>NC_000004.12:47170954-47480378 GCF_000001405.40 Homo sapiens
GTTTTTATTTTGATGTTCTTTATTCATTTATGTATATGGAAAACTTTATAATTAAATGATATTACGATATCTTTTTTGGTATATATGGCATTGTAACCAAGTAAAACATTAAATGAGCAACTGAAATAATTATGCAGTTATTACAGCTATTGTGTGAGTATGTTATTTGTGGATGTATCATTGTGATTAAACCTTCCTAATTAAATTAATGCAGAAGATTAAATACAAACAGTAACCAAAAAAATAAGAGCTACATCTCCCCAAATTCCTGACCTTGATTGTATGTCTCGTGGAAGAATATCAAATGTCAGTTCTCAAAAAAAAAAGAAAAGACTTAGATAAAGAATGTAAGAAAAAAAGGAAGGAAGGAAAAGAAAAGAAAAAACAAATATCTCAGAAATGTTATGAATTTTACATCTTAGTTATATTATTAGAAATGACACCACTTCTTGAGAAGATGTATCAGATTCTGAAAACCATTTATGAAATTTTTCAAGTAGTCTTCTGCAGGACTCTCATCTTATTTCATTAAACCGTCATTTCAAATTTAGTATTTTAGTACCACTTCCATGATTTTTGCCACAACTGCACATCATTAAAAAATATTGACTTGTTTATTATTTATGTATGTATTGATGTGTATACATGTATAAATTCATACATATTTTTAAAGAAAACTTTCATTAGCTCTTTATATGGGAAATCATTATGTTTAAATATACATCTAAGCAACGCATTTTATTAAAATTAAAAAATTTGTATTCATGTTCCATTTACAATGATAGTTCCTCATTTATAGAATTGAGATAATACTATCGCCTATGTAACACATGTTGCTTACATCATCATTATCAAAATAAAAGCCTAAGTTTTCCTTATAAACTTTTTGAGCACGATATTAAAGCTAGGTTTGCTTCAATCAATAGTATGTATCCCAGATTGTGAAATAGTCATCCAGAAGCCACCATTTGGCTGGGTTGCAATTCAACTTCTATTTTATGTATATTTTATGTATCAAAGAGTGTTTCTTAAGCCTAAAATTCCACTGTCGTTTGTATATCAAATATAATAATAAGCCTGGTATGTCATTTCTTATTTTCAAGTGTTATGGCACTATAACACTCTAGATATAGAGGTGTCCTATTTTGTATCCATGTAACATGCTGTTTATGGATTACGCAGCATCCCATCATCATTTTGGAAACAGTACTTTACTTTACACTAAAACAGAATGTCACAGAGGATTTCTGGAATGATAAGTACCATTAAAATACAATAAACATATTTTTAAGGCTAGAGCATTTAGAAAAATATTGGCTTATTTTTGTATATCAATCTAAGTAATCTGATTGAAGTTAATAGGATATATTTGCAGTAAGCTTAATATTGCTTTGTTACACCTAAAAAAGTAATCGAACAACAAGTACCATATTTACAGGAAGTAGTGCCTCATCCTCCTGAGTGGTTCAACTCACAAAACACATTTTGAGAAGAAAATAGGCTTTGCCTAAATAACTCTTGTTTTCCTTACCCCTGCTTGTAAACTGTGAGTGTTGCTCACTAAGTAGAGCATGCTTTGGCCTTTCCAGCACATGCAGTTCTACTAAATAAGCAGCTTTATGTTTAATGAAGTAGGCCTTGCATTTCTATATCTTCTAGGACAAGTTTAGATTTAACTTTTTTTTTTTTTTTTTTTTTTTTTTTTGAGATGGAGTCTTCCTATGTCGCCCAGGCTGAAGTGCAGTGGCACGGTCTCAACTCGAAGCAACCTCCACCTCCCAGGTTCAAACGAGTATCCTACCTCAGCCTCCCATGTAGCTGGGATTACAGGCATGCGCCACCATGCTCAGCTAATTTTTGTGTTTTTAGTAGAGACGGAGTTTCACCATGTTGGCCAGGCTGGCCTTGAGCTCCTGACCTCAGATGATCCACCTGCCTCGGCCACCCAAAGTGCAGGTTTATCTTTTCTAAATCTTTTTTCTTCTTTTTAATAAAGACAGGGATAGAGCTATTAGGGTAGAGCCCACCTGTAACAAAACCACAAAGAACTGGAGCTGAGAGAGCTGCCTGGTCCATTTTCTTCTATTTGCAAAGTAGTGGTAACCATTTCAAGATAGTAACAATAACAAAAATTCATGTAAATTCTATTTTTTAATTAAATTCCCAAATTCTTACCCCTTTTTAAATAAAGTTGTATAAAGTTGCTTAAAGCTGAGTTAGTTGTTTGTTCGTTTTAAACACCAAAGGATTATTGAAGAGAGAAATTTTTTGTTCTACAATACAAACATCTGCTTTGAATATTTAGATGATTAAACTTCAGTAACTAAGTGGAATCTGAGGATTAATGAGCCCCTTAAGGTGTTATCACCGTATATATGTTATTTACATGTCTCTGCCTTTTCAACTAAAGTATGGACAACACTAGGACAAAGGAATTTCATCTCTTTTGGTTCAAGAATATCTTATTTTCCAGCACAACAGACATAGGGCCTGACAACTATTCAACATTTTCTGAAAATATTTAAGACATGAAACACAAGGCTTAATGGCACAAAAATGGAAAACTGATATCAAAATTAAAATTATTCATTAAATGCCTCCAAATGTGACATGATATCTACAAGTCACTTCCAGATTTTAAAAAATCACAAAACTCAAAATTCTAAGTTATTTTAAAAGTGATGTCTGCTGCATTTGTTCAGAAGTGCCTCAGGCCCAAAAATTGTTCCCAAAGACCTCACTCATGCTTCGTTTATTTGAGTTTTCTACCTGTTCTTGTGCCCCTGTTCTCTCTTCTTCCTGTTGTATCCTACATATCGTTAGCTGATTTGCTTTTCTAAAGTGCAATTTCATCACACTGCTGCCCTGCTCAGAAACAGATTGATTCTCCATTATCCACCACATCAAGTTGAAATTCCTCTCCAGACTTGACACTTCTCAATTAAATCTACCCTTGTTACATAGTCTCAAACATAGTCTCTGATTTTGCCTAACCATGAAACTTTATATCACAACTATTGTTTTTCCTTCATTTTCCTTAATTACTAATCAGAATTTTAATTCCAAGTCTCTGTTCAATTGTTCCCTTTTTTGTTTTTTTTGTTCCCTTTTCTGGCTTCTTGAAAGAGTGAAACAGTATTTCACTCTGTTGCCCAGCTGGAGTTCAGTGGTGCAATCATGGCTCACTGCAACCTCAACCTCCCAGGCTTAAGCAATATGCCTGCCTCAGCCTTCCAAGTAGCTGGCACCACAGGCACACGCCCAGCTAATTTTTTGTGTCATCATTTATTTTTTGTTGATATGTGTTCTTCCTATATTGCCCAAGGTGGCTTAAATGCCTGGCCTCAAGCAACCCTCCCTCCTGGGCCTTGCAGTGTTGGGATTACAGGTGTGACCCACCACACCCAGCTTTGCTTTGTTTCTTTTTAACTCAACAATAAATATTTTTCATTTTCCTTTTAACTGTACACTGCTCATCTTCCAACTTCTATAACTACTTCAACTCTTGTAGATACCCCTCCTCACAGTTCTATAGAAATTGGAAATCTTACCATATAGCATATAATTATAAAATGTTTAATTAGATATTGTTTCACAGGTATTAGTCTGATCTCTTCAAAAATAGTTTAAAGATGGTCCCCAACTTATAATCATTTGACTTAGATGATTTTTTTTTTACTTGATGATAGGTTTATTGGGGATTCTAAATGCATTTTTAACTCAAGGTATTTTTCGCTTACTATGGGTTTATTGAGACATATTGCCATCACAAGTTGCAGAGCATCTGTAATCTTCTTGTGTCATTCTTAGGATTTTTGCTGGGTAGGGTATTTCAAAGGCTCCTGTTTGACATATTCAGTTGTCAGTTGTCAGTGCCCTGCACTATAGGCTTCCTCCCTCCCTCCTTCCCTCCCTTCCCTCCCTCCCTTCCTTCTTTCCTTCCTTCCTTCCTTCTTTCCTTCCTTCCTTCCTTCTTTCCTTCCTTCCCTCCTCCTTCCTTCCTTCTTTTCTTCCTTCCTTTCATCATTCCTTCCTTCCTCCCTTCCTTCCTCTCTCTTCCTTCTTTCTTCCTTCCTTCCTCCCTCCCTCCTTCCCTCCCTCCCTTCTTTCCTTCCTCCTTTCCTCCCTCCCTTGTTTGTTTCCTTCCTTCCTTCCTCTTCCTTCCCCTTCTTTCCTTCCTTTCTTCTTTCCTCTCTCTTTTCTTCTTTCTTTATCTTTCTTTCTTTTCTTTCTCTCTCTCTCTTTCTTTCTTTCTTTCTCTCTTTCTTCTCTTTCTTCTTTCTAATAGAAATGAGGTCTTCCTATGTTGCTCAGGCTTGTCTCAAACTCCTGGCCTCAAGCAATCCTCTGCCTTGGCCTCCCCAGATGCTGGGATTACAAGCATGAATCATCACCCCCAGCCCTGTAATCTTTTTTAAAAGAGTCTGTTCCTTGTATTTCTTTTTCCTACAATGCACACTATAGTTAGCACATATTAAGCAAATGGTAAGTGGTTATTTACTTATTTTTAAATCTCAACTTAGAAAGTGTCTACTCTTAACACTATCTCCCTGATGGCTTTGGCTTTTATGTAGTCAGGTTTACTAGATTTTAAGGAGAAAGTTAACCCCTTATATGAAACTGGAACCTTATATGAAAATAAAACTACTTGCACGAAAATTATTAATTCTAATGATTAAGGTTCTTCAACAGCCCATGAGTAGGGGATTTCCTCCTAAGAGTATAAAGTGCATTGAGATATGAGAAATATGTGTGCAGTATTATGGATAATACTTTTTCACTGTGGGCCAACCTACAGATACACACATGAATGTTGTCTCTTCACAATATTTCCCTCAGAAAGCTATATGCTTAGTCTGTCAGTACTGCTGCACTTAAAATATGTTCACAACCCTGCTGTAGAAATTCCCTTTGAACTCTTGGCCACTTGTTTAAATATTCAAGGTGGTAGCAAATTGTTACACTGAAGGTGATTATTGGAAATAAGTAAGAGTAGAAAAATAAATTAATGGATAACATTTTTAGTCAAAAATTAGGTGCATAACTTGTACACAACTAATTTTTCTTATATTGTTCATAAAATAACTATAAATGCATTTCTAAATGAACGTTGAAAATACCATTAGCAAAGGGAGCACACAAATGAATTCTTTTGTGCCTCTTCAATAGGACCATATTGAAGAGTCCAAATGTATTTGGGTATATTATACCCATTACTTAGTTCAGGTGGTGTATTATGAACGAGCAGAGTCAGAAAACAGAACTATTCAACTTCTATATGATAGGTAATGAAAATTGCATTTCATCTAGAATGGTTAAGGCAAGCATGATTTAGAATTTATTAAAACAAAGATAATTAACACATTATAGAAGGACACAGTTATTGAGAGAGGTAGAAATTAGTGCACTGATTGATTTGCTCATAGTTTAGATGTGGGTTGTGAAAAAAATAGAGTAGTCAGTATGTTTATAAGGTTTTTGACCCAAGGAACTGAAAGAACAGACTTGAGGAAAACTGTAGACAAAATACTTCTGGAGATAAACTAAAGATCTCTGTTTTGGAAATGTTATTTTTGAAATGCCTGTAGACGTGTAAGTGGAGAGGTTGATTGGCAGTTGCAGAAGTTTGAGGTCTAAGAGGGAGACCTAGATTTGGAGTAATTAGTATATAATGGCCTTGGTGACTGTATTATTTCACCAAGGAAGAGAGCATAGATAAAATGGAGATGAGGTCCAATGTCAAGAAAAAGGAGAAGTATTTCAACATTTAGAGTTAGGAAGAAAAGGCAGAATTAACAAAAGGAGCCAAAAATGGAAGCTTAGCCTTGGACCATTCATTCTTCATAATGGCAGAGAAGGAAAGGCTCCAAGTACAAACTGGAACAGATGGGTCCATGTGGTGGTAACATATAATCATCACAATGATTTCTTAAGATAGACAGTCACATTTCATTCCTTCTAAAATGAAGAAACTGAGGCAGTAACAAGTAACTTGCTTAAGATCAGATAGCTGGAAAATAACTGAGCCTGAATTTGAAACCAGTCATCTGATTTCATGGCCTACAGGCTCAACCACTATTTTAATAGAAATATAAGTTGAGCACAAGGTCAGGTCTCATGTACTGTTTTCTCAGTCCTGGATAACACATTTTAAGAACATCATTGACAATCCAGAGGCCACTGAGAACACAACTGAAATGGCAAAGGACTTGGAACTCTGTCCATATGCAGCATAGATAACGAAGCACTGAAGATTGTCTCTCTTAGACCTTTTTATCTTCAAAGCCACAGATCAGATGGAATATAGTTGCTTGTGTTAAATAATGTAAGAATAAAATAACTATAGTTTTAAGTAATATTTGAGAAACCTGGGGGTAAATGTGGGCAGAACTAGAGAAGAGGGGCCTGAAAAAGAGCCTAGCTACTACAGAAATATAACTCACCTGAAAGATTTGAAAGTCTATCATTTCAAAGAAAGCTTAGACTTACACTGTGTTGCTTCCAGCAGAAGATCAATGACGAACTTGTGGAAGCTTCAAAGAATATGTTAGTTCTACTTGCTTACCTTAGTGACCCTAATGTGAAAAATGTTCACTCTAAAGAAATTTTGCTGCATAACTATTCAAAAATGGAACCAATGACTTGTTACTAGTGTCTCTTCAGAGGTAGGTAACCTGGTAAAAAAGAAAGAACTTCAGATTTGGAATCAAATGAGAACCAGTTCCATTATTTTTGGTAGAATGACCTAAAACTGACTCCTCAACTTCTCTGAGCCTCAGTTTCCTCACTTATAAAGTGGCTGTAATGATATCCATCTTTCAAATTCCTATGAGAACTATTATGTGTGAAATAAGAACAGTGGTTTTTTTTTTTTTTTTTTCATGTTTCTGTTTGTTTTTTCTCTCATTCCAACCTCTCCATCACTAGGAATGTTTGTTAAACTCTGTTTAGGCTAGTACAGGCACATGTCTGGAATGCTGCAAAAAGGGATTTGGGTTCCGAGTGTGAGGCTGATTAAATGGATTAGGATGTATATTATAACTCCATGTTGCTATAGAACTAAGATTAAAAGGATGGATGTTGGTGGAAGCCAGTCTTTGGATATGATTACCTAAGTTTCCAATATGTCAGTTATATGACCTTGGGCACAATCACCTGTGTATGCCACAGTTTCTTCAATATGATCATCATAGTACCAAAGGGGCATACTCATTGAGATCATTAAATGAGAAAATGCATTCGGAATGAGTAGCAAAGTGCCTGTCATCTAATAAACACTCAATGAATGGGAACTATGTCTATTCTTAGAAATTGCTCTCTGGGTTAAGAGTCTATCTCTTTAATGTGTTGTTCCACTTCCTGAGGAGGTTCTGCTACTTTCAAGATTAAATGGAAGGCTCTCTCATGGTCCTTATAGAATCCTTTGCATTACCTTTGATGATATCCGCTCCTGTCCTTTAGAATCTCTCCAGGTTTGTTCAAATGGGACAATGAAGAGGAATTTCATTCTTTTGTACGTGCTGAGACTTTTGTCATTGGATTAGTGGAGCTAAAGAAGAATAAAGCCATTATCTTGGTGGAGGAAACTGTTATTGCTCATTATTTTCAAGTATTATGTACTTTGGTCTTTTGTGTCACAGGATAATTCTGTACCAAAGAAGCTGTATGTGCTGAAAATATAAAGAGTCATTTTTATTCACCCCATATAAAAAGGGCAACGATGAATGCCATTTTTAGAAAAGATAAAGAGTCTTTGAAGATCAGCCTTCTTTCTTTCTTTTATCTAGAAATACACATGCCAAATGAGATGCCAAGAACTTTATTTCCTGCTAAGAAGCTTAAGAAAATTAGGAACGATGGTTGAATGTAGCATTTATGGTTGAATGTAGAGAAAATACAGTATAATGAGTCGCTTTGTTCCAGGTTCCAATTTCATGTTCTGTTTTTATCTCCATCCTTATTGGCAAGAAATGTAACATGTTAGTACAGCATGGCTATAAAAATAATGGGCCATACTTTTTTTATACATACTTTAAGTTCTGGGATACATGTGCAGAACATGCAGGTTTGTTACATAGGTATACATGTGCCATGGTGGTTTGCTGCACCCATCAACCCATCATCTGTATTAGGTATTTCTCCTAATGTTATCTCTCCCCTAGCCCCTCACCCCCTGACAGGCCCCAGTGTGTGATGTTCCCCACCCTGTGCCCATGTGCTCTCATTGTTCACCTCCCACTTATGAGTGATAATATGTGATGCTTGGTTTTCTGTTCTTGTGTTAGTTTGCTGAGAATGATGATTTCCAGCTTCATCCATGTCCCTGCAAAGGACATGAACTATCCTTTTTATATCACATTTTCTTTATCCAGTCTATCATTGAAGGGCATAGTTCAAACATTGTGGAAGACAGTGTGGCGATTCCTCAAGGATCTAGAACCAGAAATAACCATTTGAACCAGCAATCCCATTACTGGTTATATACCCAAAGGATTATAAATCATTCTACTGTGAAGACACGTGCACACGTATGTTTATTGCAGCACTTTTCACAATAGCAAAGACTTGGAACCAACCCAAATGGGCCATACTTTTAAGTCATTTACTTTTACCAACATATATGTTTTACTTGCTTTCAATGTCTTTGAAGACACAAAATAAAAAAATAGCAAAATAACTTTCCTATATAGTATGTTTTAAGGAAAGTAGACAACAGTGCTCAGTTAGATAGGCATGGTGGTAAATAGGACCATATCTCAATTACTTCAGGATCTGAAATAGTGCTGGAGAAACCTTCCTCTCCTGACCTTCAGCATCTGTAAGAACAAATTTGGGAAGAGATGCTCAAATGCTCACTAACCTGTGCCTTGACTCTATTTTCTGGTTTTCTTCCCTTTCTTAACTCTATTAGTGAAATTAAAATTAGCATTGAAATCAAGTAAGCCTTGACTCCAAATTACTATTGCTAGAACTTTAATATTCATCCATTAAGATAAGATTATGCTATTTAGGAGGCTGAGGCAGTAGAATTGCTTGAGCACATGAGTTCCAGACTAGCCTGGGCAGCATAGCCAAACCCAGTCTCAAAAAAGAAAAAAATTAAGAGGATGTCAATCTCTTTGAACAGATACACAAAATAGTAGCACAGCAGCACAGGCACTAGTCACAATCTTTTTTTTTTCTATCTAAAACTTCTTTTGCAACAAGAAACACCCTGATACAGAGGATGCTCAAATATTTTTATAATCACAGATCCCATTCACATAGTGGAAGAGAATCATTCCAGAAAAATCTATTCCAAAGTAAATTTCTACAGTGCACACTCTGTTTCCCATTGACTTACTTTGGTGGAAATATTTATTCTTCAATGTAATGAGTCATATTAAGACAGAGGCAACACATTAAAATGTTATATGCTTCAATGAGAAAAATATTTCTGATAAAAAACATTAATGTTAAAAATAAAAATATCACAAGGCATTCACATCACAAGACAAAAATAATACTGAGTTTCCTGTGAAACGGAAAGTAATAATTTGCTGATACTGTTCCTGCTGAAGAGAAGGAAAACCTCCAAAGACTTAGTTATTTGGATGCTTTTTAAATTAACTTTGGATCAACTTAACATTTATAAATTTGTTACCAAATTTCTTTACATTTTAAAATATTTATCTCATTTTGTACTGTCTAAGGTCTTTCTAAATGTAGTACTAAGTCCTGTACAGTTTTGAACGGGAGTTAATAGCTGTTGCAATAATAGCCAAGAGTTTTCAAAGATATTTATTGCCAAGCACAGTTATAATTTCATTTAATACATCAGAAAATGTCTTTACTTGATTTGGATTAATGAATGAAGCTTTGACAGGTGGTAGAATTCTACTTTCTAAGATATTTTTACAGATAACTTTGGCAGTTCATTTTCACTATCTTTTGAATTAAGATTAACACTAATAAAAAATGCATTCTTTCTATTGTATTTTAGAATGTTCTCTCTATTATTGATCCTGTACTTGATTTCATTATAATGTGCCTTGGTATGGGGCTTTGGGTGATTTTTTTAAAAGCCTGGTCAGCACTCTGGGATACTGTATTCAAATTAAAGACTCAGATACTTTATTAATTCTGGTAAGATCTCAGCTATCATATCTCCAAAGATTGGCTTATCACCATTTTCTCTATACTTTCCTTTTATAGCTCCTACTAGTCTTATGTTGGAGCTTCTGGATGAGTTCATTTATGTTTCTTAATATTTCTAATAATATCTTTTCCTTTTTTGAACGGAATCCTAGGCATTTCTTCAACTTAATGTTTGTTTTAGTTCAGGCTTCAGTTATATCCGTTATTCCAGTTGGCTCATCATTTGAACTTTTATTTTAATTGCCATATTTTTAATTTACATGCTTTAATGGGTTTTTACAACCACCTAAATAGTTTTAATTACTCTATTTATGCTTTTTACTCTTTAATCTGTTTGGAAATGTTAATTATATGTAAACCAAAGTCCTTTCAGATGGCAATAGAGCGAAGTGACAAAGAATGTAGACACTGGAGTTGGATGCCTGAGTTCTAATTCTCGTTCCATCATTTAGTACCTCTTTGCTCATGTAATTATTTAATCTTCTTTCACTTTTCTCATCCATAAGAGGGCAAAAATAGTAGTGCCTATCGCATAGGGTTGTAAGGGCAATAATGAGAAATAATTGCAAAGCATTTAGTACCATACCTGGTGCATAATTTGTGCTCATAAATAGCTGCTATTGTTGTAATGATTAGCATTCTGATTACTATTTCCTCAAAGGCAAGATTTAATGACATTTGTTTTATCTGTGTGTTTGCTAAATTTTGCTCATTAAATCATCTTCCCCGGGAGAATTTTCCTGCAAGCATCATGGGTTGTAATCACCTCATAATGCAGCAGGTGTTTGGAAGATTCAGCCCCAAACTTCTAGCGGGGAGTGGCTATATTCATGTCTTGCTCAAAGATACTTAGTTAAGGGATCCAACTGTGTTTGGATGGCCAATGTTCTAGTCTTTTCCTGCAGTATGGTGTAGTGTTGTGGCCCCAGCCAGAGCAGCAACTTAACACAGACACAGATCTTGGAAATGCAGAAGGCATAATCTGATCCCCTGTTTTTGCTTAGATTCTATGACTAGAGGCACTGATAACTTTGTACCCAAAAGTGGGTGACCTTGTCTTGTTGAGGTTAAAAGGATTTGTTCTTGACAGCATGAGAGCCATTTCCTGGGATCGCTCAGAAAAGCATGAGAGAAATTTCTGGGTATTTTGGGGGAAGTGAAAACCTGGTATACTATTGATTACTACTAATGTGATGCCTTTTAAATTCAGGATAATATGATGCAGTAGAGATTCATGGTTTCACACTGCAGAAAAAAGGTATGACATTCAGATTTTCAACCAAAGAGTAAAAAATATTTTATTTTTTAATTGATGAGCAAATGATCCATGAGAATCTCATGTTTACCAAGTGGTAGATCTTCCTTGATATTTAGAACAGAAGAGATTTTGCTTTTTATGTGCATAGGGAATATTATTTGACTCAGAAGATAAAATCTTATTCCACAGCATAGTGAATAGATTTATTGTGGAATTTTGTTATAATTATTCTGGTCCTTCTCTCAGAGTTTTTCTGTTACCCTTTGCACATAATACCAAGGTTGATGCAAAATGTTAACTTACTTCTTCTCATCCAAAATCTCTCTGCTGACAAAGTTCAAATCAGACAAAAAAAGGGTGACTAAATAATGGCAATTAAAGCAAGGTAATAAGTTGCTTTAATAGTTAAAAAAATTTAATTACATACCTAAGAATGAGCCTTTTTGTCAGTGTTATAACAGAGAAAACTCTAACAGTTCAGAGATTTTTATATAGTGCTTTTACAAGCTAAACCTCAACACACAAAGCAAGCCAGACACATAAATTCCAAAGAAACTAGAATTTTTAGCCACATTTGAAGATTCCCATATGCCAATTGTTTATTTATTCATTTATTCAGGCTCTTTCTTCAGCTATAAAAATTACAGATTTCTTGTGTATTTATTATTCTTGCAAGTAGACCAATGTTACTGTTACTGGTAGGTATATTAACTTATTTGTCAAAGTTCAGGTTACATTGATGATTGTAGTTCATTCAGTAGGGTGTTTCGTTTAAGGAGAAAAACACATGATGAGATATTAAAGAGTGAGGTAATAGCAATGTCATGTTTCACTGACATCTCTGTGACCCACAAGCATTTCAGGGGTATCTGAGGTGGTGAGAGAACTGCTAATATTTAAGAGAGTGGTATAGATAGATAAGATGATATATTATCAGCTCTTCCACCACATATATATGAACTGATTATATAACATCTTATCTGTATGTGTGTGTGCATATATATATATATATATATATATATATATATATATTCCACCACTCATATAAATACATATTTACTGGTTTAGCACATTTATTTTTAAACTTAGTTCTCCTTTCTTGATTCATATTTGGTACTTCCACACTTAATTTAAGATAGCCAGCACCCTTCTGTCTTCTGGACCTGTGACCTGCTACTCCTTTAAAAGCATGACCTATTTATTCATTTCTTCCATGGAGTTCCCACCTTTCCACATTCTACCAAACTCTTGACATGGAATGTCATATAAATACCTTCTTTTCCTTCCCAATTGTTAATTCCAAGATATTAAATTACTCCCCTCTTTCTACATCTGTCAATATCACCTCTCAATCCCTGCTAGTGTTGCCTTACATCCACATGAACTCATGGCTACCTTCCTATACAACTCACATAACTCAGTTTTGCTTTTCGGTTCTATTCCACTTTGAGGTCAGTGGCTTCTACATTCAAATAGATAATACCATAGACCACTTAATTTCATTGACCTCCAGCTTCTTTCATGTCAAAAACATGCTGGAAAGTCCATACTTGGACTACTTGCTTTATTACTTTAATCTCTTCACTCAGTTAGTCTCCCATAAGCCCTCAACTGGAAGTTCTTCACTTTGTTACTCCAGTTCTTGATCTCTTCCTAATTCATCTACATTTGAGTCCTGTTCACTCAGAATGTCATGATTGGCTATTATAAAGTGATTCCCACTGTAAATTAAAATCTTTTACCACCTCTAAAGGCTAGTGACCACACCTGGTCACTCTAATAATCTGCTTCTTTTGTTTCCATTTCTGGACATCAGAACAACATTGAAGGAAATCATTCTTTCTGTCTATAACTCTGCCAGTCTGCCAAAACAGCCAACGTTTTATTCATTAGTTATCTCATAACCGTAACACCCAATGACCTTTGAACTTTCTTGTATGTGTTATGTCTCAACTATATTACCAGATTACCGAGGACAAAGGCTCTATTTGATACATTTCTCCATTCCCTTAAGAACTGGTATGTTTCTAACATGTAATATTGTGTTGAAATGAACGAATGAATAAATGGAAGGACGGGGAAATGATTGGATTCTCCCAAAAAACAATAAAACTTTGCTGCTCCATCTCACCTTGTTTTGCCTCACTCTAAAAGATGCACTCAAGTGATAGCACTTCTTTTAGCACTACACTGAACTAATGTCAAGCCCTGCTCAGCTCAGTCCTTTTTGCAAGTTAATTGATTTCCTGTTAACACCTGTGGTTGTACCCCCATGAGCTGGGTTAGACTACAGAAGCCAATCCAGGATCAAGAGTCAGAGAAAAATGATACATCGTATTGAGCTGAGATTACATTACCTTAGCTTTGCTTCTCAACCTGAAAAACTTGGTGATACAGATGGCATGGCTCCCAGGCTGTCCACCTCAACCTTCACGGAAATACGCCTGAATTTTATAGCCTCAGGAGTCCACATTCAAGGAGGGGTTAATGAGATCAGAGACTGCCACATACATAAGGTTTTTGAATATTATATCTTTTAGGCAGAGTAGCTGCAAAACAGGTCAGGACTCAGGGGTCCCCTTTTTTATCTACAAAACGATTACTTTGCTATACCATGGTTATGTGTTTCACTTTTTATTACCTCCTAAGTGCAACAGGCCTTCCCACAGCCACATATATCGGATTTCACTCCTCTAAAATAGGCAATAAATGTATCTTTAATTTTATTTACTTCTATTGTGCCTCAAAGAATGTTCTGCTTGCATCTGACATTCAGAAAAATATTATTTTGGTTTTCCTTTGCCAAGTAGTTATTTTCTCAATGCTCTTCTCTGTATTTTTATGAAAATGGACAGTCTTTCAAACACAAAAGTTAACTGAAATCCTTCAATGTTGCTGCTGGATACACCTCACAATATTATTCACAGGCAAAAAGGCCACTGGAAAATTCTTCTGGCTCTCCCAGAAAAAGGTGACCTTCCTTCTCTTAGTCCTTTTCCTTCCTTCCAAGTAAATTTCTGATAGGACCCAAGACTACTGCTTCTTGTAAGATTGTTTGCACCACAACCCTACCATGGAGTTAAAGATCACAGCTAACATGAAATCAGTCACATGCAGTAATGAATTTAGTTTTAGTCTCAAATCCAAAGGTCAACATCCAAACTTCCTGACATATGATATATAGAGCCATCCACTGCTCACCCACCTTGTTGTAAAAAAAATGGTATGGTGTATTATCAAGCAGAGCGATGGAATCATTCAAAACTATACTTGAACTCTAGTTTTTCCTATTACCTGTGAAACTTTAAATATTCAATCTCCTAGTGCTTCAGTTTCCTCATCTGAAGATGCTAATAACACAAACTACCTCACAAGATTTTCATATTATATGTAATTGTATGTAAAGCATCTAGAAAATAGTAAGAGTTCAATAAATGGCAGTAATCAACCTTTTTTAAAAAAATTTAACTTCAAGGGATGGAAAAAGTAATCAAAAGTTGGCCTGCAAATCCCAGCTCTCAAGTGCTGGGGAAGAATCCTTTAAAGCTAACAGCAACAGATTGCTGCTCTCTTTGGAACATGGTCCTTCTGTTCATCTGTCTCATGGAGGAGTACCATGCGTGGCTATGCTATACTTAACCAAGTGAAAACATAAAGTGATGTTCAAAACTGGTCATAACTGGCCTATATATAGCTTTTGCCAGAAGGTCCCCAAAGTTCTTAATTGAACGTCTTCTCAAATACTGCATACATCCATAATATTGCGCTGACACTGAGCATGTCTCTCAAAGTGTTTTAACAAATAGAATTTCGATGAACATTTCCTAAATATACCTTCAGTTTCATAAAGTCAAGGCATGAATTGGTGGGGGGGCGGGGGGTAAGTCCTGATCTCTCTCTTGTAATCATTGTGCTTTTATTAACAAAAGATTCAGTTGTCTGTCAGAAAATCAGTAAGTATATACAGAGAACACTATCATGCATATTAAGTATCAGAACATGGACCTAAAATCACAATAACATCCCTATTTGTAATTTTTAGTTTGGCTAAAATTAGGAAGATTGGTGTAAACATTGATTTATGGAAGAAATTTGTCTGAAAACATTAGGGTAGTCTCAAATGTCCTTGAAAAATATCTCTAGTAATTCAGGGTATCTAATGTCTAGTAACAAGAGACATACATGAAAATGGCCCATGCACTTTCCAGGTATAATGAAATTGTTCATGTTTCTAACCAATTTATTTTTCTATACCTTTAAGTGTCCCCACCTATCCTAAGCTGATGATTTTGCACAGACAATGACAATGGAACTCAGAAATTCTCTGTCTTGAACAAATAACTCAAAAGGAATATTCTACTAAAAGCAATAGCATCTTCAACTAAAGAGGGCAGTATTAATTTCATGATAGTAGGCTCCTCTTATTAGAGAGACTCCTTTGGCATTGTTGTTGGTTAGCTCTTAGAGGTGCTTTATCCAAATTATGAAATCATAATAGGTAACAATTGAATAAAGTGCTAGACTTTATTCAGTGCTTACTATATGGCACACACTGTGAAAAACAGTTTGCATTAATTATTTTGTTACATTCCTCCAGAAATCCCTATGAGGTAAACTAGTGTTCCTATTTTAAATGAAGAAATAAAGGCCAGAGAGTGGTTAAGTGACTTGCTAAATGTTGCACGCCTAGTAAATATTGGAAGCAGTATGATGAAGCTCTCAGGATTGTGATTCCAGTGCTTTTACATTTAGGCACTGTACTCAAAACTTCTTTTATCAACGAAGCATACTTAGCTACAGCTTACCTATGATCCCCTTAAAAATACAGTTTGTACCTAAGCAAGTTTATACTGAGAGATGCTAAGATCACACAGCTTACAAAGATGGGACATGAGTCCAACTTTTGCTTCAAGTCACTCAATATTATTAAGGACTTAAACCCACATTGGAAATAGATGCATACATACCTTAGGGATGATTACAAACTAATCATGTCCTAATAAATCCTGGAACCAACTGCATTTCAGCATATCCATGGTTACTCCCTCCCTCGTTGGAACCATCATTTCTTGCCTCAAATTGCTTGTCCTTGTTTCTTTACAACAGCAGTTCCTTGGGATCACAGATCTTTCTGACAAGGTGGTATAAGAAATGAAATTTGCCTTCCAGGAAAACAAATGTGCACCTTCACATTTCACAAACAGACGTGCACAATTTAGCGTGAAATTATATGGATCCTCCCATGCCGACTCCCTCCGAGTTTTGAATAACTGCTCCACAGTCTGTTAGATATAGAGAAGTTAAACCGTGTCACTCCTCTTCTAAAATCCCTCCAGTAATTTCTCACTTCACTCAGAAAAGAATCCAAAATGAGACACCACATTGTCTAACCCCAGGGTAGCTCCCAAACCTCATTTCCTTATAGCTTTATAACTTCCCTTTTATCACTTCAATCCAGTCATAAAGACTTTGTTGTTCATACATGCCAAGTGGACTTCTGCCTAGGGTCCTTGTTCTTACCATCCCCTTTACCCGGAAGGCTCTTTCTCCAGATATCCACAAAGCCAGCTACTTTACTTCATTCACTTCCACCATGCCATCTAATCACAGAGGTCCTGCATCACCCTCTGTCCTCTTACCCTGATTTGTTTTTCATCTTAGCAATTATAACCATTTTTCAAATCACGTATTTGTTGGATACCTATCTCCAAACACCAGATGTGCTCAGTTTTATGAGTACATAAAATTTGTTGTGTGTGCTGCTGTAATCCCAAAGACTAGATCATGATTGCCACACAGTGGGTTTGGATGAAAGAATGAATTAGATAAAGGACTTAATAAATACGTATGGTACAAAATATAAAACTGAGTACCTTCACAGTCAAATTAACATCTTTTTAAAAAGCCAGTTATATTTATTTGTCTTCAAAGCTGTTTCAGAATTAGTTCACAAGCTACTCAGTGAAGTTAGCTTCATTATTTTATAGTCACTTTGGACGTTTTTTAATGCAAGATGTGACTGTCTAGATTGATAACCATTTTATTCACCCATATATGTTTTGGGTTGATTTTTCTTCCCAAATCTAATTGACCTTCAAAAGGGAATATTGTATTTTGGATGCCAAGGTAAATAATGTTGTGTTTGTTAGACTGCAATCAATAGTCCCCTCTGGAAATTCTTATATATAAAAACACATTGTTACTCTTCAAGTTCATTGGTTTGTCAGAAATCCGATGTACTTTAGAATAAAAATTTAAAAAAAAACATTCTTTCTATTCCTTCTATGATAAGTGACATTGATGATGAGTCTAAAAGAGGCTATGAAGGGCATAAAATAAGTATATTATGGAATCAAGATTGACTTCATTAAATAATAACATTTAATCAACTAACATGTTTAAAGATCACTGATAGTATCCAAAGAAAATATTCAAACTTCCTTTGTGCTGAAGTCAGTATGTGACTTCCTGGCTTATGTAAGTTCAATCTGCTTTTGGTTTGGGCATTACAATAAATGTGCATCAATATCTGACAAATAACTCATGTAGTTAATCTCTGCTTATCCATTAAACAAACTTTTATGAAACAGTAGATGCATTACCAGCTGCTGGAGATACAAAGTTGAGCAAGAAATATTATATTTTTAGAAGGAGATAGAGTCTGGGAAAGAAATAACTGCAGTTTAATGGATAATGAGTCCTGAGCGTGGAAAGGGCCACAAAGCAATAGGAGCCTAGGTCTTCCAAGGAAGATTAAGAAATAGAGATTTTTGAAGAAGGTGACATTTGAGCTGAGTTATGAGTGACGTCTAAAAAGTTACCAAAAATAGAAGAGGTCAGGGTAAGGAAACAGCTACCAGGGCAATGGACATACTTGGAAAGTTTTGGAGTGAATGGAGAGTACCATGCATGGGTTAAGCACTGGAGTCAAGCCAAGATAAGTGGGTTCCTTATACATAATATTATGGCAGTGATGAACAGTCCAAGGAAGCAGGTGAATAACTGTTTCAGAACTGTATAACAAACCTCTTTCTGGGATTGATATGGAGGATAGAATATAAGAATGTAAGAAACATGATAGGATATAAGATGATATATAGAATATGAGATGATAGAATATAAGAAACTATCCAATAACCTCTATAAATGAAGAGACTCAATTCTAAGTAGAATTCTAAGTAGAATTGTGTCTCTGCATTTATGGAGGGTATCGGATAGTTTCTTATATTCTATCCTTATTGAGGGCAGGATTGAGTCCCTGCATTTATGGATCTGCCATGCTGTATTTTTAATAGTTGATTCGCATTCCTAAACAGAGGTTTTGTTGAAGAGCTAAACATTTTTATCGACATGTTCAGAGTCTGCCTTTACTGCCACATTGGAATATTAATTCTTCAAGGTAGAGTACCTGTTTTTATTCACCTTTCTTTCCCCAGAAACTAACAGAGTTCCTAAAACTGTGGGTATTCAATACTTTGTGGATTGAATCAGACTATTATGTTTTTTTGTTTGTGTTTTAATGCAGTGAGCTCCCAGGCTCTGTTGTACAACATACTATTATGCAAAGATGGAGACATCTTTGAAGGCTCTCACTAGTGTCCAGTGGCCCATCTTTTTATGATGTGGCTCTGCTGGCATTCATGATTCCAGAAAGATTTGGAAACTGCAGAGAAACAATTTCAAGCAATCTTGGTCTTGTTCTCATTCTCTAGCAGGTTAAAAACCAGAATAATTTAATTAGAAGGAACTTTGAATTCCTATTTTATCTGACTCCCTTAATCTTCTAGCTTTACCAGGTTTGGTGAATAGAACAATGTGAACATACCTGACAAGGTTTCCCTGAAAATGCAGCTAAAGCCATCATTAGGAAAATGAATTAAGAAAATAATTGTTATGTGTCATAAGATGTGTATCCCAGCAGGTTACTCAACAGTGGAGATAATAAGTACTGCCACCTGTTCTCTGCTAACCATACCCAACTCTATCTAAAGTCATTAAATTGTTGGTTAATTTGTAATTGGTTTGGTGAACAAGAGAAGCTTCACTATCATGTATTGTGCACATACTGGAAACCACTGTAAACTATGTGCTAACGGCTTTATGCACATTATTTTATTGATCCTTCCAACAAACCTGATCATTGTCAGCACCTACACATATCCTTTATCTGTGCTTTTGAAAGCCATCACAATCATTTTCAAAGGCTTTTAAATCCCTGACTTCAAAGCATAGTAAATATATGCTTTTGGTAACAAAAGCAAAGGGATATAGATTAAAATTCTAAGAGGTTGAGTTGGGCAAGGCCACATAGGTAATAAGAAGGAGGACCAGGCTTTAAACCTCAGCCAATTTGACTCCAAGCCCTCCTGGTTCTAAAATTTTAATGTATATTTGAATCACCTGGTGATCTTGTGAAAACATATATTTTGATTCAGTAGATTTGGGTGGGGCCTGAGATCGTAGGGAGCACAGTTGAGTATTCAGGCTTTCAACCAGCACACTGAACTGTGAGCATGGAAAACTTAGTCTATGCCAATGACTGTGGCAGATGTTTTACTGTTAGGTCTGCAACTGCTGGAGCCAGATCTAACTTGTACATGTAATTTTTCCTCATACTCACATTGCACATTTTATTTCTTGAATTGTCAAATTTTTAAAAATCAGGTCTTTTCGGGTCATTAAGCTCCCAGCAAAGCATTTATGGTCTATTTATTCTTTCTCTTGCCTGGAAAGAATATACCTACACAGAAGACAATAACTAAAGAAAAGATGATCAGCAGATCAGAGAATCAGCAGAGTATTGAGTCACTAAACCAATGTTAAGTTTTAACAAGGCCAAGGAAGACAAATGTCTCCCTAAGTTTTCTTCTTGCAGTTATTGCAACATGTGTAACTCCTTTGTGCCTCAAGATCCTTTTTTTCTGTTCCTTTTCAGGGATGCAGTTTTCAAAAATCACATGGCAGTTTATTTCTTATTTTTCAGTTTTCAGCTCAAATACAATCCCCTCAGAAATGACCATCTTACCTAAGATAGATCTCCAACATTTACTTCACCCCCTAACTGTTCCAAAACTCCATAAATGAACAGACTCAATTCTACCTTATTCACCAATTTCAGTCACTTCCAGTGACTAGTGAAATACATGGATTATGGTACAGAGATTACAAATATTTATTAAAGGTATACATGAAAGCTGAGTAGAATGAGACTAAGAAAATGTCTGTGGGTTTGTTCATTAATAAATTGTTAGTGCCCTTAGATAACAGTGTTTTCACTCAGATGATGGAAATGAAAGAAAACTTTGAAAGAAATTAATTTAGTCTACCTTTCCAGAATATTCATCAGCACAGGAAAAAAAAATTAGGAAAGAACTAGGAAGCAGGAAGTGACTGGCTTAGTTTCAGGGTCTTATATATTTTAGCATTTCTGTGTAGAAGAGAGGAAGGGACCAGCAACATTAGCTAAACTGAAAATACAACAGATGAAAAAAAATTAAATCAAATTAGTAGAAAAACTAAACTCTTGTAATTGGAAAACCCAAACAAACAATGCAAAATTATCTCCCGCCCTCTGCAGACACATAGAATACTGATTCACAAATGGGAAAATCACAAATTTTGACTGGCCATTTAAAGACTTTAAAGCATTTTAAAACATAATTAAATAGACTCGTACAATTACCAAGCTATAATTCACATTTTCTTTTTTTACCATCCTTGGAAAAACAAAACAAAACAAAACAAAACAAAAAACCCTCAAGCCTTACCATGCTAGAATCCACATAAGATGGAATCGTACATTTGGGGAAAGTTTTCAAAAGAGAGATACTAGATCCCTATGTCTTTAACGCTTACTTTACTATCAGCCTAGTGGGAAATGGTGTGGAAACCCAAATATGTTGGCACTACCTAACCAGTGTCAGCACCAATGCTGATGATTATCCCAAATGATAGCTTTATGTGTTTTCCCTCATTGAAATCCACTGCAATCATTCCTAAAGGCTTTTGAATCACCTGATTTTAAAGCATGGTGAATATATATTTTTGTGAAAAAAGGAAAATGTAATTTAATCCCATTCAAATTTGAACAGAATGAAAAAAGTAAAAAATACATTTGGGTCTGTCATTTAATTTCTAGCCATCATAACATTTTTGCTGTTATATCATTAATTGTTATATCATTAATTGTTTAAGATGTCCATACTATCAAAAAATATATAGTAGTTTTAAATTATTCATTTATAAATAAATGTGTTAAGTCTCTACCTCCACATAAATGGTAGATACTTTGGAATGTGAGATTTTGCTCTCCAACTATGCATTGCAGTCCCACAAACAGAATAGATCTGTAATCCATTTACTTTATTGTAAATTTTCTTAAAAATAAAAATTGAGGAACACAAAATTAATGATAGATCCAATAATCAAGTGACTGTGTGAATATTAATTATAGCTAAACATTAAGAATGAAGTTCTAAGGCACTTTTTAAAATTATTTACATGTTATAACTCATTTAATCTTCATAACAATAATATGTTTGTGAGTACTATTTTATCCCCATTTTACAGATGAGAAAACTGACATATAAAGACCTGAATAACCTCAAGTTCACTTGGTTAAGAAATAAAGCTAAGAATTCAAACTGAGGTACTCAGGCTTCAGAGCCTGCATGCCTAACCATGTATTGAGGAAGCTTTTAATCCACATGAAGCTAGCACTATAGAAATAAATATGAGCTTGTAATTATCCCCACAGTTTTATGAGATATGTGTTTTTTGTTGTTGTTGTTGTTGTTGTTTCTATTTTGTTCTGTTATTAAGACGGAGTTTCACTCTTGTTGCTCAGGCTGTGAACCTCTGCCTCCCGGGTTCAAGAAATTCTCCTGCCTCAGCCTCCTGAGTAGCTGGGATTACAGGCATGCGCCACCACACCCAGCTAATTTTGCATTTTTAGTAGAGACAGGATTTCTCCACATTGGTCAGGCTGATCTGGAACTCCCGAACTCAGGTGAATCCGCCTGCCTGGGCCTCCTAAAGTGGAATTACAGGCGTGAGCCACTGCACCCGGCCCATATGTGGTATTATCCCATTTTACAATGGAAGAAACTGGAATTTATAGCCAGTCTTCATGCAGTCTGTAAGCATTGATAATTTATTTAATCTAAGTCTCAATTTCCTCATTTGTAAAATGGAATAACACCAAATATCTCACAGAGTTTTGGGGAGAATTAAAAGAAAATGTATACCTAAAGTGTTTGGCAAGTAATAGGTCCTCCATAAATGGCCTTTTGCTGAAGGTATTATCTAAATCCAAGTGTTTACCCTAAGAGTCTACACTGAAAGCATTTAGTCTAAACCTACTTTATCAATATAATAACTTTGTGCAAAGAGGATGCTAAAAATGGAGAAAATGTATACAAATATTTGTGTAATGGATTTAAAGGTAAATTAACCCTCCATTCCATGATTCTTCACTGGATAGTTAGAATCTTCATCATCTGACAATGATAGATAAGATTATGCAAAATGTGTTTGTTATCTAAATGCAATTTTTATGACCGAGAAAAGGGCAGCAGCTTCTTTTTACCTCTTAAGTTCCATGCAAAATGCATTATTTCAGACACAATTCTCAAAAATAAGATACAGTACATGTTTACTTTGAAAATGACAGTATTAAACTATACCCTGCTTCTCTTTAAATTTTCTCCAGTTTCATTAACTGTAAAATGGTTTATGTTTTGACTGTAGCACTCTCATCTCGAGTTCATTAACATACTGCTTTTATTTCCTGCAAAACTCATATCAAGCTGATTAAAGTAGGACATAAGTTCAACGGTATGGAATAGAATTGACGTCATTTTGTCAGATGGTCTCATTGCCTGGAATCAGAAAACAGCCTGAGACACATATTCCAAATTTGGAACGTGTTTCTTTAGTGAGCTTAAGAACTACACAATAATATACATACTCTTTTTAACAAGCTTACATTTTTTCATTGGCTACACTCTATTTAGAATGAATAGTTGTTTCTGCCAATCCTCTTGTTTTGCCTTTCCCAACTGCCATTTCTCTTATGAAAATGAGGGAAGACACATACAGCTGTCTTTGGGGGTTATATTATCTTTTCTCATTCCAGAAAAAAAAGTTATTAAATTTTTAGTCTTCTTTTTGCTCACTGAATTCTAATAAAACCATGAATGCTCTCTGTTGTTATGGCAAATACTATTTTTCCCATGATGAATCATCAGGTGGGTGTCATTCAAACTAGCACATCAGTGCTGCACAAAAGTTACCAAAGAGATGCATATTCTTAAACATTTGATGAAGTATTTTATTGAAGATCTCTTCAATGAGGAAATTTCCAAATGTCACTGCAGAACTCAATGGATATACTCCAGTGGGAGAAGATTTGTTGTCAGTTAAAACTTGAGCCATGTTTCTTAAAAAAACATAGTGTACTTAGCGTCTAAAGGATATTAAGTTCCTTAAATAGCCACAGTCAGAGACTACGGAGAAGTGTCATGAGACCCAGGCAGAGGCTTATCTAGGCTTTAGGAGTCCAAAGGTTTTACAATTTAATACATAATTGCTAGGCTCCTCCTAAGGTCTTGAAACAGTCCAATAAAAGTTACAGGTCCTGAAGTGGAGGATTCATTAGTTTCACAGTGATTCTACTTCCTCACCATGGGTAAGCAGAGGTGGGTAAGGTGTTCTGCTATATAAATCAATATCCTGGGCCGGGCCCGGTGGCTCATGCCTGTAACCCCAGCACTTTGGGAGGCCGAGGCAGGCGGATCACGAGGTCATGAAATCGAGACCATCCTGGCTAACACAGTGAAACCCCGTCTCTACTAAAAATACGAAAAAATTAGCCGGGCATTGTGGCGGGCGCCTGTAGTCCCAGCTACTTGGGAGAGTGAGGCAGGAGAATGGCGTGAACCCGGGAGGTGGAGCTTGCAGTGAGCCAAGATCATGCCACTGCACTCCAGCCTGGGCACAGAGGGAGACTCCGTCTCAAAATAAATAAATAGATAGATAGATAGATGATAGATAGATAGATAGATAGATAGATAGATAGATAGATAGATAGATAGATGATAGATAGATTAGATGATAGATAGATAGATAGATAGATAGATAGATAGATAGATAGATAGAATAAAATAAATATCCCAAATTCTGATTTCTGGTTTTCAAATATTTCTACCACCTCATACTCCAAAATTAAAACTGTATAAATGTTGGTAAGCATTAAAATTTCAGACTATAATATTTTCATAGAACTGTATGTCCATAAGGACTCCAACCTCCAGATGCAGAACAATAATGTATTGATTTATTCTCTATTTATTTGTATATTTATTTATTTATACCCAAATGGTAATATTAAACACTTATTAGGTTCCAGACACTGTCTTGAAGACTCCACTGAATTATTCCATGTAATTCTCTTGATTTTTCTACTTTATTGTTGAGAAATTGAGTCTTAAACACTTTAGATACTTTGTCTAAGGTCACCAGTGATTCAGTGCCAAATTCTGCCAGTCTGATGTCATCCCTTCTCTGGCTCAAAATGCAACACTGTTTCTGTGATATAGAGTGAATAAGAAAAGTCAGAGCAGAACTTGCTAGACATTCCTGCTTGTGTGGTAGCTCAAACCATATGTAGTAGTACTGAACATCTTAAGACTTTTAGAACAAAATCCATGGCATTAATGCCTATACATTCACCAAATAGTGTATCCTAAAAGGAACTCCACCAACTGAGAATTCACTGTGAAAAGCAAGGAATATGCATCTAGATAAGTGAGATGGTGAATCCTCAAATATACCCTTGAGAGCTAATCCTTGGGAAGAAAGTAGATTATCTGTCAAACTGAACATGAATGTAAGAGAATTCTTGTAGGCTGGGATATACGGTCAGCTTCTCTAGAAATCCATTTTCAAGCATTTTCAGAAGTGTTCAGAATCCATCTAGGCCCAAGCACTTGGGTATAGGTCTTCACAGGGTTCAGACTCTAGTTGTCTTGCTGTTACTAGGGGCACCAGGGAGATCCAGCACTGGATAGATCCAATCTGGAATCTTCAATGCTGCCACAGGGCAGATCAGGTACAGCATGGACGGCCCTTGTAGAACATGGAGCATATGCAAGCAAGGGAGCAGATGGCCAAGAAAAGAAGAGTGGAAAAGATTTTTCCCTCCCTGAACAAGCATAGGAACTCTTCGAAGACCTTCTGGAGTTATGGCTCACCAAAGGACAGAAGTGCCCTGGGAAGAAAAGGTGTGATGGTGTATAAGGACTAGAATACGTTTAGACATGTTGTTAGAGTTCTAAGAAAATGCATGCCCAAACAAATCAAAGTCTGGGTATTGGTATTTTTAAAACATTCATCAGCACAATGTTTTATTAAAATAAAAATTCAAGTGTTTTCTATCAGATTATGGTATAGTTAGAAGAAATATGCTTTCAGTAGTATTTCTGTGCCTCATGAACACATTTTACATTGAGCACTCTGTAGAGCAGTCCTTTACTTTCTTGTCTGTCGCATTCACTAGAATGTCAGCTCCTTGAAGGCAGTGCTCAAAATTCCTTCTTACTTACAGCCCCTCTATGCACAAGATTCACTTAGTGTATACTTGTTGAGTTACACACAAGAGGAGTAAGTAACTTGTGTTGGGTAGTAAATCAGTAGCAGAAGCAGAATTAGAGCCAGGCCCATGGCCTCCTGGCCAGGATTCCTCTTAGAACCTGCAGTAACAACCAGATTTCCTCTGGCAATGGTTAGACACCACTGAGAATGGCTAGAGTTCCCTCGGGCATCTAGCATTACCAAATGTGAGAAGATTGTGTCCTATCTTCTACATAGCTTGGTCTGATTGCAAAGCCTAGAACTTCCTGGATATATGTTTGATCTACAGTTGGTTTTGTGCCATTTAAGTCTATTTGTTCATGGGATTTTATTTTTCTGGATTACCCCTTTTTATTAACTATGTATTCTAGTCTCTGATCCCTCCCACTCTGCCCCCAGTTATTAATGGCAATGTGGTACAACACATAAGCCCCATGTGATGGCCCATTTTTGTTGACCTGATGGAGTGGCTCATTAGAAGTGTTGGTGTTTCCTTACTATTCACAACTGAATCTGATGGAGGAAAATAATACAAAATTGTTCATTTCCTCGGGCTGAAACAATAGTGCTGCTACAATATAAGCAGCTTCTGGATTCATAATTCTATCATAGTGCTTTCCAAGTCATATTATAACATACGTTAATATAAAAGTTATGATTCTCCCACTGGAACATAGGCATCTTGAAGTAAGGAGTCATATCCTATTTACTTCATTGTTTCTAAGCGCTAGCTTAGTGCCATACCTATACTATATATGCCATACATGTTTGTTGAGAAAATGAATGTTACTCTTTTGTTCATTCATACTCTGTCATTCAATATTTAAGCCTCTCATAATCTTATGAATAATTTTGTAAGAACACCTGTGACATTTTCTATGCTGAGTGTGACAATGTGCCTGTCTATAACTTCAAGCCTTTTAATTTATTAAAGCATATTCTTCCCAGTATAAAATGCCACTATAAATACTTCTTAATTACAGCACATCTCAAGTCTCCCTTTTTTCCCCTGCCAACCTCCCCATCAAGGATGAATCTGAATATCACGAGAGGGCAGCGGAAAGAGATTGCCTTGGGGTCAGGTATATTGCCTGGCAGCAGCATGTTCAAGGAAGTGCTCCATAAACCGATATCTCTACTAATAAACTGCAGGTTTCAGAGCATAGGAAAACTCCACTAAGGCATAGTGGCAGGATGTGAATCTCTATATTGGGGACAATGTTTTGGTGAGCTGAAGAAGAATTTTGTGAAACATGGGATAAACTCAGAGGGACTGAGGATCTGGAGACAGAAGGTAGTATGGTACATGTTTCAGTACCTCTTAGTGGGATACTGTGCTAACACCCAAAGATGGGGGAGGAAATGTGGCTTTGTAAATGGATAATGAATAAAGGGTAGAATAATTTTGAGAAACATGACAGAAAAGGCGTAGATTGTCTTGAAGGAACTGTTGGGAGAAATACAGATGTTACAGACTGCTGATGAGGGCTCAGAAGGATGCTAGGGGCATGGTAGTGAAAACCTGTATCATCTTGTAGAATACCTAAATGATCACAAACAAACTGTTGGTAGAAATATGGATGTTAAAAGTGCTAGTGTGAGGGCCCAGAAGGACATGAGGATCATGAAAGGCAATTGTTGTTATATAGTGGCAGAAAACTTACCTGAATTGTATTCTACAGTTAGGAGGAAAGTAAAATATGCAAGCAATGAACTTGGATATTTAGCTGAGAAGATTTCTGTTTTAGTACATTCTCCTGCTGCTACAAAGAACTGCCTGAGACTTGGTAGTTTATAAAAGAAAGAGGCTTGATTGACTCACGGTTCAGCATGGCTGGGGAGGCCTCAGGAAACTTATGATCATGGCAGGAGGCAAAGGGAAAGAAAGGCAGATCTTACATGGTGGCAGGTGAGCAGAGAAAGAGAAGGAGGAACTGCTAAACACTTGTAAAACCATCAGATCTTGTGAGAATTCACGCACTATCATGAGAACAGCATGGAGGAAACCACCCCCATGATCCAATTACCTCCCACCAGGCCCTTTCCTGGACTTGTGGGGATTACAATTCAAGATGAGATTTAGGTGGGGGCACAGAGCCAAACCATATCAATTTCGAAGCAACGTGTTGGAGGCGGGGCCTGGTTTCTCCTTGCTGTTTATAGTAAAATGTGAGAAGATAGAGATAATTGGAGGAGAAACTGTTCAGCAAAAAGGAAACAGGACTTGATGAGTTGAAAAATTCTTAACTTACTCAAATTGCAAAATAAGTTAAATTAGGAGATTAACTCTCAGAAAAGTGGGACAGACAAGGGTGTGGCTGGACAACCTTTTGCTAGTGCCTCTGACAACCAAAAGGTCAGATTATTTATTCACACAGAGGCCTTTTTGAATATATGAAATGTACGACTCATGGATCCCCTTAGCTATCTTAGCAGAAGTCAGGAATAAAGATGGGATTTTTCAGGAAAAATCCCTGTGTAGGAGCCTCTTGTCTAACAGAGTAACTCTCACAAAATATGCAAGAGACCTACATAGTTTTTAAGAATTTTATACCAGCAGCAACGTTGTTGGCTTGCACTGGAAGAGACAGACAGAGGACAAAATGAAAGAAGGGAAGGGTGACTCTGAGCGGGGAGCCTTGGGCATAGAGGATGGAGTTAGGACACAAGGTGAAGGACATGGGACAGAAGCAGATGGGTAGGTGTATGTGGTCTGCGAGCATGTGCAAGTTCTCTTTTAATGTATTCTATTTCCTAGGTGAACAGTTTGCTAAATCATCAGCTGAGAGTTAAAATTGGAAGGAAATGTTCAATGTTGGAAGAATGATACAAAAGAGTCATCCAGAAGACAGGGACGGTGCTTAGTCTAGACAGAGAAAAAAAATGTTGTCAGTCAATATAATCAAGCCCATTTTGTAGTCATGAATTTCAAGTGAATCAATCCACATTGTTATTGTTTTTCTCCAGCTACTTTTGGCCACCTGGATGTACATATGGGATAGGCAGATATATTGATTAACCAGGGTTATACTCTAGCCGAAGTAATTCAAAAAAGAGAGAGACTGGTAAGAGAGCTGTCAATGTATATAAAGGAGTGATCATAATGTCTGAGCATAGAATTGAAGCTGGGCATAGAGGGAAGTGAGAACATGTATGAGATAAGACACAATGAGAAGCTGGTAGGACCAATCGATTGTTGGTCCTGCAGGGGTCAAAACGTTGTTGGAATTGAAGTACCAGAAGGAACAAACTGAAACAGGATAAGGTACATGGGGAGTGGTATGCTTGCATTTGAAATGCACTTGTTGATAATCACAAAGTCAAGAGCATGACCCTAGCTGTGAGTGGCTGAGGTAGGGCAGTTGACAAGGTCATTGCAGAAGTCCAGCTGCTGAGACACCAGGACATTGGAAGGATCATCTACATGGATTTAAAGAAGAGTTTGGAGTCTGATTAAGGAAGGGTTTATCAATAAATATATAGTTTTTGTTTTTTAATAAAGGCATCGAACACTGTATGGCAAAGTGTGACTGACTTATCTTTCACACTTTCCATTTATAACTACTAAAGCCCCAAAACCAAAAGACAGTTTTGAATTTATGTACCTTATATTGTGGAAGTGACTGCTGGATGATACCATTAATAATAAAGGCACCACCCTTGAATTTATAACCTCTTTCTAGATACTTAAATCCCCAGAGCTTTGCGCACAAGGCCAGGAAACAAATAGTTGTTCGAATATGTGCTGCCTTAAAATAGCTGTATATGACATTGAAAGCCACAACTTTAGCTCATGTTGTCTAATGTTAACTACATCCTAAGAAAGTCAGCTCTAGGACCTTGATTTAACATCACTCATTTGCATAATATAGTGTACATATTTAATACCTCCCTGTTACTTGTATTTCAAGCAGCCATAGTGGTTAATAATATATTATCCAGCTAGAGTAGCCATTAGCCAGTCTTATGAGGTAAAAGATCACAAATTTAGACATGCCATATTTTAACAAACATAGTTCACTAATATTTAATTGGAGAAATATTTTTCTTACCTTAAATAAATTTGATGACTATACATCCATGCTTCATAAAATATATCTGAATGTAACCTCCCTGAACTGTGCAATATTTTAAAAATATGTTAAATCTTGTGAAAATGAAAATATCCAAACTTGTGTAAGGATACAAAAAAAATATTGAGGAACAAGGGAGACCATCTTTTATATCATATCATTCTATATTTTCGAATGGAATATACCCAACAGCATTTCCAAAAATTTTGAATAAGAAACCAAAGTTCAAAGAGAAACTATCTACAAAAGAAAAAAGTTACAGCTATACTTTATCTAAAAAAAGAATTAAAGCTAAGACTGTTTTGGGGCAGGCACTCACTTCTATTACATGTCTATATTTCATGGCATGTCCACCTTGACCAACTGTCTTTCCAAATTGAAAAAATTACCACTTTTTATTCTATAACCAGTGAAAGGCTATTTATTCTTTCTCATTCTTTGCTAGATAATGGAATAATAAGGAAAATTATATAGAACATACCCATGCTTGTGGTTACCTTTTATGAAAAGACAGTGGAAATGCCAGTGTTTTCACACAGCTAGATACAGCAGTATTGGAAAGGTGCTATTTCTTAATCTGGGTGGTGGGTATATATATGTTTTATTATTATGCCTAAAAATGTATTATTCATTACCAATATTTTTAAATATATGAAATGTTTAATAATAAAAAGTTGTGAAAAGCGAAGATAGTCTAGATATAACCCTATTTATCATAGATCGAAGAGGAAAAATGTCAACCAAAATAGCACAAGTGCTTATTTTTACTAGCATGTAATAAGATGTCTGTCCCGTCTGTTCCAATATTTCAGACAAATATAAGCACATGCTGCTTTGCTTTTAAATTAATTGATATAAAAAAGTACTCTTGTAGCCTTCAGGAATGGACGTGGATCCCCCAACCCCAGCCAAGTATAAACTGTCCTCCTTCCACACGAAATGCTCTGTCTAGTCTCTCCATCCTCATCACCCTAACTTAAAACTAGGTTGTTGATGTGGTTAGGCCTTGTGTCCCCACCCAAATCTCATCCATAATCCCTATAATTTCCATAATCCCCATTTGTTAAGAAAGAGACCAGGTGGAAGTAATTGAATCATCGGGGGCAGTTTCCCCCAGGCTGTTCTCATGATAGTGAGTGAGCTCTCACAAGATCTGATGGTATTATAAGGAGCTCTTCGCCCTCTGCTCAGCGCTTCTCCATCCTGCCACCTTGTGAAGAAGGTGCCTTGCTTCCCCTTCACCTTCTGCCATGATTGTAAGTTTCCTGAGGCCTCCCCAGCCATGCTGATCTGTTTTCTTCAGACCGACCTCTTTCCTTTATAAATTACCCAGTCTCAGGTAGTTCTTTACAGCAGTGTGAAAATGGACTAATACAGTAGTGAAGAATTTGACACAGCCTTCATTCATATAATAAGCATTTGTTGAATACCTTCTATTGGTAGGAAACTATAAGTTTTGAGATCACTTGTATGTAAATAATCCACTTTGAGTTTTACAGTATATAATCTCTTTTAGTAGTCAACTGGTTCCCACAGAGCAAGAGAACAATTGAAATACATCCTGAGAATAGCTAATGAAAAGAAACAAGAACAGAGTTGACAAGACTGTCTCAAATAAGTCATTTCCTTTGTGGGGCAAACACTTAATTTCTAAAGAATGGTCTACACATTGCACATTCTTCTTGATCAATGTAAATAATAATTCTTTCCCAGTAATGGAAAAATCCACATCTCTCAGAAGGCCTCAGTACTCTATCAATGCCACTTCTTTTGAGTTGACCACCCAAGAAACAGACAGTGGCTTCCTGTTCAGGTGTCACAGTCAGCCCCTAATATAAAATAAAGGCCCCAGAGGACAGCTGTTGTGCTCATTCATGCCCTAACAAGGACACAAAGCCATTAGTCTATGAAGTTGGCAAGGGTTGGAACAGCAAGGCTTGGAACGGAAAAGAAATGAAGACTCTACTGCCTCCACCTCCCATACAGATACCTTCCAAGTAGGCTTTTCTGAGGAAAAGTGCTGGCCCTGTAGGCATTTAAGTATGTCAGCACACAGTCACTCCTCTGTGGTTGATGTAACTTAAGAAAGTGTCAAAGACAAGTCAGCCACTTTGCTTGGGATAAACAACACCAGGCACTTCTACATAGGGAGAAATTATTTCCCTGCTCTTCCACTTTAGGGCATTCAATGACTATAAATGTCCATCTGTTGCCCTTTCACTTCAATAAACAATTTCTGTGATTCCATCTTGTAAGGAGTCGTTCAACGTGTAAAGCCATTGTGATGTTTCACATTCATCGGTCAAATGCCATTAACTGCTGCTACCTAAATATGACTTATCAGAGGAGAGTCCATTATTTCCCTTATGTCAGGCAGAAAATGAGCTTCTCCACCCCAAAATTCACTTCTTTGCTGAATACCCGGATATATCATACAAAGAATGATAGAGTAGGGGTAGTAGGATGAGTAGGAATTTCCGAGGCAAGTGAAGAGAGGGAGACATAAAGAGGATAGAAATACCTCTTTCTGCTGTTACAACCATCACTCCACTCCTTCCTTTCAGTAATTGTTTTAACACAGAGGTGTCCTGCTTGCTGGTGGCAACCCTCATTTGTGACACAGGGATGGCACACAGCATATCTTCCCTCAATGGTCCCATGGGCACAACACCAGATTGCCATGCATATTGATTTTTCTCTCATCCCATCGAGACATCACAGCTGCCCCCTCAGAGCGTAGGTGGAGGCAAAACCTCACTCCTGGGCAGGACAAATGTATGTTCACAGCCCTACTCTTGGAACAACTCCCATGCTGCTCTGAGCCTTTTCCATTTGCTCATTCTGGGGTTGAGAAAATGAAAGCAAAATCCTCAGAGGACCTTAGATAGGTCTGAAGAATAAAAAATAAAACAGCTGGGCTAAAACCAGCTCAATAATTTCTCCGTGCTTTGCACTCTCTCCCTCTGAAATTACAGTTGCAGAAGATAAAGGCTGAGAAATAAAAAACTGAATTTGGCCTTGATGTTTAAAGGAGGTGGATGTATCTGAATTTAAGTAGTAAATCACTATATTTTTGATGAGGTGATTAAATTATCTGGAACTGCTTACATGATTCGTGTTCTATCACATCGAGTCTGGGTTCTCTGGTTACATGCATGGTGCATGTGTGCTCTGGCATTTCTGTTCACAGCTGGCCACAAACTGCAATTTCTCTGTCTGTATTTGAAGATCGAAATCAGAAGCACAGTCAGGGAATATGGTGACAAACAGCACTAATTGGACAAATGTTTTAACATATGCAGGGCCACAAAGTCACAATGGTGCTTGCACTTTAGACTATTGGTCAAATATCCCAAAAGTAGGTTTGGGTAGTTTTACCCTGATTAGAAGGGATCTTGAGAGGCCACCTAATTCTTCTTCTCACTCTGCTCCCCCTAACCCTAACACTAACCCTAACCCAAACATACTTGATATGATTTGGCTCTGTGTCCCCACCCAAATCTCATCTTGAATTGTAATTCCCACAATCCCCACGTGTCTTGGAGGAACCCAGTGGGAGGTGATTGAATTATGGGGGTGGGTCTTTCCCGTCCTATTCTCATAGTGAATGGGTATCATGTGATCTGATGGTCTTACAAAATGGGAGTTTGCCTGCACAAGCTCTCTCTTTGCCTGCCACCATCCAAGTAAGATGTGACTTGTTCCTCCTTGCCTTCTGCCATGATTGTGAGGCTTCCCCAGCCACGTGGAACTGTGAGTTCTCCATTAAACCTTTTTCCTTTGTAAATTGCCCAGTCTCAGGTTTATCTTTATCAGCAGTGTGAAAACAAACTAATAAAATACCCATCAAGAAAACTATTCATCTAATCAAACACAACTCTCTTGGCCTATCTTGGGCTTTGATTTGTTGATAAATGAAACATAAGTAAATGACTACCTGTTGGGGCTTCAGAGGCAGCTTCTGTGCATTCCCTCCAATCACCATTTCACATACACACAGATACACATGTGTACATGTATAGAGTCACACAGAGGCAGTTTTACTAGGTTGTTGGCATATGAAATCCATGTGGCAACAGTAATAGACTCTACTTCTAATTCTAAGGCTTAACCTCCAAATACTCCTGAGAAAGGCAAATTTACATGGACTGATTCAAGACTCTTTCACAAGAATGGTTTTTATAGAAAGAAGGCACTAATATAATTATGGAATAAAGAGAAAATGTAACAGAGAAGACAAAAGTTGCCTCTTTCTTAGTTTTGTAGGATATATTCAGCTCAAAGGAATTATGATTAAGTCACATATTTAGATTTGGTTTATGTCAATTAATAAAATATGCTGCTTGTGAGGATTATGGGACATCTTTGATGTCTAAGTATTCATTCTTTATTGACTTTATGTCCTTCAAATTAATTTTGTCCAAAGCAAACACTTGAATATATTTTGATTTTACTAACATTGTAAAAGCAATTCAGTTTAAGGTTTATGTGACTGTATGTTCTGAAATTCTATAAAATGCCTTGTAGGGATAGTTCTGTAGGTCATGCTCTCAGATTTTGGTATTGCATTGCCGTGTTGAAGTTTAGTTCAACAGCTATAATCTGTTACAAAGGGTAATATTTTGCTTTGTTAATTATCACCAATCTCTTCATTTCTTTTTGAGCTTCTGCACTTACTGAGTCAAGAAAGAGCTTCTGCACTTACTGAGTCAGGAAAGAGTAAGGAAGGGAAGGAAATATCTTTGTGTAGCACTGAACAGAACCCATTTTAAGAAAATTTTGCTAAATACGGTATTTTGGGGAGATGAGTGGTTTTACTATTTGTTCAGAGCTACCTTTCCCATTCTCAAATATTTTTGTTCTCCTTACCCGTGAATGCTTAAAAAGACTAGTACAAAATATAGTTCCACAGTTAGCTAAGACCTTACAGGTTTAACTACAAAAGAACCATGGAGATTTTCTTAATAAAACACTTCCCGTTTGAGCCATAGGTTCACAGGATTAAAAAAAAAATAGCACTGAATATCTTAAAACCATGAATTGACCTTAAGGCTTTGAGCTTCCATTTTCCATGATGGGACTTTTTAATCTTTTTTATTCAGACACTCTGGTGGAAAAACATAGTTATGAAAGAATGATTAGTTTACCAGTTGGGGGCAAGAGAATGGAGGTTAAAATGCTTGTTGCTACGTTTTTATTCTTTGTTTGTTTTAAAATTCATGGAAGCTCTAAATCCTCTCACAGTCTATAAATAATCCTAGGAAGGAATGCCAAGGGTAGAAATGGATTTCTCTACATGGAAGCTGGATGGCATTTGATCTCTTTAAATATACAATGATCTCACACCTCTTTCAAAGGTATATCTAATTCTGTACATCTTTTGTAACTGTGTCTCCGGAAAATGGCCAGTAAAATATCTAGAGATGCATTCATTTAATTCTTATTTTGAAGCATAATGAATATTATCATTGAAAAATAAATAAAATAGCCAACATTGTTTTGTTGCTTACTATGTGTGAAGCATGTATTTCATTATTTCATTTAATCTTCAGAACACTAAAGATCTAGATTTTATTATTTTTCTCATCTTTCTAAGTAACTCAAAGGATGGAGATAACTTATCCAATGTCACAGAACTTAGGAGAAGTCAAGGATATGATCCACACAGTCTAACTCCAAATCAAAAGCATAGCCAAACATATAAACACAGAATCAAATGGTCCACATTTTTGTACAGCTAGAGAATATAATTTGTTCTCTAATAAATACAATATATTAAAAGTTTATTGAATTATAATATATATGTATATATATGTGTGTGTGTATGTATATATATATGTATATGTGTGTGTGTTTATCAGGCTACACCAGAAAAAGAGTTTTCTGAATTTAAAATTCTATTCAGAAACCTGAAAGACTTAAGTGATCATGACATTTTATCTTCTGTTAATTGACTTTTCATCTTTCTAGCAATCTGTAGTACTTGGAGATGGCTTCGAACCTAAGTCTTTCTTGACAGGGAAGGAAAGAATAAGGTTTTTATGAAGAGACTATTAGAATTTATTAGTGTGTTCAATTATTTAACAGGACATTTAACTTGTAGTATCACAGCACAATTTGCACAAATCTCATATAAGGTTAGCTCATTTATCTCCATAGTCAATCCATTAACTTGATGTTAATGTAACATTACATTTAACTTGAGCTACTCTCTGTTTCTCTTTTCTCTAAAATGCCAACTTCTGTCCTTGTTTACCTACTAGTATGTGAACTCTGCTTAGGTGATCAGAAAACTACACAGAGATAATGGTGTTTCCAAAGCTGGTCCCTGTTGTTTACTTTTGTCATAATGTTCTGCATTTTACACCAGTCAGAAAAAGTGAGTGAATCAGAACTGACTTCTCCATTAAAATTAGTTTTCAGGAACGTATTATACAATGAGATTTAACTTCCACAGTTCTCGTACTCTTAACCCTTTTAGGCTCTGTATGCAACTAACTAGATATTGACCAACGGTAACCCTTTGTTTTATAAAATCTAGATATTGCAGGTATTAAAAGTATTATGCTGATGTTTTGATCTTGTGATGTCAAATGTGCAGTGTTTTTACAGATTATTATGAAAGGAGTCACAGGAGCCATATTCACCCTTGTTTAGAAGTGCCTTCTCTTCACCTACAGAGCTAGCTATTCAATTGCATTTATGCAGATTTCCATTCTTTTCCACTTCTGTAGCATGGCTTGGAACTAATTTCAGTACAAAGGTAACCTATGTAAAGGCATAGCATATATTTGATCTAGAAAAGCCAGTAAGTTTTAGAAAATAGAGTGCAGGTGGGATGTAGTCTTTAGATGTTATTACTGCCTATAACTTCTTCAGTGGCCTTGGGAAAAATTACCTAACTCCTGGCATGTAAATCCACGGATACACTTAAAGTAATTGACTAATGACAAAAAAAAATGATTTTTCTGACTATACATCAGTGCTCATAGCAGCATTATTCAACAGCCAAAAGGTGGAAACAACCCAAGTATCTATTGACAGATAAGTGGATACACAATAAGGGTGTTTGTGTGTGTACAATGACATATTATTCATCCATAAGAAGGAATGAAGTTCTTATATATGCAACAGCATGGATGAACCTTGAAAACATAATGCTAAGAAAAATAAACCAGATACAAAAGGATAAGTAATGTATAATTCCAATTATATTATATATTTGGATTAAGCAAATTCATTGAGACAGGAAGTAGATTTGAGGTTACCAGAGGCTGAAGAGATGGGGAATGGGGAATTAATGCTTAATAGGTACAAAGATTTTGTTTGGGATGGTTAAAAACTTTTGGAAATAGATAATAGTGATAGTTGTATAACATTGTGGATGTAAATAATGTCACTGAATTTTATTCTTTAAAATGCCTCAAATGTCAAATTTAAAGTTACACATATTTAACCACAATTTTTAAAAAAGTAATATAATATACCAAAAAACATTGAATTGTATACTTTAAATGGGTGAGTTGCATGGTATGTGAATTATATTTTATAAAAGCTGTCAAAAACAAACCAAAACAATGGATTTTTCTTAGGTTCAGTTGGACATCAATAGTTGTGAAAGGCTCTTCATGGAGAGGTTGATGTGATATCCAAGTGATTGCTGACACTATCGTAGTCCTAGGATTACTTTGGTTTGCTTCTGACTGACTCTTTTCCTGCTGGGCATGATTTATATTCTTATGGTATTTTCATTTCTACCCTATAGTTGGGTCCATCTGAGAAGACAGACATGACCTAAGGGCCTAAGACCAACTACATTGCTCAGCTTTTGGTACTATCAGTGTTAAAAGCTAAATATTCCTTAGCTTTTGGTACTATCCGTGTTATACTTTATAACAGGAATTGACTTGATATTAAAATGGACTTGGTACTATCAGTGTTAAAAGCTATATATTCCTAAGCTTTTGGTACTATCAGTGTTATAAAGTATAACATGATGAACTGTAGCTGAAATGTATTTATAGAATAATAAATTATCCACATAGTACCAAAAGCTTAGGAATTGACTGGGTATTAAAACCTAATTTCTCTGTGGATGTGACTGCACTCACCTAAAGATAGCAATGCTCAAATTTGCCTGCCTTTCCCTTTAGCTACTCAAACGTCACTTCAGATCACAGACAGGGCTGACCACCGTCACTGAGCCTTGACAGCATTCATTATTAGATTGTTTTCAAGCCTTTCCATTTCCCCCTTAACTGAAATGTTCCTGGATACCTTAGAATCTCATAGCTTCAGCTATTTTCTTTTCACTAAACAAAGAAAAATTCCAGATCTATTAAATCTAATTTCATATTTTATAAGTTTAGACTCAAATTTGATTCTATATTCCAAATTATTCAGTAATCCATTGTTGTTTCTAAGTAAATCATATCCTCTGACATTCCCTTTTGTTATACTACTTCTATACCATGTAACTACAATAACACTCTCTTGGTGTTCATTGCATTGTGCAATTTTTAGTGTATTTATCAGTCTCCCCTAATAAGCTATGAACTTCAAAGTGGCAGAGACCATGTGCCATTTACCTTCTCACTTCGACCAGAGTGCCTGTTCTATCATAGATGTACAAAAAAAGCTTGCTAATTGAATCAGTGAATCAAAAAAATACATCAATGTATGAATGGCATAGAAAGAAACCAGTAAATAAATAAATTATTTACTGATTATAACAGGGTACTTTAGTAAAAAAAAAAAAATGTACAGTTTGTGACTAGTAAGATATTCAGTGGGTCAGTCTGCCTGTGTAGAGATGGGTATATATGTTTTCCCTATACCCTTTGTAGCTTCTGTTGTGCCCCTTCCCTCCTGGTTGTGTAATCACTCTCCAAAAGTTTTAGCCTTATTAAAGATGAGATAGGCATTGTATTTCAAAATAAGCATAATTTCCTGCCGTCAGGATGACAGAAATATATTGAAGGCCTGGTTCACTGCTTATTCCAGTTCCAAAGTGCTCTCTGTTTTCCTTACCCACTTGAACCATGACTCAAATGATGTGTCATTAAGAAACCATCAGGAAGAGAGGAATGCAGAGCTTATAAAAGAATACCTATTAATGGTAGGACACAGCAACTCTTTTCTGAGAAATAATATATATTAAACATTATGTGCTCCAGGTTTTTGACCCACTCAATTCCAATAGAAAATATGTATAAGTTTTTTAATCTTATAGCTTATACACTCACTAATGCCAAGAGCTGAAATGCACACAGAGACTGCAAAGCATATGAATGAACTGTAGCTGAAATGTATTTATAGAATGATAAATTATCCACATTAAATTTAGGCAGCGGAAGGGAAGTCTCTCAGGGATCTACAGATTTTCAATTTCATATAAGCATTTGTGTTTGATTCTGAAGTCTGGCTGTTCCATTTAAGGTAACTATTTTTACATCGTGGCATTTCCCCTGCATTATTTTTGTTCTAAAATCTTGAATAGGGATACTAAGCACTATTAGAGACTATTAATTTTAACAATTTCTGAATAAATAAAATATAATACTTGGAATATTGATATCTTCATATAATAATTGTGTAGATTTAACTTTAGATGGCTGTATAGTATTCATTCATTCAATCAAAATGCCTTTATTAAATATTTGTGGAGACTTTCCTATGAACCAGACACTGTGTCAGTTGTTAAAGACATAGAGAAAATGAACATAGTTTTGTCCTAAGAGAACTCTGGTGGGAGACAGACAAGTAAATATATTTGATTAGCAAAGAGACAGCCACGGGGGCTATAGTAACTCTTAGGGATATACCTAACTCAGCCTGTAGATCATAGATGACTTCTGGGAGGAGGTGACAAGTAGAAATTAGTAACAGAGAAGAAAACAAAGACATTCTGAGAAAAGCCCAGAGACATGCAGCAAAGAGCTAAGAGTTCTATTCCCTAGAGGCAGAGTGCTTAGCTTCTTTGACACATAAGAGGCCCTTATCTTTAAAGCATTGATTAACCAGCTGACATGTCTGTGCTTGGGCACTACTTCTTTCCCACGTTACCAGAACCCACTTGCCTTTTTATATTTTTTATGAGATTCTTAATCATAATCGGTTTTGGTGACATGAATCTGAGCCTAATATGAGTTTATGACATCCTTATCTACTCACTGTAGCTTAGCTGTTCATTCCAGGAGGGTCTCCTAGTGAGTGGAGCCCAATAGTTTGAAGCAAGAAAAACATTTTCAACTAAGAGATCTTTACAACTTAAGAAAAGTGTGCTTACTCCAATAATTCATTTGCTTTGTATTAGGTATTATTAGGTATCTTGTGTATTAGGTATTATTAGTTATAATACTCACTTTAAAAATGATCAAACAGAAACTCATAGATGTTTCTGTCAGGAGACAGATGACATACTCAAACTAGGTAATTGAGGACAGTTTAATATAACAACTACTTATACAGTGTGGACAAGGTTTAGAATGACTGAAAGGGGATGGTGTGCTACCTTGAGCAGAGAACCGTTACCGCTCTAGGCTTGTATATTAGTGTCCTATTGCCTCTGTAACAAATTACCCCAAACTTTGTGGCTTAAATAACACACATTTCTCATCAAACAGCTCTGGAAGTCAGAAGTCTGAAACCAGTTTCACTGTGCTAAAGTCAAGGTATCCACAGGATGGAGTTCCTTCTGGAAGCTCTAGTGGGAGAAGCTGTGCCCTTTCCTTTTCTGGCTTCCGGAGGCTGTCCTCATTCCTCACTTCATGTCTTCACATCATATCACTTTTTCTCACCTGATTCCAGTCTGTTTTTGACTGTCTTTTCTCCCTCTTAGAAAGACTCTTGTGATTATATTTAGCACCCAGGCAAATAATCCAGGATAATCTCATCCCAACATCTTTAACTTAAACTCATCTACAAAGTTCCTTTTTTCATATAAGGTAACATTCACAGGTTCTGAGGATTAGGACAAGGATATCTTTAGGGACTACTATTCAGCCTACCACAGCCTGAGTGGCAAAGGGAATGGAACAGTTATCAGAACCCGAAAAGAGCTGTATAGAAAAGGTACCTGGCGTGAAATGTGGACTTTTAATATAAAGCAACACAGCCAGCTACGCAGATCCTCCAAGGAGAGATCTGGAAAAATAAGTACTCTGTCCTCATGCTCTTCCACCTCTGATCTCCTGCCTGGGTCTCCCATTGGCCAAACCCAACCAGTAGCCACAGCGGGAGGCCACTAACAACATCCATGCACTTCAGTCTTCCAGGTGCCGAGCAAGGGAGGAGAATGGTAAGAGACAGTCTGTGAGGCACAGAAGACAGCCAGCCCCAGGGCTGGGTGTGGTGGCTCACGCCTGTAATCCCAGCACTTTGGGAGGCTGAGGCCTTTGGATCACCTGCGGTCAGGAGTGATACCAGCCTGGCCAACATGGTGAAAACCTGTATCTACTAAAAATACAAATTAAAAGTTTGCAGGCATGGTGGCATGTGCCTGTAGTCCCAGCTACTAGGAAGGCTAAGGCTTGGGAATTGCTTGGGCCTGGTAGGTGGAGGTTGCAGTGAGCCGAGATCGTGTTGCTGCACTCCAGCCTGAGTGACAGAGTGAGACACTGTCTCAAAAACAAAAACAAAAAAGAAGACAGCCAACCCCCTTCTTTTCATAAGACTACATTTAACTTTTAATTATTCCTATAAAAAATAAATTCTTTAAAATCTAAGAATAAGGAAGTATAAAAATATAACTGAAAGTCTATCCCCAATCCTGTCCCCAATATCCCCCAACAATCCCTCCCTAGTCTGAACCTGCAGTGGCAAAAGACTTAAGTGTAAGCATAGGTGGAAGTAGCAGAGGTCAAGGATAAAACAAAACAAAACAAAACCTGATGACATGGATAAACTCTGCTTCAGCCATTTTGCTAATGCACGACATACATGGATGCCATTCCTTCTGCCTGGAATTGTTTTCTCTTCATTATTTGCTGCTTTCACTCACCTTACAGGTCTTATCTCAAATATTACTTCTGGAATATATCACTTCCCAATATAAATTAGAAACCCACCCCCATGGTCCTTATACTCTTTCTTCAAATCTTACATTTTCCTGCATAGCCTCTCCATAATCAGTAAAGATAATTTTGTATGCTTAATTGATTGTTTATATGCTTATCTCCTCATTGGTTTATTTAGCTCTAGGAAGCCAGACAAGCTGCTATTGCTCCAGCCCAGTGGACAGTAGTTGACACAAAGCATGAGTTAAATGCTTTATGTGTCTGTGTACTGTAACTTTTCTGACAAATTTCAAATCCACAGAAAAAGTTCAAAGTTCAGTGTGAGAAAATTAATTAATATTTTCACATTCGCTCTCTCTCTCTCTCACTCTCTCTCTCTCTCACTCTCTCTCTCTCTCTGTATGCCTCTCACACTCTCGCTTTCTCTTCATCTCCCCCTCCTCGTTTCCCTCTCATTTTTTTCTCTCTCTCAATTTATGTTCTCAACTTTTAATTTGTAATTCTAACTGTGTTTTGATGCCTGGAAATCTTTAGTAGTATTTAACTCCAGCTGGGGGGTTTTCTTTCTTTTTTCTTTTGCTTCATGGTAGGTTTTGGAGGAGAACATTTATCAGCTGACATCCTGATTCTCATTTCTGTTTTCTTATATTAGCTTTGATTGCCATCTTCTGTTCATTGTAAAATGTCTTCTGTTTTGGGGGGCCAGTAATAACAGATGTATGTAGTGATTTGTGTGGTTTAACAAAATTTCTTTTCTGAAACAGTTTTTTTTTTTTTCTGTTCAGGAAGTACAGCTCCTAAAATCAATAGTTCTATATTATGCGCTTTAGGGTAGATGTTGGCATATCTTATTATTTTGTGATTCTTTTCATTAAGTAAGACTCTTAATTTTCTCTGCTTTTTTCCTTCTCTCTGTTCATCCCCGCACCCCAAACAGCATAAATTACTCCTGGTGGATGATGTCACATTCTATAATCTCTTTCACTTTAAATGGATGAAACGCTAGTGTGCCTGTTACTGACAGATGAGAGTAGAATGCATTAGTCATAAAGAATAATAGATGGTTGTTCTCCATCTGTGGGAATAGTGTCTTAACAGGACTCCAGCCTCTGGTCCTGTGAACTTTCAATGTCTTTTCAAAGCTCTGATTCATCAGGTCTTGGGCCAGTCCTCAATGTTTACCACGGGTGGTGGGACTCCCTTTGTTTACAGTGAACATGATTTGTGCTCAATCATTCCTCAGCCCTCTGAACCCTCTTCTCATTTCCTTGCAGTCTCTACCTCTCAGCTCCAGAGTGGGCTTTGTAGCTGGATCTGCTGGTTTGGAAATATTTCCCTACTTACATGCAAATTACAGTTGTGGTGTTCTCTGTATCCTAGTCATGATATAGGCATGGGTATTGAGTGGTCTTCTCCACTCTCCTTGTGACTTTGTAGGGCTTATGAGAGAATGTGTGGAGAAACTCAGATTTAGAAAAATACCCTATGGGAAATGTGAACTTCAATTGTATTTTCAACAAATAAATACCAATAATTTCTCATATGCAAAATATGGTTATAAAAGTGTTCAAGTATATTATATTAAATAAACTCATCTTTTTATTATCAATCGAAAAATGCTTCTCCCCAAATTGATATCAACTTCAAGTTCAGCCACATCAACCATAGTATCCTCCCATCTCCCACTTTTGTTTCTAAAGCCATAAGCCAACAGAATTTCTCCATGAGAGTACAAGGCTAACGAATGTTGTGGCAGATATTGGTAGAAATCTCCAAATATCTGTCTTCATTTCTTCTTCTTCAGGAATAGAATCCAAAGTTCTAGCTAGGTATATGACAGCCCTAAGTAAAGACCATATTTCTCAGCTTCCCTTAGAGTAAAGTGCTTTTGGTCCCTGATGGTTCAACTTATATTTTTCAATTTTATAATAGGTTTGTTGGGATGTAACCCCACCTTCAGTCCAGTAGTGTCGGTATGGCCATGGGATATGTACTGCTCAATGGTATTTAACCAAAAGTGTCATGGTGGGACTTGTATAAGGATCCCTAAAAGGAAGGGGGACACTGTTATTGACTCTTCTTCATGGCTGCTGGATGGGACACCCACAATAATGGGTGCTATTTATTACAAAATAAAAATAGTCCAGTCTCTGATGAAGGTGAAGTGCATGTTTTATAAGCTTGAGTCCTAGATGTTTTATGGTTTATATTGCTATTGAAAATGAAGTCTTCTTCTTCCCTCTACTATATTACAATGAGTTGTATTCAGTATTGCTGTTGCTTTGTATAAGTTGATTCTGTATCCAGCAACCTTATAAAACAGTAATTCTCAAAGTTTATATGTAGATAATTCAATTCTGTGTTTAAAGCGTTCAGGAAACATAACTAAGTTATGTTATTTACTGAGCAACAACCAGACCAAAAGACTATGCTAGGTAGAGAAGGGGGAAAAATCAAAAGATGGATAAATAAATAAGGTATACCCTCAGTCAGTAAAAAAAAATTAATGTACTTCAATGTACTATAAGATATTGAGTTTCTCTGTTTTTTATGAATGAGGATAAGAATAAGAAGGATCAATCATATTTTAGAATAATTGTTAAATTTTATTTTTATTCCCCAGGGCTTTTAATAAACTGACAAACTTAATTGTTGGAATTCATTTAGGTCAATGTAGTAACTTATTTACAAGAAATAAACCCATTTTAGAAAATTTATTCACAATGTATAGATGCTCAAACACCCTAGAATGGTCTTGGAATAGGAATGAATACTGCCTCTTTAGAAGCCAGCTCAGTCAAATTCTTCATTCATATTGGATGACACAGCTCCTCTGAAATTATTCACACAGGAGCTTCAAAATAGCATAAATTATTTTAAGTGGATGATATCACATTTTATGTTACCTTTTACCTTAAATGAATGGCTAGTGGGCCTGTTAGTGACAGATGGGATTGGAATACATTAATTACAAAGAATAATAGGATCTCCAAGTTTAAAAATGAGTAATAAATAGGAAAAACAGATTATAAATAGATATTAAGTTTTAAGAAGAGAACTTACAACGTGTCAGATTTCATGAGAAACTTTAGCAGTTCAGAGCTAGCCTTTTTAGAGTAAGTGATTCATTTTCCCCTTCAGTGCATTCAGTTTATTATATCAAAATACTGATAATACTGTATATTTTTTCTATATTTGATAGATGTTGTAGAGAAGAGGGAGGGTATCCTTTACCCTGTGTCTGAGACCAATCATAAAGTGACATACAGTTTTCTACCCCATTAGGAAAATAGTCATGGTGATTGTAGAAAACATGTGATGAGAAAATAGTTATCACTGATATTAAGCAGTTGTCTCAGAATTAACCTTAGCGATATTTCTGAGCTGCAAGGGAACCACTTTGAACCCCATTTAGCATCAGGGCTCTTTGTAATGTGATATCATCTGTTGTTATTTTAATTCATATAAATATTTCTTATAATAAAAACTATGGTTCAGATTAGTATATAGGTCAAGAGTCAAAAATCACCCAGAGATTTCTGATGGGAATTGGAATAATCCAATGGCAAATAGTCGTATGATAAGGTCAACAACTTTGCTAGTAATGGGGGAGCTCTATTTCATATCCATCTGATTGACAAACTTAAGAATAAAGTTTGACAATAATATGTTTGCAATAAGATCTTGCATGCATAGCGAAGTGGTACAGCCATTTTGATAAAAAGCTAAGTTATAGCTAATAAACTTGAATTTATGCATGCTTCAATCCAGGAAGTCCAGCCCTAAGTTTGCACTCTCACACATGTGTTTGAAAAGAATTATAAATAAATGCTTATTGCCACATTGTTTTAACAGTGAAGAAAATTTGCAAATAACCTAAATATTTATCAGCAAGAGAATGGAAAAATAAGATGTGATATACTCATACAACAATACACTATACTACTGATTAAATAAGCTAGATCTATGTGCATCAACATGGAAAAATATTTTTAAACTCATTATAATAAATAGGCAAGACATAGTACAATTCATATAAACTTTAAAACATTGGATAATAACACCCTTGTTTATTGTATACTTAAAGAATTAAGACATTTTTGAAAATGAAAGCCACCAGTTCCAGAAATGGAAGAATAGCAATGTGATCTAGGTAGGCAGGGACTTTCAACTGTATCTATAGTATTAAATACCTAAGTAGAAAATGACTACATGCTTGTTATATTATTCTCTGTACTTTTTCATGTCTGATACATGTAACAATAATAATCCATATTATTTTTCATATCCCAACATAGCAATAAATAGTATTCACAACAGAACCCTGTACTCTATTTATACCTGAGCTTTTAAGTGATGACATCACCTGAGAGATTAAAAACTCTCAAGAGGAAAGAAAAAGATTCACCCATGAACGTATCTACCTGTTCATGCTTGTCTCTAGTATACACCCAGAAACACAATTTAGAGCAACTCATGAACACCACAAATTCCCTGAAGTTCAGCATTGCTCCTGTCATCAAATCATAGGATTATAGAAATAGATTCTCTCATACTCTCTTTATTTCCCTCCCCAGCTTATTTATTTCCTTTTTAGATTTTTTAAATGTTTTTTATTTTTTCTTTCTCTCTTTTTTATTAATACATAATTGTACATATTTATGGGGTTCCATGTGACATTTAGATACAAGCACACAATGTGAAATGATCACATTTTAGTATTAAGGATATCCAACACTTCAAACATTTATCATTTCTTTTTGCTGGAAACACAATCTTCTCTTCTAGCTATTTTGAAATGCACAACAAATTATTCTTAACTGTAGTCACTCCACTGTGCTATTGAACACTAGAACTTATTCCTTCTATCTAACTGTATGTTTCTACCCATTAACCAATCTTTCTTCATCCTCCCTCCCCGCTCATCCCTTCCCAGCCCCTGGTAACCATCATTCTACTCTCTACTTCCATGACAGCAACTTTTTTAGCTCTCACATATGAGTGAGAACATATGGTATTTGTCTTTCTGTGCCTGGTTTATTTCACTTAATGTAATGATCTCCAGTTCCATCCATGTTGCTGCAAATGACAGGATTTCATTTATTTTTATAACCAAATAGTACTCCATTGTGTATATATACCATGTGTTCTTTATCCATTCATCTATCACTGAACATTTAAGTTGATTCCATAACTTGGTTATTGTGAACAGAACTGCAATGAACATGAGGGTGCAGCTATCCCTTTGATATATTGATTTTATTTCCTTTGAAAAAACACCCAATAATGGGATTGCTGCATTGTATAGTTGTTCTATTTTTAGTTTTTTGAGAAACCTCCATAGTTTTTTGCATAATGGCTACACTAACTTACATTTTCACCTGGTACATGAGTTCCCTTTTCCCTGCCCCCTTGCCAACATTTGTTACTTTTTTGTCTTTTTGATTATAGCCATTCTCACTGGGGTGAGATGATATCTCATTGTGGATTTAATTTACATTTCTCTGATGATTATTAATGCTGAGCATTTTTTAATATACCTGTTGGCCATTCGTATGTATTATTTGAGAAATGTCTATTCAGATGGCTCACTTGTTTTCATGTCTGCTTCCAGTGCTTTGAAAGGAAGGAGTGGCTATTCCTTATTCATTTTTGAATCTCTCTTTTCTCCGCATTCCAAGGCTTATTGTGTTAAGTGTGCTTTTTATTTCAAAGTTCATGAGTGATAAACAATGAAACAGTGCTCCACCATCTAATGCAGATGCCAAAAGCCTACTAGTCTAGAGCCAAGTATTCCTGAAATAATATGTGGTTTCTACATCTAAGAATACATAGGCAAATAGACCCAAAATATTTGTTCATAGAGAAACCTCTAGTAGTGTGCATTCTCTTCATTCTAAAATTTAATGTAGAAAGTGTGGTCTATGGTCAACTGACCTTGTTTTAAAACTTGATGTTATTATTAATGAGATGTATGGTCTCTGGAAAGCTTTTAACAACCTCCCTCCTATTCCTCACTTCTTCATTTTGAAAAGAAGAGTAGTATTTGTGGGATTCTTATGAGAATCAAGTGAAATCAAATATGGAAATGTTAATAAAATGTACATTAAAATGTTGTATGTCATATTATGTAACTGTAATGATCATGTTCAAATCTGATGATATATTAAAGTTCAATTACTAAACGTAATTCTATAAGGAATTGGCTGAGTTAATATGAGATAGTCGCATAAGCCTTTCAGAGTTTTGCTACATCAGATGTGAGAGTCTGACACTGCTTGCAGAAATTAGATACTAAAGTAACTAGCCTGATCTAGGTACTCCACAAGTGTATGTTAAATATAAAGCACTAAAATAAAATAATTGTGTTATTATTTTGTATTCTTCTAACCTGCTTCTATTTGTTGTCTTGTAATTCTCTTAAGCAACCACAGCTAAACTTATTTATTACATTTGGGCCATTGTAGAATCTTTTGGACTCAGTGTTGTTCACATTTGGCTTGTGTTATTCCCTTCAATCCCTTTTCAGTCACTGTTCTTTGGTAATAGTCCTTTTAAAAATGTCAACATTCATGTTGTAAACTTCCCACAATCCTATTCCTCAAACTCTTCAATCCCGTGTGTCATCTCCATTTTATTCTAAACACACACCAACATATGTGGAATTACCTTATTTCCAAATTCAAAAGCTATCTAAATCTCCTCCTCTCTGATTCAACTCACAGACTACGTTGTTTATTTCTTTACTTCCTGATCCTACTGAATCTACTTCTCATCAACAATGAGACTGGATTTTTTTCAGTTCTTTCAGATTACCACATCTACCCAAGAATTACTTGTCTTCCTTCCTAAACCTAGATCTCACATTCAGCCATTTTAGTATTGAACTCATCAGAAGTTTAGAATGTTTTATATTCTTAAATTTCTGCCATTTCAACTTTACACTACCCAACACTGATTAAACCCATTATGTTATTTAACCACCTCTATCCTCAAACCACAATATATATTTAAACCATGCTTTAAAAGAGTCCCTATTCTAAAGAAACTTCAACTGGTTACCTTCTTCAGCTGCATCATCCCATCTTTTTTCTTTAGATAATAAATATTTCCCAACCGCTTCCAGACTGACTTCTTATTTCAACATTCTTAAACCAGCTCCTTTAAGGTGTTTAAGGACCTTCTTATCACCCAAACTGCCTTTCCTTTGTATATTATCATAAGTTGGCACTTTCTGAATAATTCTTTGCTCTCTTCTACTTTGATGTCTCTATTCTGCATTCTCCTGCTTCCTTCTCCCTGTTCCATGAAGGCAGTTTTTGTACCTATATTCCTTATCCTCTTCTGCAATCACTCCGGTTTGTTAATCTCATCTATAATCATAGCTTCATAACTGTCTCTCTACAAATGGTTCCCAAATATATATCCCTGGCTTAGCCTCTCTTGAATTTCCCAATTTCTAATGCCTATCTTTTCTAGGGGCTTTACCGGTAATGAAAATGAGCATACATAAACTCAGATCCTGAATCCCTCCGAAAACCTTCTTTCTATTTTCAGTTAGTGGCATCACCAGCCTGCTATCCAGAAAAGCTCAGAACCTCATGCTGATCTTTGATTTCTGCACACTTCTATCTCTCACTCCACAGTTCTGTGAATTAGAACTCTCCAGTATCTGTGTGATCATCACCCTCCTTTTGGGTTTCAGTGCCCCCCCTTTCATCTATTATCTTGCTCTCATAATGTGTTAACTCCTCTCCCAGCCCCTCTTGTGGCTTCTCTCCAATTGAATCTAACAGACTGTTGTCAAAGAGAACTTTTGATCAAAGCATCGCTCTAATTAGCTTAGATCTCAAATCATCAGTTGTCTACGTATCACACTTTAAAAAATAGTATTAAGTGCTCTGTAAATGCCAGACGTTACCACCTTTGATGTAACAATTGCACTAGGCGTTCACAATAAATTCCCCTCCTAAATGTCCCAAACTTCCTCCATCCTTTCTCCAACCCAACTTTTGCTCATGATTCTTACAAAAGAAATTTTATTTTACCTCATAGCTATTTACATTTCTAAATGTAAATAAATACCATCTACATTTCAAAGTCATCTTTTCCATGAAGACTGCACTGATTTCACCAGCCAAATGTATTTCTTACTGCTGGGCTTCCTTAATACTTTAGGAACATCTCTCCTCTAGCACAAATCACATCTTCCATTGCTTTGTTTCCTTGACTAGATTCTGAGCACTTTTAGGATACAACCAAGTTAAGTGTTCAAATTTTTATCCCCATTCTAAGCACCTACAAGTGACATTGCTTTGCCCAATTATATAGAAACTTAATCAATATTTATCAAATGGAATTGTTACTGAACTAATTCAGTTCACCTGGGGCTTGCCACATGATCCTTTCCTTTATTGCTTCATTTATCAGAAGTGGCTTATGATTTTCTCTAACTTCTCATTGAAATAATATAGGCATACTGCTCTAAAACTATACTAGATGGGAATTGATATATAACTAATTCTCATTATTCATGGTAGTTATGCCGTATAAAGGTGCCACAACCACTGAATTAGCAAATACTGAACTATTGCTCTTAGAAAAAATGCAGGGTGAGTATCTGCCTCTCTCCTCTTGTGAGAATCTGCAGGGTGAATATCTCCATCTCTCTTCTTGTGAGTATCTCTCTTCCTGTGAGTATCTGGTCACAACATTTTCATCAACAGACCAATACATTTTCTTGTTTTATATGTGGTTCTACTTAAAGATGCCTGACTTAATATCTATTGTTGATTCATTAACATAGAACTCCTGGCCAACAGCACTATAACTCATGCCTGAAGGAAGCTTATCTAGAACACATATTTTCTCCATGAGGCACACCACAGCTTTCTGGTGCTTAAGAACACCAGAAACCACTTTAGCACTATGCTAGGGAGACATTTTAAAAATCAAAATTACGAATGATAATGCAAAAATGTGAAAAACATAGCACTAAATATACATTACTGCAAATGTACATCTGTTTACGGTATGAGCTGAAACAAGAAAGCAAAGCATCATCTCCATCAACTTCAGCTGGAAATGTGTGTGCCAGGCTACTCACATTTCTCTCTGCTCTGCACATGTCAGTGACTGACCACAAAAGCACTGTGAATTTTTATTTTGGGGTTACAAATAGACTTTAGCAAGTAGGCAAATTAGTAAATATGGAATCAACAAATAATGAGTATCAACTGTATGTGCCTCTGTGGCACGTTGCTACAGTAATGGTTCCCCAAAATGTCCTGCTTGCCTGTATTCCTATCCTTGTGTAATCCCCTCCCACATAGATACTGACTTTGGCCATGTGACTTGCTTTGGTCAATAAGCCTTTAGTAAATATGAAGCAATCAGGGGTTTGAAATGCATCTCTGCATTAGGCCTTGAAGTCTTGGAATGCTGCCACCATGTGAAGAAGCCAGGAATATAGGGTTAAAGAGGCACAGTCCAGCAGACAGCTAGCATTCACAAGACATGTGAGTGAAGCCATCTTAGACCACCTAGCCATAGCCAAGGCACAAGTTGACTGCATCCACATAAGTGATTCTAAGCCACTCAACTAGAAAACTACTGAGCTCAGAGCATCCCAAATTGCTGAGCCACAGATTGTGAACAAACAAAACAGTTGTCTTAAGCCACTACACATTGGAGTAATTTGTTACAAAGTAATAAATACTTTATATACAACCTCCATATTCCTCATCTATAATTTTATCTCTTTAAAAAAAATCTGTACTTCAAAGAACTCTGCAGTTTCTTTGCAAGCAAACATTCTTCTTATCTAAAAAATTCATTTCTCTCTTAGGTTTTGTATTATAATTGTTTCTTCTAGATTTTTAGTAGCATGAGTACTTAAGAAAAATATTAAATGACACCTTGCCATCTAAGCTCCTTTTAAGCATTGTAGTACCCCAGGTTCTTCATAGTCCAGCAAAGGAGGAGCAATATCCCTAAGGCAATAATACCACCTACCGGGAACATTTCTGTAGCAAAGATAACACATTTTTTCTATTATCTTGAATGTTTTTTCTTCTTTTTTCATGAGAAACAGTGCCCCAAACCTCTCTGACTTGTAAAAAAGTTTTTTAATGTATTTTTTACCAATCTACTTAGATGTGAGTCATTAGAATCGAAAGTATATTATTTTACTAAAAGATATCCAGTGGCATCTACGCTAGTATTTTTCATTTGTTATGGGAGTGTGTATGTGCGATGAAAGATGTGGCAGTAAAAGACCTAATATTTCTTTCTCAGAAATGGAAAATAGAACCTAGGTAGGTAAGAGATATAGTAAAATAAAATATATACATAAATGTAATGCAGCTATAGAAATGAACTGACATTTTAAGGTCTTAATGCAATATTTAGTAAATTTTTCTTTATTTGGGCTTTTTAAATTCTTTTATAGTAAGCCTGACAATTATAAATCATTACAAGATTGTTGTACTTTTGTGCTTATTTTGTATAAAGAAAGTGTTATTAAGATAATTAAGAAAATGTTAAGGATATGGCTTTTGGAACATTCAAGAAGAGGCATGTAGGCTTTGGAAATCAGGGCTGTTTATGAGAATATTCCCATGGTCTGAGATGCTGGGGTTCTAGACCCACAAGATGATGATTTTCCTGTTTAAAAATATATGTTCCATATGTTTAGACTATGACATTAGAAAATAAGTCCTTGCAGAGAAATGAAGAAGATAAAAATTCTAGACAAGAAAAAATTGAGAAATCTGTCTTCAGTTGAAGACTCTCTCTTCCACTAAAGCTAGAAGTAACATCTCAACCATGAGAAGTTTCTCATAAATCTCTCCTTTCCAATCACTACCCTCTACTTTTGAGTGGAAAATATGACTTATTTTTTATTTTCCATACAATTGCTCCACAAATAAGTTATTATTGTATAAATCTCTGAAACTCAGTACTACTGACAGCTGAATTATTGTGGCAAGAGTTTAAAGACTTTATGAACTGAAAACATTGAACTTTACCTGAGCTCTGTGCTCCCAGAAAATAGAAAAGAATGAAAAGCCCTCTCACCACTATTTTGTTTCTCAAGCTCCCTCTCAAGCTGTGTGTTCCAACTGCAAAGAACCCTTCCACATTTGACTCAAATAAGACTCAAATGTCCATTCTTCCTCATGACTCTCAAAAGGCTACAGGTGACTCCTATGTTTACCTGCTTATTAAAATATATATATATATAAAATCTGGCATTTTTTAAAACAGTAAAGAAGACTTTATTCACGACTATTGCAGTAGGGGTTAACTTCACTGCAATAGAGGAGAGAGATGAGGCTCAAGCCCAAATACAAGAAAAAGTGAGGATTTGCAACCAAAGAGCAGAGTGAGGAGGTTAATGAATGTAAAATATTTAAAAGGAGAAATCACAGGTAGAAGGATTCTTGCTAAACTGGCCTAACATGATTCTCCCTTTAAAACAGGTCAAGAACTTATACATCAAAGGTAAGGATGAAGAATTTGATCAGATAGCAAGGGTGGAGGGTACTCTTGCTAAACTGACTTAGTGGGGTTCTTGTTAAAGTGGAATCTGCCAGGACAGACATGGAAGGCCAAAGCCAAAGCCATTTAAAAGACAGCTCAGAGGAGGCTAACTAAAGTTTGGTTAAAAAGAGAGTCTTTGCCAATATATAAGCCCCCATGTCCCCTTCCTTTTCTTTGAGACATTTCTCTTTAATAAATGTTCTTCCTCTTGTAATGACCTAACTAAAATAATCTTCTTGGCTTTCTCATGCATTTTGTCTTTTGTTGCTGTTGCTGTTGTTTTTGTTTTTTGTTTTTGAGACAGAGTTTCATTCTTGTTGCTCAGGCTGGAGTGCAATGGTGCAATCTCAGCTCACAGCAACCTCCACCTCTCGGATTCAAGCAATTCTCCTGCCTCAGCCTCCCGAGTAGCTGGGATTACAGGCATGCACCACCATACCGGGCTAATTTTGGAATTTTTAGTAGAGATGGGATTTCTCCATGTTGGTCAGGCTGGTCTCGAATTCCTGACCTCAGGTGATCCGCACACTTTGGCCTCCCAAAGTGCTGGGATTACAGGCATGAGCCACTGCATAATGTTGGAGTGTTGAGGTATTAGTGTTGTCCTGGAGCAGAGGTGCTCAGATGGAACCATAGAGAGGTTTCAGGAGTCCATGCCGCGGAATTATAGACAGAACTTTGTGAGGATATGCATTTGGTGGAGGGGGCAGGGAGTGTAAAGATTTCATTTATAACATTCATCAGATTTTCCCATAAATTTGTGCACCTATAAAAATTTAAGAAGCACTGTTAGATGTTTTTCATGTTTTGAGGGTGGGGTGGAATTAATTTTGTGTGATTTATTAACTAAGAATGGAAGAGCTGTTTTCTCCTATTTTTCTTGGCAAGGTTCAAATTCACAGATATCTCTTTTTTTATTGAGACGAGATTGCAGAATGGCTAGGAAGGTAAGTAAATTGTGGAAATTCCAGCTAGCTATCTCAATCACAGAACTGATCATTCTATGCTTATTCTAGGAGGTTGAATAATCTCAATAAAACACAGTATAAGTGAAGTGAAGGCAAAAGTGCCTCTCTTTGAGATGGTAGAAAATAGAATATAACTCCATTTATATGGCTATCATTGCCTTTTTAAATTCTGATTAGATCTGTTAATCACCATGAAATATTTCAGCACAAATTAATAGTTCATGCCAACTTTGTTTTACCCTTCCACAGAAATTTCTTCCAGTAAATGCATGCGTAGTGGATGAGGAATATGCAACCATGAATATTGATCATCCAAAAATATCAAGCATTTTATTTTCTTTAAATAGGGTTAAATCTAACTTCAACCCCCCACCAGTGTACTGGCTGTGAATTCCACTTTATCATGACCAGATCTACTCCCACTATCCAGGGATGTACAACAATGCAAGGATTATATCCATTCATTCATCAACTATTTATTAAACCCTTGCTATTAAACATAGTTCTAGGTATTGTGAATACAGTGAGTAGCAAAGCCAGAAAAATCTCTGTTCTCAAGAACTTATATTTCTGAGTGGGGAAATAGGTCATCAACAATAAGTGAAATAGATGTGATACTGTCAAATTGAAATGAACACTGTGGAGACAAATTAATTAGTAAATATGAAGTGCTGGATTAGTAAATATGAAGTGCAAGATGGTGAGGGCTATAATTTAAAATAAGGTATCAAGGAATGCCTATGAATGAAACATTTGAAAACCTAGTTTTAGCTACCCATGACAATACCAGACGAAAGAATATTACAGGTAAAGGAGGAGCAAATGCAAAGTTCTGGGGTGGGCACTAGGAACATCGCCAAGAAGCAGAACACAGCTCCCTACTACTAAAAGGATTGTGAAAAGAGCATCCTCTCCTCTCAAGAAATCATCCCTGTTTTATTCTTACTTCAGAGTCCTGCTCCCTTTTCTTTCCACCTAGTTTATACCTAGCCAAATCTCTTCAATAAAATCCTTTTTTTATATAAAACACAGAAAGAGGGATTATCACCAAGAAATCTTCATCCAAGTATCCCTTGAGGACTACCTTTCTTCTTAGAACAGAGATAGGGCAAAAGAAAACCTATAAATATCTCAATAAATAAGCTCACCACATTTTTTTCTGAGTGCCAGCAGTTGTACTACATAGATGTGAGCTAAATAAAATTTGGTGAAAATTGTAGCTGTAAGCAATGTTTATACCTCTTCAAATGTCCTTAATATTATTTCAGTGGTTCTGTTCAATACTAATAGCTAAAACATGTAACTAGGAGGGAAAGGAGCAGAGACAATGGAAACAATAAAGTGATATGGAGTGAATAATAACCACTGTTGTCATAAAAATATTGAGGCATTGCTCCCATATTTATTTCAGTTCACTTTATTTTGAAATTGAAATAAATATGAGAGAAAGGAGAGACTATGCAAGTGAATGCAGCATTGCAGTGTTTATTATTCAACATCAAGTGCCTGAGAGGAATGCCGCAGGTGCCTTTTCCCTTCTCTGCTCCTCTCTGTAATTTCTCGATCCAGTTAAATCTGGCTCTGCAGCTTCACTCATTATGTGTCATTTAGGGAAGGCAAAGTTGCTGCAATATTCATTCATTTTTTCGTGCAAAATTGTATTGCTTCCCCAAACAAATAGATAATAAATAACTCATATGTGTAAAATCCTAAGCTGGTAAGGATACCAATAACATTGAAAGCAATTGCTTACATTTATTAAATGTTTATTCTGTTTCATATAGTTAACCATGTTCTATACAGTTTACATGTCTCTTAAGTGTGGGCTTCAAGAAACAGACTCTAAGATGGAGATTTGCATGCAGGAAGTTTATTGAGGTGCTATCAGAAACACCTGTGACAGAGTGAAGGAGGAAGAATTAGATAGAGAATCTGAACTGCGGTGAAGTTATAACCAAGGAATTAGCTGATCCTACATAGAGCACTAGAGCTGAGATGGCCCTGAGTTTAGATTCATCTTAAGTCAAACCAACAGAGTAGGACTTTTGTACACCCATGTAGACCAATGGTACACCCATGGAGACCAATAGTTACATGAGGGGCTGTCTTAGTTTGGTAGGGCTGCCATAACAAAGCGATAGACTAGGTGTCTTAAATAACCACAGTGTAGCTTCACACAGTTCTGGAGGCTAGAATCTCAACATTAAGGTGTCAGCAGGTTTGGTTTCTCCTGAGGACACTCTCTTTGCCTTGCAGATGGCTGCCTTCTTGTTGTTTCTTCACGTAGTCATCCTTCTGTTCACATGCATCCCTGGAATCTTTCCCTATGTCCTAATCTCCTTCTCTTCTAAGGATACCTGATTGGATTAGCACCCATCTAATAGCCTCATTTTAACGTAATTATCTCTTTAAAGGCCCTAGCTTCAAATACAGTCACATACTGAAGTACTGAGGGTTAGGTGTACAACACGTGAATTTGGAAGGAACACAGTTTAGTCCATAACACTCTACCCTGTGAACTCTCAAAATTCATGTCCTTCTAATGTGCAAATTACATCAACCTCCATCTCAGCAGCCGTTGGAATCAACCCATTCCAGCATCAATTCTAAGTCCAGAATCTCATCTCAATATCATAGTATGAGTGAGAAATGATATGATTTATCCTGAGGCAAAATTCTTCTCCAGCTATGAATCTGTGAAACCAGATGAATTATGACATTCTAAAATAACATCAGGGTGGGTCAGGCATAAGATAGACATTCTTATTCCAAATGGAGAAATCAGAAAGAAGAAAGAGGTCTTGGGTCCCAAGTGTGTCAAATATGCTACCTCCAGAATTGAAAGAAAAAAAAATGCTTACCAGGTACTTTCTTCTGTTTCTCGTTGGTGAGAAATGCAAGATGTAATAATCTCTTTAATTTTGGACATTATGTCTTTGCATTCTAGATTAATAGATACTTAACATATGGTTGATATGGTAGCACTCTGGATCTTTGTATGTCTATCACTCATCTTCTGGAGGATATGTGTCTTACCAAAGTCTCCAACATAGTTGCTACTTGTTACTAATTAACATGACACCGAAAGTAGGACTGGGCACAGGGAGAAGTTGAACTGTGAGACAGTGGCAACAGGGGCCTCAGCTAATTCTGCAGGATGATCTCGAGCTCTCAGAGTTGTTTGTATCCTCCCGTGGTGTGGAGCCATAATTAGATTCCCTTGTGATGGAGCAAAACCTTGGGCCTGGCTTCACTTAACTGAAGAGCAATTAATGGAAAGGGACTTTGCAGATGAGTATTTTGGTCCTAAAGGATGATTTGTGCAATATACCACAGTAACTACTACAGCATATATTAATTCCTTCATGGGTATAATACAAACAGCCACCATGTAGAGAGTGTCTACTATTGCCAGGCACTGTGCTGGGGCATTGGGTATTCTGTATGTCCATTCTATAGACATGGAAACTAACACTTATGTGAAATAATTTTCCCATGGCTAGTAAATGGTCTGCCTGACTTCAAAACCCAGGATCCTAATCACTATGCTGAGCTCTAATTCAAATGGCTTTTTGGAGACTTAAGTGAGCTAAATTATTTGAAGTGACTGATTGAAACCTTGCATACTTATGATGTTCAATACATGTTTGCTGAAAGAAACTGAATGAATGTTGAACTTCCATTCAGTATTGTTAAACTTCAGTTCAGTATTTTTATGGTTTATTTAAAAATAAGAGGGGCCAAATGTATGACAACGAAAGATAATATAGAGATAAGTGATATTTATTTGGCACACATGCATTACCACACACAGTTTATTGAATGGTTTGTGTGACACTCAAGTGTAGGATAATTCTGTAATTATTCCTAGTAAGAAAACGAGTGTATCCAAACAAAAATTGAATTTGGTAACCATGGCGTCTATGGTCACCTGAATATAATGTTCCCTTTAAGATATAGTCACTTCTTAATCTCCAGAATCTGTGAATATTAACTTATTATATTACTTTATACACCAAAAGGGTGAATATTACCATGTATTGCAGATACTGTGACTAAATTAATGATTCTTCGAGTTTATCCTGGATTTTCAAGATGGGTCCAAAATGCAACCATATGTATCTTTACAAGAAGGGGCTGGAGAAAGAGACACACAGAGAAGATGGCAATATAAAGAAAGGGGCACATTTTAGGGTGATGAAGGCACAAGTTAAGGGATGTTTAACTTTGGGGGCTACCAGAGCTATAAGAGACAAGAAATGGATTTTTTCACTAGAGCCCTAGCTCTACTGAGGGACTGCATGCTTTTCAAAATCTTGATTTCAGGATTCTAGCCTCCCAAATGATAAGAAAATGTTGTTTTAAGCCACCAGATTTGTGGTAATTTGTTGCAATAGCAAATAGGAAATTTGCAAAATATCTTAATAAGGGGTACTTTATTGGGTTGTGCTAGCTATTAAAGATAACACTTTACAAAATAGTCAATATAATAAAGACTGAATTCTATAGAAAATATACTTCTGATTGCTATAAAAATAAACTTTAACATTTTGGTGAAGAAAAAATATTTTCCATTTTCCCAAAGCTTTGAGGCTAGGTAAAAGGAAGAGTATTGCTAAGGAATTATATGAGCATGTGGTGTGGGAGAATGTTGCATGACAGGAAGGAAGAAAGCTGAGTCTTGACATAAGAAGCACTCAGTAAGGAGCCAAAGGCATCTAGGAGGGATGCTCACTGATTCTTCCCATAAACCAGAGCTGAGATTACAAGGTCCCACGTATTTCTGGAAAGTGATTTGAAAAAGACCATCCAAATTCATGCACAGTAGTAAGAAAAACCTCCAAGCATGTCAGTCAGAGAGAGATTTGGGGAGCTAGAGCAGCAGGAAGAGAGAGGACACCCAGTGGCCCCCTTGGAAGGGCTAAAAATTCAGTAACTTTGATAACACAGTTTCAGTTCTGATCTAAGCAGAGTATCTCATTTGGAAAAAGCTGTGCAGTGCTGTGGGACAAGTCAATTAAGATATGAATACCAATGCCTAACATTGAGCTTGCTAAGTATTTTCTCTTATGGATCTCTATCTTCCCATAACCATGTGAGAATAGTGTTCTGTTCAACTGATTGGGAGTACTAGTGTCTAAAAACAGTGGCTCAAACACTTTCAGTTATCACCAATTGCTTGTTAAAAGAATAAACTTCCCATGGAACCCATCTTGAGGATTTGGGTTATGAGGATTTGATAAGACCCTCAAATAGGTGTCCATTTTGTGGAATTTGGCCTTCATTGGCTTAGAAACACCTTCTGCACACCCAGAGAAAGGTAGTCAAATGACTGCCTAATTCCATGTAACAGGCCCTCATTTGAGGGTCTTGCAGTTCAGTACTCAATATGGGCTGGATTTATAAGGTAAAAAGGTTTTAAGGTCTTCTACACCTACTAGTTCAGTAAGAAAACAGAAATCCTGGGGCTAGGGATAAGAGTCAAAATGCTGATTCTGAAGCAAAAATTCCTGAGTCCCAACCTTTGTCCCTCCTAAAGCCACATTGGCACAGCTGAGGCTTCAGAAGCTATTGGAAGATTCATATCAACTTACTAATAATCAAGCACTTTCATATTAAGACAATGTATGATGTTTAGTAAAATTGATTTTTCCATAAAAGAAGTTTAAAATAAATTAGCTATTTCAAGAGAATCATGGTTGTCAGCAAATAGAAATGTTGTGCTTAACTCAAATCACAGTAATATTCTGTGTTAGTCAATTGATTTCTTTGAGCCTTTATTCTTTCATCTGTAAAATGAGGAGGGTGAAAAAATAATTATCAACCATGTTATAGTTTCCAATGATCCTGAAATCCATGGCTCAATCACTAAAAGCTGGAAATGTTCTGGTTCTATAGAGATAAATCACTTCCTTGTGGCTGTAAATGTACTTAGAAGGAAATAAAAATTTACTGGATCACAGTAGGAATTATTATATGGTGCTTTTTATTATTGGACAATAAAAAGTAACATAACATTTTTTCTGGATAATGTAAACCCTGGAGACAGACAATGATTTGGGGAACTAGATTACCTTTTCATATTGACCAAAAAATCATTGCAAGCTCTTTGAGTACATGAACTGTGCTTACACCATGCCTGGAACACTATAGTGGGTACTCATGCCCACTGTGAAAGCCTATTGTTAGAATTTATTTCCCGACACAGGCGTGGTGAGGAAAATTACAATTACTTAAAATATTTTGGTATTTTATCCATGTTCAACTCTGTTGGAGTTCCAATAAAAATTGTCCATGGCAACAAATTGGTGATGCTGATCATTATCATTAGCTTGTTGTATTTTTAAAATATTGTATCCAAGTAGCGTTAAGCCCTTTTGTAGAGCATCTTATTCTTTCCAAAATTGCCCATGAAGTAGTAGGTATTATTTTTGTAGTCTACAAATGAAGGGAGCAAGCTGTAAATATGACTTCAAATTTGTGATGTATCCAATATATTAAAGTTAACTCCTCTCCCACCTGTCAAAATAGCATCAGGGTCAAGCACTTGCCTGGTGCTTTTAATAAGTTTCCAATTCTAAAATCCCCAAAACCAGAGCCGCTTTTCCCTATCCTTCTGGTTGATCCTCAAGGGTAATAAAACTGCCTTCTGATCTTTCTTTCACTGAGATCATCAGTGATTCCTAATTGCCAAATCCAGAAAACTAATTTTAATTCTTACCCTACTAAACATATTTAAGATACTTACATATTTATGTATTTTTTACCATTTTTTGGCTTTTGAGGTAGAACATTCCTATTTCTTCTTTTAATTTTATTTGCCTGTTCCTCATCCTCTGACAATCCTTCAAATGTTAATCTTTTCCTGTTTTCCATACAACCTTCTTCTTATTTGGTTCATCCATGATCACGCACTTTTGTGACTTTTAAAAGTATCTTTTGATGAGAACTCTAATCTATCATCTGAATCTCAAACTTGATTACAGTATCTCCATCTGGATGTCCTGCATGCATTTCAGACTCAGCATATAACACACATTCTAAGTTCTAATATGAAACATCATCTCCTTCTCCTTGCCTGCTTATCCATTTCTGTGCATGCTGTTAGTATCCACATCAATTCTGCCTTTCAGATCTCTTCATCAGGCAAACTCAAATCCTTATTCTGCCTCACATAGTTTATCCAAAAGGTCATCAAATTCTTCAGAGTCTACTTCAAAAATGATTCTCAAATTTCTTATTTTTTTTTGTCTCCATTCCTACTCCCTCTGCCACACCCAGATTATGATCATCATTTTTTTTTTTTTTTTGAGGCGTAGTCTCACTCTGTCACCCAGGCTGGAGTGCAGTGGTTTGATCTCAGCTCACTGCAACCTCCGCCTCCTGGGTTCAAGCAATTCTTCTGCCTCAGCCTCCGGAGTAGCTGGGACTACAGGTGCACACTGCCATGCCCAGCTAATTTTTTTGTATTTTGGTAGAGACAGGATTTCACCATGTTGCCCAGGCTGGTCTTAAACTCCTGAGCTCAGGCAGTCCGCCTGCCTTGGCCTTCCAAAGTGCTGGGATTACAGGCGTGATCCACCACATCCCACCTGATAATCTTTTGTCTATGTTTTCATAACCTTGGTCTTCTTATTGTCTTTCTCTTATCTAGACAATTCTCTACACTGCTAAAAGAGTTACTTTTCTATAAAATGAAGCTAATTGCATCACTCGCTTACTCAAAAACCTCCCTGAACCTCATACACTTTCATTAATTTTGGAATAAAATTCTAACTTCTGCATTTAACATATAAAGAGGTTAATGAGGGTCCAAGCTCTTTCTAGGTTTATCCTTTGCCACTGCTTGCCACGCATTTAATATTATTAATATTGAACTTTTATAACTTCTCTCATATCCAAGCCTTTTTGGGATTCTACATTTTTAACAAAGTTTTTTCTCATTACATATATGATTCTCAATAAAGTATTTTGTTATTATTTGAAGAATGGTTAGTTGCTCCTAATTCAAGCTTTTGGAGCTTTTTGTCCTTATATATGTAAGTGTCAACTGACCAAACTGTACTGCAATTTCTCCATTTATGTCAGTTCATATCACTAGACTGTATAATTTATCAATTTCTACATACAAAATTGTTGCAAAATCTAAAAAATTCAATTTGAAATGTAGTACATTTTAGAAATTACATATTAGTTATATTTTGTGGTGATTAAAAGCTATGATTTTAAATTACACAAATAGTGTATTTTATTACATATTGATAGCATATAGACTTTAGATAAAAGTATTTGCTAGCAAATCAAGGAAATTACAATAAACATCATTAACCTACTTATGAAAAATAAACTCTTCTATCTTGTTTTTCCCTGAAACAGTCACTTCATGAAACCTAATGATTGCCATGAAATATTGCTTGATGTGTGACAGAATCATAAGAAAAATTTAACCACAGAATTTCTTCTTCACTGTTTTTACCAGAATATTTCCTTGAGGGTGATGAATTATTTTAAATGAAAACCATGAAGTTGTTTATAAGAACTTAATAAGACTTAGTTTCCAAAGCATAAGGTAATGTTTCCTCACTCTAAAATATGACAGCAACCCCATCATTTAAAGATTGCAGGCTGGGTGCAGTGGCTCACACCTGTAATCCCAGCACTTTGGAAGGCCAAGGCGGGTGGATCACCTGAGGTCAGGAGTTCGAGACCAGTCTGACTAACATGAAGAAACACCATCTCTACTAAAAATACAAAATTAGCCGGGCATGGTGGTGCATGCCTGTAATCCCAGCTACTCAGGAGGCTGAGGCAGGAGAATCGCTTGAACCCGGGAGGCTGATGTTGCAGTGAGTGGAGATTGCACCATTGCTCTCCAGCCTGGGCAACAAGAGCAAAACTCCGTCTCAAAAAAAAAAAAATTGCTACACTTCCCTCAGCTTCCCCAAGTTAAAATAAATGCTGTATTCCTTTACCATCGCTTCATTTTTAAAAAATACCCCATTTTCTACTTCGTTTAGAAAATTTTCCATCACTTTTCCTGCTTTGTAAGATTTTATTGATGGTAAAACTGCCATCTTAAATTTAAGTTACCCTAATTTAGGGCGTTTGAAAAGGAAGAAAAAATTCTCCCTTCACTCTATCAATGACTTAGATCTGAGTGTATGTTTTGATATGCAAAATGTAAATTCTCCTTTTTCTTTATGAACATTCCTAGATCTGGCCATCCATTTGGACATTGCCACATCTCTTCTTCTCAATTCACCCTTTAGCAGAAAACAATCATTGAGCACCTGCAAATGTGCCTCACACTGTTCTATTTGCTGCCAAAAATAAGATGGAGACAAGACATAGCCTTTATCCTTCAGGGACTTACAGGTTCCTAACGAGGTTTGAGATCATCTTTTACATTGTTCTATCTTGTATCCTTTGTATTCAATCAGTGGAATACTCAATATTTCGGCCTTTAAAATGCTCCCCACTTATACCCTTCCTTATTTCTCCTACCACAACTTTATCTAGATCATATCCAGCTTTTTCCATAACATACTAACCAGTCCTTTGTTTCTGGTTCATTTCCATCTCATCCACCCTTCAGAGTCATTAATCTTCATAAGGAAGAAATTTAGCAGTTAAAATTTCCATGTGCAAAACCCTCCATTGTGCCTTAGTGACTATAAAAATCTAGGTTCCCAGGCGCGGTGGATCACGCCTATAATCCCAGCACTTTGGGAGACTAAGGCGGGCAGATCACGAGGTCAGAAGTTGAAGACCATCCGGGCTAACACGGTGAAACCCGTCTCTACTAAAAATACAAAAATTAGCTGGGCGTGGTGGCACATGCCTGTAATTCCAGCTACTCAGGAGGGTGAGGCAGAAGAATCGCTTGAACCAGGGAGTCAGACGTTGCAGTGAGCCGAGATCCTGCCATTGCACTCCAGCCTGGTGACAGAGTGAGACTGCATCTAAAAAAAAAACCAAAAAAAAAAAACTAGGTTCATAGCATTTTATATCTAGAAAAACTCTTTGGGAAGATAGAAGACTAACTCCCTAAATTTATATATCAGAAACCTGAAGATAAGAGAACTTTCTCCTTTTATAATTTTTTTAGTTCCCCCAAATAAAATTCAAACTCCTTAGTATACCACATATCACCCTAAAATATTTGAATATTCTAGTCTAGCTTTTTAAATTTTCTTTAATTTTATTTAAAAATTTTTAAACGATTAAGATGTTAAATTGGTTTACAATAGTCTCAACACAATTGCAATTTATTAAATTCATCTCATGACTCACAAATCTCCAGATATAATGAGAGTTCCCTTGAGCTGTTTCACAATGTCTTATCTTTATAGCACAAACGTCCCCATTCCTCCAAAATTTCTCATTTAAAATGGATTGAAGTGAACCATCCTAGGTTTTTTTTCTTATAATGCTTTTTTTAAACTTCATGGCCTTCTTAAAATATGGTGCCAGAAATTGGACAATATGTTTCAGATGTAGTCTGACAAGCACAGATGACAGTATATCTTTTAGCTTCCTTCTTCTGAACACCATACTGTATTAAAACATAAATTTTATTCAATTAAATTTTATATTATTCATTTCAGTTTATCCTTTTGAAATCCGAAAGCTTTGTTAATTCAAGCTTTAACATCATTTATTCTAAGACACTTTGCTATACATTAAAGACACAGCAGTAAACAGAGTGGACACTTGCCCTGCCAACAAAAAGTTTACAGTCTTGTAAAAAAAAAAGTCATTTTAGCAATGAATTACATACATCTATAATTTATGTAATTAACTCATTTAATTAATTCTATATTGAAAAGTAGAGCCAACATGCTTCTTATGTATCTCAGTGTATTAATAAAGGAAACAAAGTTAACATTTATTTAGTAACTACTAGTGCTCAGATAATACTGGTGAAGAAAGTATTATCCCTGCTTTACTAATGCAAAAGCTGGCACTTAAAGAATTTTAGTAAATTTGCCCAAATTTTTAGAGTACTAAGCCAGAATTTGAACATAGTTCTTTTTGATCCATTTATCTATACGTTTATTGTGAGAGATTTTGTCTCTGTATTTGTTCTTACAAGCCAACCAGGTAAAACAAAGGCAGAAAGGGAGTAAGTTTATTTGGGCAATGTTCAATCCTGGTGAGCCCATGCTGGCTCCAAGTGATCACTGTTTGCTTTCTTGAATGTTCTTAAGCTCTCCATTTAATTTTATATTGTTTCTCTACCACGATATCCAAAGCTACACTGAAATAACTTATTTCAGTAACTGAAAAAGAAAAAGGTAAAGTTGTTCTTTGTAAACACTGGATTTTAATGCATCACTATAAAAGCGGACGTAAGAAATTTCAGAAAACAAAACATATAAAAGGTACAAGTATTGAAATGAACGTATTTGGCAAATTGGGTAATAGCATACTAAAAATTTAAGAAATCAACCAAAAATTTCTCAAAATTATAATTTCAACAATAATAAATAGCATAAAAATATTTGAATTTTTATATAATAGCAATACATAGCCATAACAAGAAAATAAAATGAAAAAGGTTATAATTTTTAAACATCAAAAATGTATATTATATATTTGCTATGAGTTTAACTTGGAGTACATCAGATCTAGTTTTTGAAACAAATAAAACCTTGGTGGAAGGGATAATGGAAGAAATCATTAATTTCAGTAAATATGACTTAACATTTATTGTTCACATACTTTGCACCAGGGACTATACAAGAGATTGAGAAAAACCAGAGAAATAAACTATGTTTCATATTCTCTAGGAAATAACCCTTCACTGAAGGAGAGAAACATGCAAAGTATTGACTACCACAATGAAAAATGAAATAAATGCCATGACAGAACTATGGATAAGGTCTTTGAAAACAGAGAAAAGGAATAATTCATTCTGACTGAGGAAAATGGAAAGATGAGCACATTCTAATTGTGAAGATTTAATATAATTAAGCTGCTGTACTTTAAATTAGTTAATAATTGCAAAAAAATACCAATTCCAGATTCCACTGAATGTTCTAAGAAATTTAAAATCTAAACACCTTTACCTTTACCTCCAATATATTAGTATATGAATGCATGAGCAGGTATGAAGAACAAAGAAGATAGATAGATGATAGAGATAGGCACAGCCACACATAAATGATTGATGAAGGACTTGCTTATTAATTTTACAAAATGCTTTACTATCATAATAGAACTCTACTTGGTGTTTGACCTCAAAAAAACAGGAGAAGAAGATTAATGAAGTAATAATTGAGATTTTAAAAATACATTGATTCTTTTTATGAGCATTTCAGCAAAAATAGCATACAGTGGGTAAAATTTCATAATTTTTGTTGTAATTAAATATTTATATAAACAGTAATTAATTTGAATTTATATTTCATATTTTGCATTGCAATAAATAACTCAATCAAAAAACATGTAATTTATGTTTTTAATATAGAAGAATATACAATAGCATATTTAAATGATGCAGAAGAGAAGGAAATCAAGACCATTCAAGAAATGAAGGATATTACAGGCAAATGGATATGCCTGAACATGTAAAGAAACTTTTTGTAAGGCACATTGCAGTAAAATAAAAATAAAAGAATGAGGAAAACATAACATATAAACATAATTAATAAGCTGTCAGTATTCAAAATACAGAGAAAACTGTGATTAACATGTATGATCATTATACCGATTCTGCTTAATATCCTTTTTTTAAATTATCAAAAATAGTACACAAATGGAGGAACACAAAATTAACTATTTTTTAGAAAATCAACCTTCAATCTAGTCAAAAGTAAAGCTCTTTTAAATCACTTCAGAGAATCATTATACTTTGGTATTTTTAAAGATGCTTTTTAAGTAACTTGTGTTGGAAACTATGCAACAAATAGGTAATCTTACAAATTGTGTATGACACCACAAATAATGCCAGCTTTCTACAAGTAATTGGCATTCAAACATGCTCGGAAAATCCAGTTCTGCTCTTCATGTGAATAGCTCCACTGCAGGGAGCATACTTCAAGAAATAAGCTAACTTCAAGTGGAAAACCAAAAGGACATATTTATTCTGTATGAAAAATTTGAAATATCCTAAGTGTCGAAAAGTTTTGGAATACTTAAGTAAAAAAAATTAATAGAATTCCAAAGTATAAAACAACTATGTGAATTATGACCATGCTAGAAATTCTTATGCAACATTTATATGAAGTACAAAAGGCTGAATATACATATTAAATAAATACTAAGTCTTGCTGTCATAATTCTTTTCCCAAAGCTAGAAACATGAGCTAAAGGATGAAACATTAATGCTTCAGCTATTGTAGGAGGAGCTTTGAAAATGTTAGTTGAGGACAGACATTCATGGTCAATGACTAAATTTATGGCTCACAAAATTTTCATTTGCCTGGTACAGGCTTTATTTTATTTTGTGTTTTTTGTTTTGTTCTTTTATGATGTATTTTTTTAACTTTTTAATTGAGTTATACTTACAATGAAATGCTTATATACAGTAAAACTGATATTAAATGTTCAGCTTGATGCAGTTTTACAAATGTGTACACCCATGTAACTATCTCAATCAAGATACTGAATATTTTTAGTAAGCAGAAGATTCCTTGTAAACTCTTCCCAGACAATGCTTTACCCCAACATCTGTGAGAGTCATTCATATTGTTGACTGAATCAGTTGTTCATTTATAATTTCTGTGTAATATTCTATCCATTGTGTGAATATATCACATTTTAATTATCTATTTTCCTATTAGTGAACTTCTTTGGGTTATTTCCAGGTTTTGGTAATTATAAATAAATTTGCTTGTGAATGTCTTCTGGTAGGTGTATATTTAGCTTTAGTGGATACTGGCATGTTGTTTTTAGAGAAAAAAATGTATTAGCAATGGGCTTGTCCAGTTGGCAACGGGCCCCATCATTTCTATATAGCCTCATTTAACTGGCTTGGTCTAGAAATGGCAAGTTTGCAACTGCTACGAGAAACAGAACTTAGTAAACTGATTCATCTGAAATTGTAACTTCAAATTTTCAGTGTTAATGGCTTTTAAGTATTTAGATTAAACAAAAGTAAACTTTTCCAAGTACAGTCAACCCTCTCCTCAGAAGCAAGGTTACCTCAAAGTCAAGAGCAATACTGTAGCTGTTTTTCACTTTCCTAGCGATCTGCAGAGTGGATGGATGCAGTCGTGGGCTGGCAGCTTGGTTCCAGTCCTGGCTGGCTGTGTTCTGGCATGGCTGACAATCACCCTATCCGGCCTTTCTCACTGCTGCCACGGGGCTCAGTGCTGGACCAAGGCAATCAACTTCATGTACATTTCTACTCCAAGGACCCTTCTTTTTCTTGTGTTTCACTTAGTAAAATTAGTCACCACACATGGTGGATTAGCAGCAGCAGCTCAGTTTCCTTGGATTTACATGAATTTATTCTCAGTGGGGAGATCAAGAGGCAATTTACTCAGTTGCTGGCCTTGTTAGGAGTTACCATCTGACCCTGCAGCTCAGTCTGAATAGCATGCTTATGATTATTTATTATTTGGGATGACTTTTCCCATTTTTGCAGACAGCTACTTGTAGACCATTTTCAGATGCTAAATTTTTCTGAGCTAGTTTTTTGAGAGGAAGAAGGAGCAAGGGAATAAAAGGTACAACTTTGTAAAAGTGAGCTAATACGTCAAAATCTTGGCTGATCACAAAATGCCGATCAAAGTCCCTATTTTTGCCAAAGTTATTATCAGCATACTTCTCTGAGAAACAAGAGCTGTGTTTCCAAATAGGCTGTATCTATACACTGTGCATGCATAATGAATAAATGGGAAATTCCATTTTTCAAGAGTGGAGAATGTGAAAATTGCATTGATCCAATGCCAGAAAAGGGGCAGTTTCTCTGGAGGTCTATACCAAGTGAGAGCTAGACAGAAAGGAAAAGGTGATGGTACATAATTACCCTCTTCCTTTTAATACACGAAGATATTTCTATAGCTCAGCAGTGAAAGGAGCTGAATCCAGAACCACAAAGAACTAATTGCCTTTCCTTTCATGGCATAAGAATATACGGAAAGTCTAGGCAAGTAATTTAAATTTTCAGTACCTCAGTACTCTGATATGTAAAGTGTGAATAAAAATGCTATCAACCTAACAGAACTTTGGTGAGGATTGATAGGATCTGGCCCTTCAAGGACATAGCACAGCACCCGGTAGTTAGAGGCATTCAATATTACCTGCCTTTATTATTTTAACTGTTATTTTTCTCATCCCATTCTCTTTCTCCTTCACCTTCTTCCCCATTTTTCCTCTTTCAGCCTCCAATCCCTATATAATGGAAATGAAAATTGTACATACTCATTAAAATGGCCTATGTGACCAGAAAAAGCCACAGAAAATCCAAAATATAGAATCTTTTTTAAAAAAATAATGAATCAGCATTCCTCATTTCCTTTCCAGATCAGTTTCAGAAGTTTCCAATTCAGAAATCTGGTACTTTTCTTTCTGTGTTTTAATTCTACAGCATCATTTATAGTTTTACAGGTTATTTTTCCAGTAAAAAAAATAAAACCTGAAAATCTGTCTACAATGATTTCTTGTGGTAGGTGGCAACAATAGAGCTTTCATGCTGAAAATTACAATTTTCTTTTTTTTCCGAAAGTAATTTGGGCTTGGAGGAAAGGTGCTAAAATGTTGTAGGATGAGACTGGTAATTTCATTCCTTCTTTTCCCCCTACCCCCTTACAGTATGTTACCCAATTTAAGTCATTATTGTGTGTTAGCACTGACTAACAAGAGGCCCTTGTCATATGACTGAGGAAGACCACAAATGTGCTTTTCCCACTGTGAGATTAGCAGCCTGGCACACCATAGACATGTTCTCACCTTGATCCTCTGTATGCTTCAGGCGACATCATTTTTTTTTCAGAAGAATTTCACCAACAATCTTTGTCTCCTTACTAAAATGCTGACAAGGGTTGGCTTATCTTCTGATACATGCTGGAACAAACTTCTCCTTCATAAAGGGCATATAACCATCCCCATAGGGAAAGCAGAGGTAATGCTCAGGGATTCCTGAACCTTACCTCCAACTCTCACCTTTTCAGCCTATGGAATGTGAATCATGAAGACATTTGTTAATGTTTAACAAAGGTCTTGTTTTCTTTGATTATGCAGGGGACATAAATTATAGGTCTGGTTCCTTAAGAATTTTAAATCTAATATTCTACTTGAGAAATTTCATAGGCAAATTCATTAAAGGTTTTTTTTATCATTTCTTTTTATTTTTTATTTTTATTTTTTATTATACTTTAAGTTCTAGGATACATGTGCACAATATGCAGGTTTGTTACATATGTATACATGTGCCATGTTGGTGTGCTGTACCCGTTAACTGGTCATTTACATTAGGTATATCTCCTGATGCTATCCCTTCCCCCTCCACCCACCCCACGACAGGCCCCGGTGTGTGATGTTCCCCACCCTGTGTCCATGTGTTCTCATTGTTCCGTTCCCACCTATGAGTGAGAACATGCGGTGTTTGGTTATCTGTCCTTGCAATAGTTTGCTGAGAATGATGGTTTCCAGCTTCATCCATGTCCCTACAAAGGACATGAACTCATCCTTTCTTATGGCTGCATAGTATTCCATGGTGTATATGTGCCACATTTTCTTAATCCAGTCTATCATTGTTGGACATTTGGGTTGGTTCCAAGTCTTTGCTATTGTGTATAGTGCCGCAATAAACATACGTGTGCATGTGTCTTTATAGCAGCATGATTTATAATCCTTTGAGTATATACCCAGTAATGGGATGGCTGGGTCAAATGGTATTTCTAGTTCCAGATCCTTGAGGAATCACCACACTGTCTTCCACAATGGTTGAACTAGCTTACAGTCCCAGCAACAGTGTAAAAGTGTTCCTATTTCTCCGCATCCTCTCCAGCACCTGTTGTTTCCTGACTTTTTAATAATCGCTATTCTAACTGGTATGAGATGGTATCTCATTGTGGTTTTGATTTACATTTCTCTGATGGCCAGTGATGATGAGCATTTTCTCATATGTCTGTTGGCTGAATAATGTCTTCTTTTGAGAAGTGTCTGTTCATATCCTTTGCCCACTTTTTGATGGGGTTGTTTGATTTTTTCTTGTAAATTTGTTTAAGTTCTTTGTAGATTCTGGATATTAGCCCATTGTCAGATGGGTAGATTGTAAAACTTTTCTCCCATTCTGTAGGTTGTCTGTTCACTCTGAAGGTAGTTTCTTTTGCTGTGCAGAAGCTCTTTAGTTTAATTAGATCCCATTTGTCAATTTCGGCTTTCGTTGCCATTGCTTTTCGTGTTTTAGACATGAAGTCTTTGCCCTTGCCTATGTCCTGAATGGTATTGCCTAGTTTTCTTGTAGGGTTTTTATGGTTTTAGGTCTGACATTTAAGTCTTTAATCCATCTTGAATTAATTTTTGTATCAGGTGTAAGGAAGGGATCCAGTTTCAGCTTTCTACATATGGCTAGCCAGTTTTCCCAGCACCATTTATTAAATAGGGAATCCTTTCCCCATTGCTTGTTTTTGCCAGGTTTGTCAAAGATCAGATGGTTGTAGATGTGTGGTATTATTTCTGAGGGCTCTGCTCTGTTCCATTGGTCTATATCTCTGTTTTGGTAAAAAGTACCATGCTGTTTTGGTTACTGTAGGCTTGTAGTATAGTTTGAAGTCAGGTAGCGTGATGCCTCCAGCTTTGTTCTTTTGTCTTAGGATTGACTTGGTGATGCGGGCTCTTTTTTGGTTCCATATGAACTTTAAAGTAGTTTTTTCCAATTCTGTGAAGAAAGTCATTGGTAGCTTGATGGGAATGGCATTGAATCTATAAATTACCTTGGGCAGTATGGCCATTTTCACAATATTGATTCTTCCTACCCATGAGCATGGAATGTTCTTCCATTTGTTTGTGTCCTCTTTTATTTCGTTGAGCCATGGTTGGTAGTTCTCCTTGGAGAGGTCCTTCACATCCCTTGTAAGTTGGATTCCTAGGTATTTTATTCTCTTTGAAGCAGTTGTGAATGGGAGTTCACTCATGATTTGGCTCTCTATCTGTTATTGGTGTAGATGAATGCTTGTGATTTTTGCACATTGATTTTGTATCCTGAGACTTTGCTGAAGTTGCTTATCAGCTTAAGGAGATTTTGGGCTGAGACAATGGGGTTTTCTAAATCTATAATCATGTCATCTGCAAACAGGGACAATTTGACTTCCTCTTTTCCTAATTGAATGCCCTTTATTTCCTTCTCCTGCCTGATTGCCCTGGCCAGAACTTCCAACTCTATGTTGAATAGGATTAGTGAGAGAGGGCATCCCTGTCTTGTGCCAGTTTTCAAAGGGAATGCTTCCAGTTTTTGCCCATTCACTATGATATTGGCTGTGGGTTTGTCATAAATAGCTCTTATTATTTTGAGATATGTCCCATCAATACCTAGTTTATTGAGAGTTTTTAGCATGAAGGGCTGTTGAATTTTGTCGAAGGCCTTTTCTGCATCTATTGAGATAATTATGTGGTTTTTGTCTTTGGTTCTGTTTATATGATGGATTACTTTTATTGATTTGCATATGTTGAACCAGCCTTGCATCCCAGGATGAAGCCAACTTGATCGTGGTGCATAAGCTTTTTGACGTGCTGCTGTATTCGGTTTGCCAGTATTTTACTGAGGATTTTTGCATCGATGTTCATCAGGGATATTGGTCTAAAATTCTCTTTTTTTGTCGTGCCTCTGCCAGGCTTTGGTATCAGGATGATGCTGGCCTCATACAATGAGTTAGAGAGGATTCCCTCTTTTTCTATTGATAGGAAGAGTTTCAGACAGAATGGTACCAGCTCCTCTTTGTACCTCTGGTAGAATTCAGCTGTGAATCCATCTGGTCCTGGACTTTTTTTGGTTGGTAGGCTATTAATTATTGCCTCAATTTCAGAGCCTGCTATTGGTGTATTCAGGGATTCAACTTCTTCCTGGTTTAGTCTTGGGAGGGTGTATGTGTCCAGAAATTTATCCATTTCTTCTAGACCACAGTGCAATCAAACTAGGACTCAGAATTAAGAAACTCACTCAAAACCACTCAACTACATGGAAACTGAACAACTTGCTCCTGAATGACTACTGGGTAAATGACGAAATGAAGGCAGAAATAAAGATGTTCTTTGAAACCAATGAGAACAAGGACACAACATACCAGAATCTCTGGGACACATTTAAAGCAGTGTGTACAGGGAAATATATAGCACTAAATGCCCACAAGAGAAAGCACGAAAGATCTAAAATTGACACCCTAACATTACAATTAAAACAACTAGAGAAGCAAGAGCAAACGCATTCAAAAGCTAGCAGAAGGCAAGAAATAACTAAGATCAGAGCAGAACTGAAGGAGGTAGAGATACAAAAAAACCATTCAAAAAATCCGTGAATCCAGGAGCTGGTTTTTTGAAAAGATCAACAAAATTGATAGACCGCTAGCAAGACTAATAAAGAAGAAAAGAGAGAAGAATCAAACAGATGCAATAAAAAATGATAAAGGGGATATCACCACTGATTCCACAGAAATACAAACTACCATCAGAGAATACTATAAACAGATTCACTTAAGGTTTTTTTCCTGCATCCAATAAGCTAAAATGTAAAACACACTATTTCCTAATATAACTTGCAATAAAAAATATCAAGTGACCAATATTAATTTTGTTCAGATAGCCTAACAGTTTTGCTTTGTAAATTCTAAGTTCTCAGTTATTCCCTCAGAGAAAGAGTAGGGGATACCAATGTTCAATTATTCATCACGTAAAATAGTCACACAAGGAACTGAGTTTTCCTTGCTCCCTGGAAAAGATTTTAGGGACTCTTGATGTTAGTAAGGGATTGGGGAGAAGAAGGGAGCCAGATGTGTGCATCTCCACAAAAGTGGAGAAGGTGAGTGCCTGCTTCTCCAGGGGACAATCCACAAACACAGTAGTCAACAATATGGCACTGCTCCATGAAACCCAATAGGAAGCTACAGTGTGCTTGAAGAAAAGTAAACCATAGGGTCTGTAAAGTCTAAAATTGATGATACATTATTCCATTATTCCTAAAGAGTTAGACCATCTTACCAGAGTACTGTGTTCAGTTTAAACCACCATATTTTTACATTTGAGAGAATGAGGAGCATTGTGCATACTGTGGTCTTTTCGTTTTTCTTTTCTTTCTTTCTTTTTTTTTTTTTTTAATAAAAAGCTGCATAGAAACATTGTAGAGGTCTACCTGGGAAACTATTTTTTCCCTTTTCTGTCTTTTTTTCTTTTTTCTTGTTTTCCATAACTTATTGGGGAACAGGTGGTATCTGATTACATAAGTAAGTTCTTTAGTGGTGATTTGTGAGATTTCGGTGCACCCATCATCCAAGCAGTATACACTGCACCATATTTGTAGTCTTTTATCCCTTACCCTCTCTCATTCTCCCCCCCCAAGTCCCCACAGTCCATTGTATCATTCTTATGCCTTTGCATCCTCATAACTTAGCTCCTACATATCAGTGAGAACACACAATGTTTAGTTTTCCATTCCTGAGTTACTTCAGTTAGAATAATACTCTCCAATCTCATCCAGGTTGCTGTGAATGGCTTTAATTCATTCCTTCTCAGGGCTGAGTAGTATTCCATCATATATATATATATATATATATACACACACACACACACACACACACACACACATATGTACATATATATATATATATATATATATATATATATATATATATATATATATATATATATATAAAATACCACAGTTTCTTTATCCACTTGTTGATTGATGGGAATTTGGGTTGGTTCCACTATTTTGCAATTGTGAATTGTGCTACTATAAACATGCATATACAAGTATCTTTTTCATATATTGACTTCTTTGTCTCTGGGTAAATACCCAGTAGTAGAACTACTGGGTCAAATGGTAGTTCTACTTTTAGTTCTTTGAGGAATCTTCACACTGTTTTCCACAGTGGTTGTACTAGTTTACATTCCCACCAGCAATGTAGAAGTGTTCCCTGATCACTGCATCCACACCAACATGTACTGTTTTTTGATTGTTTGATTATGATCATTCTCAAAGGAGTAAGGTGGTATCACGTTGTGGTTTTGATTTGCATTTCTCTGATCATTAGTGACATTGAGCATTTTTTCATATGTTTGTTGGCCATTAGTATATCATCTTTGGGAATTGTCTATTCATGTCCTTAGCCCACTTTTTGATGGGATTTTTTTTTCTTGCTGATTTGTTTGAGTTTGTTGTAGATTCTGGATATTAGTCCTTTATCAGATGTACAGATTGTGAAGATTTTCTCCCACTCTGTAGGCTGTCTGTTTACTCTGCTGACTATTCTATTTGCTGAGCAAAAGCTCTTTAGTTTAATTAAGTCCCAACCATTTATCTTAGTTTTTATTGCATTTACTTTTGGGTTCTTGGTCATGAAATCCTTGCCTGAGCCAGCATCTGGAATGGTTTTTCCATGTTATCTTCTAGAATTTTTATAGTTTCAGATCTTAGATTTAAGTCCTTAATCCATCTTGAGTTGGTTTTTAACTTGAGAGACGAGGATCCAGTTACATTCTCCTACATGTGACTAGCCAATCATCCCAGCACCATTTGTTGAAAAGGGTGTCTTTTTCCCCACTTTATGTTTTGGTTTGCTTTGTCAAAGATCAGTTGGCTGTAAGTATTTGGGTTTATTTCTGGGTTCTCTATTCTGTTCCATTGGTCTGTGTGCCTATTTTTATACCAGTACCATGCTGTTTTGGTGACTATAGCCTTACAGTATAGTTTGAAATCAGGTAGTGTGATGCCTCCAGATTTGTTATTTTTGCTTAGTCTTGCTTTGGCTATGCAAGCTCTTTTTTGGTTCCATATGAGTTTTAGAATTGTTTTTTCTAATTCTATGAAGAATGATGGTGGTATTTTGATGGGGATTGCATTGAATTTGTAGATTTTTTTTTGGCAGTATGGTCATTTTCACAATATTGATTCTACCCAACCATGAGCATGGGATGTGTTTCCGTTCGTGTCATCTATGATTTCCTTCAGCAGTGTTTTGTAGTTTTCCTTGTAGACGACTTTTGACTCCTTGGTTAGGTATATTCCTAAGTATTATATATTTTTTTGCAGCTGTTGGAAAAGGAGTTGAGATCTTGATTTGATTCTCTGCTTGGTCGTTGTTGGTGTATAGAAGAGCTACTGATTTGTGTACATTAATCTTTTATCTTTGCTGAATTCTTTTATCAGTTCTTGGAGCTTTCTGGAGGAGTCTTTAGGGTTTTCAAGGTAAGCAATCATATCAGCATCAAACAGTGACAGTTTAAATTCCTCTTTACTGATTTGGATGCCCTTTGTTTCTTTCTCTTCTCTGATTGCTCTGGCTAGGACTTCCAGTGCTGTGTTAAAGAGGAGTGGTGAGAGTGAACATCCTTGTCTTATTCCAGTTCTTAGAGGGAATACTTTCAATTTTTCCCCAATCAGTATTATGTTGTGGGTCTGTGGGTTTGTCAGGGATGGCTTTTATTGTATTGAGATATGTCCCTTGTATGCCAATTTTGCTGATAGTTTTAATCATAAAGGGATGCTGGATTTTGTAGAATGCTTTTTCTGCTGCATCTATTGAGATGATCATGTGATTTTTGTTTTTAATTCTGTCAATGTGGTGTATCACATTTATTGACTTGCATTTGTTAAACCATTCCTGGATCCCTGGTATGAAACTCACTTGATCATGGTGGATTATCTTTTTGATATGTTATTGGATTCAGTTAGATAGTATTTTGTTAAGGATTTTAGCATCTATGTTCATCAAGGATATTATTTTTGGTTATGTCCTTTCCTGGTTTTGGTATTAGGGTGATGCTGGCTTCATAGAATGAATTAGAGAGGGTTCTTTCTTTCTCTATCTTGTGGAATAGTGTCAAAAGGATTGGTACCAATTCTTCTTTGAATGTCTAGTAGAATTCTGCTGTGAATCCATCTGGTCCTAGACTTTTTTTTTGTTGGCTATTTTTAAATTACTATTTGAATCTCACTGCTTGTTATTGGTCTGTTCAGGGTGTCTAATTTTCCCTGATTTGAGCTAGGATGGTTCTATTTTTCCAGGAAGTTATCCATCTCTTCTAAGTTTTCTAGTTTATGTACACAAAGGTGTTCATAGTAGCCTTGATTGGTCTTTCGTATTGCAGTGGTGTCAGTTGTAATATCTCCTGTTACTTTTCTTAATGAGGTTATTTGGATTTTCTCTCTTCCTTTCTTGGTTAATATTGCTAATGGTCTATCAATTTTATTTCTATTTTGAAAGAACCAGCTTTTCGTTTCATTCATCTTTTGTATTTTGTTTGTTTGTTTCAATTTCATTTAATTCTGCTTTATTCTTGGTTATTTCCTTTCTTCTGCTGGGTTTGGGTTTGGTTTGCTCTTGTCTCTCTCATTCCTTGAGGTGTGAATTTAGAATGTCCATTTGTACTCTTTCAGTCTTTTTGATGTAGGCATTTAGGGATATGAACTTTCCTCTTAGTACCACCTTTGCTGTATTCTAGAGGTTTGATAGATTGTGTCATTATTGTCGTTCAATTCAAAGAATTTTTAAATTTCCATCTTGATTTCATTTTTGATCCAGTGATCATTCAGAAGCAGGTTATTTAATTTCCATGTATTTGCATGGTTTTGAAGGTTCCTTTTGGAGTTGATTTCCAGTTTTATTCCACTGTGACCTGAGAGAGTGCTTGATATAATTTCAATTTTCTTAAATTTATCGAGGCTCATTTTATGACCTATCATGTGGTCTATCTTGGAAAAAGTTCCATGCACTGTTGAACAGAATGTGTATTCTGCAGTTGTTGGGTGAAATGTTCTGTATATGCCTGTTAATTACATTTGTTTAAATCACTATTATTGTGTTGCTGTCTATCTCATTTCTTAGGTCTATTAGTAATTGTTTTATAAGTTTGGGAGCTCCAGTGTTAGGTGCATATATGTTTAGGATTGTGATATTTTCCTGTTGGACAAGGAATTTTACCATTATAAAATGTCCCTCTTTGTCTCTTCTAACTACTGTTGCTTAAAAGTTTGTTTTGTCTGATACAAGAATAGCTACCCCTGCTTGCTTTCGGTGTCCATTTGCATGAAATGCCTTTTTCCACCCTTTTACTTTAAGTTTATGTGATCCCTTATGTGTTAGGTGAGTCTCCTGAAGGCAGCAGATAGTAGATTGGTGAGTTCTTATCCATTCTGTGGTTCTGTATTTTTTATGTGGAGCATTTAGGCCATTTACATTCAATGTTAGTATTGAGATGTGAGGTACGGTTGCATTCATCGTGTTATTTCTTGCCTGTGTACTTTGGTATTTTTGTTTTTTGTTTTTGATTTTTAACTTGTATTTTTGTTTTATAGGTCTTGTGTGATTTATGCTTTAAAGAGGTTCTGTTTTGATGTGTTTCCAGGATTTGTTTCAAGATTTAGAGCTCCTTTTAACAGTTCTTATAGTGGTGGCTTGTTTGTGGTGAATTCTCTCAGCATTTGTTTGTCTGAAAAAGATTGTATCTTTCCTTCATATATGATGCTTAGTTTTGCTGGATACAAAATTTTTGGCTGATAATTGTTTTGTTTGAGGAGGCTGAAGATAGACCCCCAATCCCTTTTAGCTTGTAGGGTTTCTGCTGAGAAATCTGCTGTTAATCTGATAGATTTTCCTTTATAGGTTACCTGGAGCTTCTGTCTCACAGCTCTTAAGAGTCTTTCCTTCATCTTAACTTTGGATAACCTGATGACAATGTGCCTAGGCAAAGATCTTTTTGTGATGAATTTCCCAGGTGTTCTTTGTGCTTCTTGTATTTAAATGTCTAGGTCTCTAGCAAGGCCAGGGAAGTTTTCCTCAATTATTCTCCCAAAAATATTTTCCAAGATTTTAGAATTCTCTTCTTCCTCTGGAACACTGGTTAGTGTTAGGTTTGGTCATTTAACATAATCCCAGACTTCTTGGAGGCTTTGTTCATATTTTCTTATTCTTTTCTCTTTATCTTTGTTGGATTGGATTAACTTTAAAACCTCGTCTTAGAGCTCTGAATTTCTTCATTCTACTTGTTTAAATCTATTGCTGAGAATTTCCAGAGCATTTTGCATTTCTGTGTGTCCAATGTTTCCTGAATTTTTGAATCTTTTTTAAGCTATCTATTTCCTTGAATGGTTCTCCCTTCACTTCTTGTATCATTTTGTGTATTTCCCCTTGCATTGCGCTTCACATTTCTCTGGTGCCTCCCTAATTAGCTTAGTAACTAACCTCCTCATTCTTTTTCAGGTAAATCAGGTATTTCTTGGTTTGGATCCATTGCTGGTGAACTAGTATTATTTCTTGGGGGGGTGTTAAAGAGTTTTGTTTTGTCATATTACCAGAGCTGGTTTTCTGGTTCCTTCTCATTTGGGTAGGCTGTGTGAGAGGGAAGGTCTAGGGCTGAAGGCCGTTATTCAGATTCCTTTGTCCCATAGGGTGTTCCCTTGATGCAGCACTCTCCCCCTTTTCCTATGGATGTGGTTTCTTGTGGGCTCAACTGCAGTGATTATTGTGCTCTTCTGGGTCTAGCCACACAGCAAGTCTACCAGGCTCCGGGCTGGTACTGGAGTTATCTGCACAGAGTCTTATGATGTGAACCGTCTATGGGTCTTTCAGTCATAGATACCAGCAACTGTTCCAGTGGAGGTGGCAGGGGGATGCATTGGATTCTGTGAGGGTTCTTAGCTTTGGTGGTTTAATGCTCTATTTTTGTGCTGGTTGGCCTCCTGCCAGGAGGTGGTGCTTTCCCAAAAGCATCAGCTGGGGTATTATGGAGAGGAACTGGAGGTGGGTGGGGCCCTAGAACTGCCAAGATTATATGCCCTTTGTCTTCACCTAACAGGGTGGGTAGGGAAGGACCATCAGGTGTGGTCAGAGCTAGGCATGTCTGAGCTCAGGCTCTCCTTGGGTGGGTCTTGCTGTGGCTGCTGCGGAGGATGTGGGTGTCAATTTAGAGAGCCAAGAGAAATACAGGGGTACAGGAAGCAACAGAAAGGCCAGGTCAATGGAGTTGTGTACCTACGAGGATTATGGCTGCCTCTGCTGAGTCTTGCAGGTTGTCGGGGAAGTGGGGGAAAGCTGGCAATCACAGACATCCAGCTCCCATGCAAACTGAAGGGCATGTCTCACTCCTGCTGTGCCCCACCTAACAGCCCTGAGTCTATTTTCAGGCAGTGGGCGAGCCAGACTTGAGAACTTGCCCCAGGCTATCCGCCTCCCAACTGCAGAGGGAAAAAGGGCTTGTTTCTTCCCCTGCCTGTGGAGTCTGCATGCTGGATTCACGCCCTCCCTTGAGTTCTGGCTGGGAGGCTTCTTGCCCCTTTCAAATTGTTACAAAGTTCAGCTGGAGATATCCTTCTGGCTGTGGTGTTCCCGCCACCGCCCCCCACCCCGCTGCCCCCCCTCCTACTCCTCTGGATGCCCTCCAGATGGATCCCTGTGGTGCCAGGCAGGAATGGCCTGCCTGGAGACCCAGTGAGCTCCCAAGGCCTTTCTGCTGCTTCCTCTACCCCTGTATTTCTCTTGGGTCTCTAAATTGACTCAACTCCAAGTAAGGTCAGAAACTTCTCCCACAAACAGACTTTCAGTTTCTCCAGTGGGGGGTGTTTGTTCAGGAGAGGAGGCTTTCCCTTACCCACTTCCACAGTTGGGGCACTCACAGTATTTGGGGTGTCTCCAGGGTCCTGCAGAACCAGTCTGCTTCCTTCAGAGGGTCTGTGGGTCCTCAGGATTGCTGGATTGTTCTTGCAGTCAATCTGGAGCTAAAGTTCACAATTGACTATCTAAGAAACCATTAATAGCAATTGCCTTTTTTTTTTTTTTTTTTGAGATGGAGTCTCACTCTGTCACCCAGGCTGGAGTGTAGTGATGTGATCTTGGCTCACTGCAACCTCTGCTTGCCTGGTTCAAGTGATTCTTCTGCCTCAGCCTCCCAAGTAGCTGGGGTTACAGGCACCCACCACCATGCCTGGCTAATTTTTGTATTTTTAGTAGAGACGGGCTTTCACCATATTGGCCAGGCTGGTCTCAAACTCCAGATCTCAAGTGATCCACCCAAAGTGGAGGATCTCAGCCTCCTAAAGTGCTGGGATTACAGGCATGAGCCACCATGTCCAGCCTGTACACATTTCTTTATTGTTAAAATCCCTTATCATACCTAAATATTCTATTAAGATAAAAATGAGACTTTTTGAAAAATTACTTACCAAAACACAAAATCTATGTGATAACAATAATAGAAAACTTTTTATAGTACTTACCACATACAAGACACTGTTCTAAGCACTTTATATACATTGACTATTGAATCCTCATAACAACCTTAGGAAGAAGAAATGATCATTAACCCCATTTTACAAAGAGCAAAGTGAGGTACAAAGAGGCTAAATAGCCTGCCCAATGTCACACCTCTGGGAAGTAGAAACCCATGATTTGAAGCAAGGCAGTGTGCCTGGCCTTTTGGCTCTTGAACAGATATACTATAAAGGAATTGAGATAATGCAAGAAGACTGAAAGATAATGTGATTTTTTACCGTTAGGCATTTGAAGAATTTAAAAAGGAAGAGAGGTTGTTAGTTGTTTATGTCAAAGGGGAATCCCATTTGTGTGAGTCCGTGAGCTCTAATTAAAACAGAAAGAAATATAGTTTTATGTAAGGAAGACTTTGTCAGTTGAAGAAACCCTGAAATGACAAACTAGGACGGCAACTTGGAAAACATAGTCCTTTTTTATTAAAAATATCACTGCAGAGTAACTATGGTAATTAAACTTTCCATCTTTATGTTTGCCATGATGTCTTCTTTGTAATGCAATTTCTCTCTTCCTCTGATTCCATCTCCTTAGTTTTATTTACAAATTGTTCCTTTCCAATGGTCTAATATATTCAAATTTTTTGAATTATACCCCAAACACCACCCACTTTCTTTTATTACAGTAACAATTTCATTTGATTGGCTCCATTACTCTTGCTTTTTGTCCACGAATGAAATTAAGATAATTAAATAAAACATATACAAATGATTCATTAAAGTTACCTATGTGAAGTACATGCAGAAAAACTAATAAAGGGACTTTTGAAGCTCACTTTTTAGGGCACAATTTTCCAGAACATAAAGAAAAGGCCATAATAGTCATGTTTTCCAAAGAAATGTTTCATAATGAAATTGCTTTAGTAAAATAGTTAATGGAATGGTAATTGTATACTTTATTGAATGTGCTGGTACTTATCATTAACGTGATTCCATAAAATGGATAACATCTCTTTATTGAGATTGGAGTAGAAAATGAGCTAACAATGCTTAAAAATAAAAAGATTGTACTGACAATATGGGCATTGTACTGACAATAGGGGCATCTTATTTTAAAACAAAAGAAATATTGAAACTTTAAAGTGTTGTTTTGGAAATGTGATAGTTCACTTTCTTGTCTAATTATGCCCACTACACACAATCAAGAAGGTTGAGTCCTACCGTTTCTGCACCAAAGAATATGCTATCAGAAAATCTCCCTAAATTTATTGAGAAAATAAGTTGAAAGAGGTTTTCCAGTAACCCTGATACCCCTGTCCCCACCCCATTAAATACTCAACGGTTCTATAAAGTCTTAGAACATGGTATTTTTCTCTTCCTGGAATATACATGGTGGATGATGTTTCTTTTCTTTGTTTTTTTTTTTTTTTTTTTTTTTTTTTTTTTGAGGCAGAGTCTCACTCTGTTGCCCAGGCTCGAGTGCAGTGGCGCTCACTGCAAGCTCCGCCTCCCGAGTTCACGCAGTTCTCCTGCCTCAGCCTCCGGAGTAGCTGGGACTACAGGTGCCCGCCACCATGCCCGGCTGATTTGTGTGTGTGTGTGTTTTTAGTAGAGACGGGGTTTCACCGTGTTAGCCAGGATGGTCTCGATCTCCTGACTTTGTGATCCGTTTGCCTTGGCCTCTCAAAGTGCTGGGATTACCAGGGTGAGCCACCATGCCCAGCCAAGGTGGATGATGTTTCAACTCCCATAAAATAGGCTGTATTCTTTGTGCAATTACTTTACCAATAGCTATATTGTCAGCCTCTTTTCTGGCAATACAAGTATTTGGGAGAGACATTATTATATAGTTAACCTTGAATCTTTATCATGCATGCAAAAATAAATTATAAATAAAATATGTTACTTTAAAAATTATTTGTAGCAAACTTCACATGTAGTCAGTTTTAATGAACTAGTTGGTCATGACACTGCAGGAGAGAACTGAGGCTAGACCATCTCATACAATTCTGCCTATTTGCTCAGTAACCAACTAGAACCATACTACATTGCCTATAAAAGTTCTTTTCTCTCTTTCCTTTGATTGAATTGAAAGAAGAATCCTTGAGAAAAAGAATTCAGGTAATTGCTTTCTCTGTATTTCAAAGATAATATCATGTTTGAGTACCTGATCTTTGAGGTGAGCCAGACCTGAGTTCCAGTCCTGACTCTGCTATTTGCTAGATTCGTAATCCTGAATGAGTTACATAATCCCTCTTCTTCACCTATAAAGTGAGCCCATTTAAATAGAGTTCACATCATTAACTGTTATTACTAGTAGATGTAGTTATTCATCATTGTCTGGCAAATTTTCACGAGAAATCTGATTACATAAAAGCTCCCTCTTTTCTCCAAACAAATACATTAGCCTTTCTGAATAAATACTTGTACAATACAATTTCCCCCATAAAGTTATCACAAGAGTTAGGTTGATTCTTTTCAAATAAGTGAGTTATCTGAACAAATAATGAGATTCAGGGAAACTAAAGTTAATTTGTTATCAATAAATCTACAAGCATTTATTGTCCTCTTCCTAGAAGAAGAATAAGTAAGGAAGTCAATACTGGAGTCTTTGATGCCTGAAATGAGTCTTGAAGATTAAATAAGTAGAATTGACATGCCAGAAGGGTGATGATCGTGACCTAAGACAAAGAGGCATGCCAAGGGCTTCTAAACTTGAGTGTGCACCAGACTTGCCTGGAAGGCTTGTTAAAACACAGATTGCTGGGCCTCTTTCAGGGAGATTCTGATTAACAATGTTTCATATAAAGCCTGAGGATTTACCTTTCCAACAAACATTTCATAGTTGATTTGGGTGCTTCTGGCCTGGGACCACACTTTGAGAACCATTGGAATAGGGGTGATGCACTGGGGGACTACAGGGACTGTGGCTTGTTACTGATGAAGCAGGCAATAAGGAAATGGCCAGAGATGGGCCAGAAAAGGAAGAAAGGACACAGATCATGGAATAACCTGGATATCTACTGATAAAAGTCTTCTTCAAGAAGAGTACAAATTTAGTCCGAGGCCCAGTTTAGAAGGATCAGTGCCACACTAATGAATTAGGGAGTGGGAAATCTGAAGCCTGGTTGACCATCTGAGAGGCTGGTATAATAATTCAGAGCAGAGATGATAGGGGCTTGAGCTAAGTAAGTGTGGGGATGAAGACAAATACACAGGACTTGCTGATGTATTTAGTGAAGGGATAGAAAAAGCCCAGTTTGAAGATGTTCTTTAAGGACTCATGGTCTGTAATAAACTATATGAACTAGAATGGTTCTAATTTTGTGTTAAAAATAGTTTTGAATTATTTCATATGTTTACATACATGCTAAAATAGAAAAGGTTTGAAAGAATTTAATGGGTTTCACCCAGCTACTGACCATTTTGGTACTCTTTTTCCATTTGATAAAAAATCCCCCATGTGTGTAAGAATAATTAATGTTTGCTATTTTGCATTTAATCCCTGTTTTGTACAAGGAACTGCACTACACGCTCTGCATCTAATATTGTATTAGTCTGTTCTCGCATTGCTATGAAGAACTACCTGAGACTGGATAATCTATAAAGAAAAAAGGTTTAATTGGTTCCTGGTTCTGTAGGCTGTACAGGTAGCATGGCTAGGGAGGCCTCAGGAAACTTTCAATCATGGTAGAAGGCAAAGGAGAAGCAGGCATATTTTCACATGGTGGAGCAGGAGAGAGAGGGAGAAGAGTGAGGTGCTACACACTATAAACAATGAGATCTTGTGACAACTCACTCACTGTCAGAAGAACAGCAAGAGGGAAGTCCATACCCATGATCTTATCACCTCCCACCAGACCCCTCCTCCAACACTGAGGATTACAATTCAACATTAGATTTGGACGTGGACACAAATCCAAACCATATCAGGTATTTTACTTAATTCTCACCACATTCTATAAAGTAGGTACTATGTTGGCCCTACTTTACAGATGAGGAAACTATGGCTCACAGGTTATATCATTTACTGTTTCAGTTATCTTCCACTTGCCACTTCATATCCACTCTCCATTTTTTTCCACCTGCTTTCTACCCAAGCAAGCTGAGCTGTGTGGAAGGCTTCCATCTGGGTTTAGTCAATGGAAGAACCTGGTAGAAGATCAGACATAGGAAAGAGAGTGAGGCCATGTTTTATTCCCTCAGCCCCCTCCCTGTTTGTTGTCTTACACTGTTTATGTCACTCAACAAAGTAGAATAGGACCTATCTATACAACGTTTTCCTTCCTGGTTCCAGGGACCATATTTTTCCTTTTCCCTTCAGGTTTAGTGATAGTAACAGCCCTTCTGTTCCTAGAACTGGAGTGCTGCACTCTCCCTCATAGGCTCCTTACAAAATTGCTTACACTTGAAAATTAGTTGCTTTGTGAAACTCTCATCAGATTATTCTACTTTGAGCTTTGAGTGTACCATCTCTTTTCCACTGGAATCCTAACTGATATAATTACTCAAAGATTACAGCTAAAAGTTAGGGGAGGCAGGATCTTGAAATCTCACAGTTTGACACAAGGCACAAGCTCCTAGAGCCTGCTGTGTGTGGGGTGGGTGTAGGGAGGGAGGGTGGATTGGTGAGAAGTTGATTGGTGAGAAGTGTCTTCTCTACTTTATTTTGGAACTGAGTTTAGAGAAGGGCAAAGTGACTATCTAGCTAAATAAATTTTTACAAATCAAGGAAAGCTAAGAGTCAGGAAAAAAAAAAAACTAGTGAAAAATCCATTCTTTGGCCTCTTTACCAGTTCACCCTAATTAGGAAAGAAAAAAAGACTTTACTTTGTTCTAAGTGACCATATATGACACTGAGAGTCTGTATAAAAACAGTCTACAGTCCTACCATTATAAAGATACTAGATGGCAACCCTTGATTTTCTCAGTCTTACACTTCACTCCACTGCCTCCCCCTTTCATCAGCAAGACAACCAATTAAAAGAGTATGGGGAAAAAATGAGACCAAATGGAGCAAAGTTTCTGTGAGATTCTTGAGGCTGTTTAAACTAACAAACTTGTACATGATGTAGAGTAATATTTTTAATGTGTAAAAATAGAGTTCAGGTTGAGAAGCAGCATTCTAGAGTGTATCTATTAATTCTGTCATGTTCACCTCCTCTTCAGTTAAAATAACTCATTTTCTTGCAGTGTATCATATTTTTATTATAGAGTGTCATATATAGTGACATATACAGTTATATGTAACTAAAGTTAAAGTACATAAAATCATCAGAAAACAGATGGATGTTCAACTTTCCAGAACTGATTAGAATTTTTAATCAGAGTTCAGAAAAGGGTACTATCATAGCCAAGATAATGGTTACATATACTCTTAGGAGTTTTCCCAACAATATAACAAACCACAAATCCCTGAGCTTATCAGAGATAAGTTTAGATTATGTTCCTACCATTTAACATTTAAATATATTAGTTCCCATCAAATTCTATGGAGTTGTTGCTATAAATTATCAGACATTAAAAATAAATCTGGCAATGTGGCCACCATCAATTCCTAATAATAAAGACTTGAGGATATGAGAACAAACATAAGTTAATAGATGTAGAAAACAGTTTTTGTAGGAAAATTGTAAAGTGACCACAAATATATGCAAAAGAAAAGGGAAATATTCAAATTCAGAATTCAAAAGAATGACAATGTATTAGTCAAGACTCAATTTCCTACCGAATTACAATATTCAGTATATTTTGTTTATGGGCACAAAATAACAAAATTTTCTATGAAATCACTGTGATAATTGCAATCAATATATACATGGCCAAAAGCTGTTAAATTTATTTTCCTAAAAAGTGTCTCATTAAGTTGGAAATGAATGATGCAATAGCATAGTGTAAAATTTAGAACTCTTATCTTTAAGCCTAGGGTTATTTTCACTCTAGTAAATTTCTATTCTAACAAATTACACAGAAACTATTGATAAAATTTCCTAGTTCTCATATCCCTACCCAAATTTCTGCTTGCTGCCTTGGAGCTTTAATCAAGTGAATCTATTCCAGGTCATGTCCATCCATATGCAGTTGTCTTAAGTAAACTGCAGCCTTGAATGGAACTTTCATTGCCACCATTGATGTGATCAATTCTAGTCCCCACAGCCAAATTGATCATGCAGCAACTGACATCCATCTTTGAGAGAGCCCCATTTAACAATCCCAGCATGCCTCTATGAATTCACTTTCAGCCACAAACAAATCCAGCCTTCACATTGTGCAGAAGGTTTTCCCACACTAGTGAGAATAACGCACAGCTACCCCAAAATTCTAAGTTTAATGATTTGGGTGATCCACCATGTTTGTAATCATAAACTTGGCAAATGAGGGAGAAAAGAAAATAAAAAATAATAAAAATACTGAGCAAAACCAAACCTTGTCTCTAAATCAAGTAAGTGTTTTCTGTAGTATCTATAAGCTCTGTTTGTATGTTAAAAGTCAATAATGTTTATAGTATACTTTTGCAGGCAAGACAGTGTTCAGTGTTCTAAATTTCTTCATTTATTATCTCATTCACGTCTCTCAATCACCTTAGTTTTTTTGTTAATTATCTCATTCAGTCTGCTCAACATCATACAAAATAGGCATTATTAACAACAATTTGTAATGAGGAATGAGTAAGGTTAATGAGGAAGATTAAATCATTAGCTCAAGGTTATATGACAAGCGGCTGAGGCAGGAATCAGACCCAGATTTTATAGGTTCCAGAATAACCTTGGGTTTTAATACTATAAACTTCATATCTGAGCCAAGGACATGAGTACTTTCTTTGGTGGTGATATATACATCACATTTTGTGGCTCATTTCTCTAGTATTCTCAACCCTAGCTTTTACCAAACCTCATGAAGAAGCTAAAATGTATTCCAAATTATAAATAATGGAAAAGAGCTTTCTGTCTCGTTGATCTGTCTGATGTTGACAGTGGGGTGTTAAAGTCTCCCATTATTATTATATGGGAGTCTAAGTCTCTTTGTAGGTCACTAAGGACTTGCTTTATGAATCTGATGCTCCTGTATTGGGTGCATACATATTTAGGATAGTTAGCTCTTCTTGTTGAATTGATCCCTTTACCATTATGCAATGGCCTTCTTTGTCTCTTTTGATCTTTGTTGGTTTAAAGTCTGTTTTATCAGAGGCTAGGATTGCAACCCCTACCTTTTTTTTGTTTTCCATTTCCTTGGTAGATCTTCCTCCATCCTTTTATTTTGAGCCTATGTGTGTCTCTGCATGTGAGATGGGTTTCCTGAATACAGCACACTGATGGGTCTTGACTCTTTATCCAATTTGCCAGTCTGTGTCTTTTAATTGGAGCATTTAGTCCATTTACATTTAAAGTTAATATTGTTGTGTGTGAATTTGATCCTGTCATTATGATGTTAGCTGGTTATTTTGCTCATTAGTTTATGCAGTTTCTTCCTAGCCTCGATGGTCTTTACATTTTGGCATGATTTTGCAGTGGCTGGTACCAGTTGTTCCTTTCCATGTTTAGTGCTTCCTTCAGGAGCTCTTTTAGGGCAGGCCTGGTGGTGACAAAATCTCTCAGCATTTGATTGTCTGTAAAGTATTTTATTTCTCCTTCACTTGTGAAGCTTAGTTTGGCTGGATATGAAATTCTGGGTTGAAAATTCTTTTCTTTAAAAATGTTGAATATTGGCCCCCACTCTCTTCTGGCTTGTAGAGTTTCTGCCAAGAGATCCGCTGTTAGTCTGATGGGCTTCGATACCAAAGCCGGGCAGAGACACAACCAAAAAAGAGAATTTTAGACCAATATCCTTGATGAACATTGATGCAAAAATCCTCAATGAAATACTGGCAAACCGAATCCAGCAGCACATCAAAAAGCTTATCCACCATGATCAAGTGGGCTTCATCCCTGGGATGCAAGACTGGTTCAATATATGCAAATCAATAAATGTAATCCAGCATATAAACAGAACCAAAGACAAAAACCACATGATTATCTCAATAGAGGCAGAACAGGCCTTTGACAAAATTCAACAACACTTCATGCTAAAAACTCTCAAGAAATTAGGTATTGATGGGACAAATCTCAAAATAATAAGACCTATCTATGACGAACCCACAGCCAATATCATACTGAATGGGCAAAAACTGGACGCATTCCCTTTGAAAACTGGCACAAGACAGGGATGCCCTCTCTCACCACTCCTATTCCACATAGAGTTGGAAGTTCTGGCCAGGGCAATTAGGCAGAAGGAAATAAAGGGTATTCAATTAGGAAAAGAGGAAGTCAAATTGTCCCTGTTTGCAGATGACATGATTGTATATCTAGAAAACCCCACTGTCTCAGCCCAAAATCTCCTTAACCTGATAAGCAACTCCAGCAAAGTCTCAGGATATCAATGTACAAAAATCACAAGCATTCTTATACACCAATAACAGACAAACAGAGAGCCAAATCATGAGTGAACTCCCATTCACAATTGCTTCAAAGAGAATAAAATACCTAGGAATCCAACTTACAAGGGACAGGAAGGACCTCTTCAAGGAGAACTACAAACCACTGCTCAATGAAATAAAAGAGGATACAAAGAAATGGAAGAACATTCCATGCTCATGGGTAGGAAGAATCAATATCGTGAAAATGGCCATACTGCCCAAGGTAATTTATAGATTCAATGCCATCCCCATCAAGCTACCAATGACTTTCTTCACAGAATTGGAAAAAACTACTTTAAAGTTCATATGGAACCAAAAAAGAGCCCGCATCACCAAGTCAATCCTAAGACAAAAGAACAAAGCTGGAGGCATCACGCTACCTGACTTCAAACTATACTACAAGCCTACAGTAACCAAAACAGCATGGTACTTTTACCAAAACAGAGATATAGATCAATGGAAGAGAACAGAGCCCTCAGAAATAACGCCGCATATCTACAACTATCTGATCTTTGACAAAGCTGAGAAAAACAAGCAATGGGGAAAGGATTCCCTATTTAATAAATGGTGCTGGGAAAACTGGCTAGCCATATGTAGAAAGCTGAAACTGGATCCCTTCCTTACACCTTATACAAAAATCAATTCAAGATGGATTAAAGACTTAAATGTTAGACCTAAAACCATAAAAACCCTAGAAGAAAACCTAGGCATTACCATTCAGGACATAGGCATGGGCAAGGACTTCATGTCTAAAACACCAAAAGCAATGGCAACAAAAGCCAAAATTGACAAATGGGATCTCATTAAACTAAAGAGCTTCCGCACAGCAAAAGAAACTACCTTCAGAGTGAACAGGCAACCTATAAAATGGGAGAAAATTTTCGCAAACTACACATCTGGCAAAGGGCTAATATCCAGAATCTACGATGAACTCAAACAAATTTACAAGAAAAAAACAAACAACCCCATCAAAAAGTGGGCAAAGGATATGAACAGACACTTCTCAAAAGAAGACATTTATGCAGCCAACAGACACATGAAAAAATGCTCATCATCACTGGCCATCAGAGAAATGCAAATCAAAACCACAATGAGACACCATCTCACACCAGTTAGAATGGCGATCATTAAAAAGTCAGGAAACAACAGGTGCTGGAGAGGATGTGGAGAAATAGGAACACTTTTACACTGTTGGTGGGAGTGTAAACTAGTTCAACCCTTGTGGAAGTCAGTGTGGCGATTCTTCAGGGATCTGGAACTAAAAATACCATTTGACACAGCCTTCCCATTACTGGGTATATACCCAAGGGACTATAAATCATGCTGCTATAAAGACACATGCACACATATGTTTATTGCAGCACTATTCACAATAGCAAAGACTTGGAACCAACCCAAATTCCAACAATGATAGACTGGATTAAGAAAATGTGGCACATATGCACCATGGAATACTATGCAGCCATAAAAAATGATGAGTTCATGTCCTTTGTAGGGACATGGATGAAGCTGGAAACCATCATTCTCAGCAAACTATTGCAAGGACAAAAAACCAAACACCGCATGTTCTCACTCATAGGTGGGAATTGAACAGTGAGAACACATAGACACAGGAAGGGGAACATCACACACTGGGGACTGTTGTGGGGTGGGGGGAGGGGGGAGGGATAGCTTTAGGAGAAATACCTAATGCTAAATGATGAGTTAATGGGTGCAGCACACTAGCAGGGCACATGTATACATATGTAACTAACCTGCACATTGTGCACATGTACCCTAAAACTTAAAGTATAATAATAATAAATAAATAAATAAATAAATAAATAATGGAAAAGAGCTTAACATTAACAAGAATTAAAATTTTAAGGCAAAATTAAATATTGCATGAAATATAGATAGATTTAGTGGATGCAAGGAGGATTACCTTGAACTCTTAAAATAACCCATCGGATAGCCACCTTTTCTGTAACACACAAGCAGTAAATATGACTAGGGGAGAAGTAAGAAGTCACCGGGAAGAAGAGAAAAACAACAGTCTCATGGAAAGTGCAGAGACCAAGTGATGCATGTTTGACTCCAGGACTTCACTGTGAAGGCTTCCTAAATATCAAACCACTAAATCATTTCTAAAATACTGGGATTTTTAGAGAATGCTGGTTAAACACAGAGGAGTGAATACATGAGTCAATCTCTGCCCACTCTTTAAACACCAAAATGATAGAGGAGAAATAAAAACAAAGTAAACCCTCAATGACAAAACAAACAAAAAGAACTAGAGGGAAACAACAGCAGGGAGGGAATATCAATAAATACTTTGTAGGTTAGAAGTCTATAAATGAAAGGACACTGAGTTTGCTGAGAAGGAAAAGCTAAATTCTTATGTATCTATACAAATAGATAGTGGTAAAGCAAATGATAACATTCCTTAGAACTGAAGATAAGCTTGAGAATGGAAACAAAATGTTCTATTAAACATCAGTGTTCACACTTGTAATCCCAGCACTTTGGGAGGCCAAGGCCAGTGGATTATTTGAGCCCAGGAATTCAAAACATGACGAAAGTTCACTTCTACAAAAAAAATAAAAAAAAAAAAATCAGCCAGGTGTAGTGATACACACCTGTAGTCCCAGCTACTCAGGAGGCAGAGCTGGGAGGATCACTTGAGCCCAGAAGAGGGAGGCTGTAGTGAGCCGAGTTCACCCCACTTCGCTCCAGCCTGGGCAAAAGTGCAAGACTCTATCTCAAAAACAAAAGAAACAAACAAAAAAACAAGCAAATCAAGGTAGAGCTTGGAGCTGAAAACAGAGTAGATAGAAAGACTTCATAGGAAAGACTTAAACCCGTATTTTTTCCTACAATGTTTGCAACCCAGCAACTATCCTTCCCCCACCCCGCCAAGCATTCAAAGGCTAGAAGAGTTTTATATGCTGAAAAAATAAACCAGAGAATTTGGACTCATGGCCCTATGTTATGGGGCAATGGTGAAGCACCAAAGAGAAAGCAAGGAATTAAATGTAAGCCTACATAGTCTCATACTGGAACATCCAGTATCCATTAACATCCCTCTGTTCACAGACCACTGGCATCCCAGGGGCACCCCAGGGTATGCCTACTCTTTGGGGATTTGTCTTTAAAGAAACTGAAACGCTTCACAGTTAATAGCATATAACTCAAAGGTCAAGTCTCAAATGCAAACCATGAGATGAAAACCTCTGCCTTGCTTTTTTCTCTTTTAGAAAAATAATTTGTTATTGAGGTATAATTTCCATTTAATAAGTGATACATTTAAAGTGTAGAATTACATGAATTTTCACAAATACACTGTATACACCTGGGGGAATTACCAACACAATCAAGATACAGAACTTTTCCATCACCCCCAAAGTTTCCTTTTACGCTTCTGCAATCAATCTTTCTCTTTGCCCAGGACCTTCAAGCAACCACTGATCTGCTTTTTGTCACTATAAATGAGTTTGCATTTTCTAGAATTTTATATACAGGGAATCATGCACTATGTGCTTTCTGTGATTGTTTCTCCTTAGACACAATAACGTAAAGAATGATGCTGATAAATTTTGCTAATTCTAAAATGCCTAAAATAAGTCCTACTTAGTCAGGTCATCTTTTTTTAATAGATTTAGCACAGTTTTGTTACATGGATATATTTCATAGTGGTAAAGTCTGGCCTTTTAGTGTAACCATCACTCCCCTCTCAATTTTCTGAGTAACCAATATCTATTATTCCACTCTGTGTACATGTGTACACATTATTTAGCTCCCACTTATAGGTGAGAATGTGCAATATTTGACTTTCTGTGTCTGAGTTATTTCCCTAAAGATTATAGCCTCCAGTTCCAGCCATATTGCTGAAAGACATATTTCATTGTTTTTTATGGCTGAAAAGTATTCCATGATATATATATATACATACCACATTTTATTCATCCAGTCATTCATTGATGTACACTTAGGTTGATTCAATATATTTGCCATTGTGAATAGTGCTGCAATAAACATATGAGCGCAGATATCTTTTGACATAATAATTTATTTTCCTTTGGGTGTGGGATTGCTGGATCAAATAGTAGTTCTATTTTTATTTCTTTGAGAAATCTCCATGCTGTTTTCCATAGAGGTTGTACTAGTTTATATGCCCACCAACAGTATATAAGTGCTCTCATTTCTCCACATTCTTGCCAACATCTATGATTTTTGACTTTTTAATAATAGGTGTTCTGACTGGTGTAAGATGGTATCTCATTGTGGAATTAATTTGCATTTCTCTGAGGATTAGTGATGTTGAGCATTTTTTCATATGCTTGTTGGCCATTTATATGCCTTCTTTTGAGAAATGTCTGCTCATGTCCTTTGCTCACTGCCTACGGGGGTCATTTGTTTTTTGTTGTTGTTGTTGACTTGTTTGAATTTCTTCTAGTTCTAGATATTAGTTCTTTGCCAGATGTATAGTTTGCAAAACATTCTCTCTAATTTACATGTTGTCTGTTCACTCTGTTGATTGTTTCTTTTGCTGTGCAGAAGCTTTTTAGTTTAAGTCACATTTGTCTACTTTGTTTTTGTTGCATTTGCTTTTGAGGTCTTAGTTATGAATTCTTTACTTAGGCCAATGTCCAGAAGTGTATTTCCAAGATTTTCTTCTACAATTTTTATAGTTTCAGGTCTTACATTTAACCTTGAATTTATCTTGAATTATTTTTGTATATACTGAGAGATATGAGAGCAGTTTCATTTCTCTGCATATGACTATCTAATTTCCTAGCACCATTTATTAAATAGGGTATCCTTTCCCCAGTTTGTTTTTGTCCACTTTATCAAAGACTGGTTGGTTGTAGCTCTGTAGCATTACTTCTGGGTTCTCTATTCTGTTCTATAATTTTATAGCAGTACCATGTTGTTTTGGTTACTGTTGCCTAGTAATATATTTTGAAGTCAAGTAATGTGATGCCTCCAGCTTTGTTCTTTTTGCTTAGGATTGTTTTGGCCATTTGGGCTCTTTTTTTGGTTCCATATACATTTTAGGATTGTTTTTTCTAATTCTGTGAGAAATGGCATCGGTATTTTGAAAGGAATTGCAATTAATTAATTACAATTTAGTTTCTGTCTTAATTTCATCATTGACCCAAAGATCGGTCAGGAGCAGGTTGTTTAATTTCATATATTGGTATAGTTTTGAGAGTTCCTCGTGGAATTAATTTCTACTTTATTTCACTGTGGTCTGAAAAGATATTCAATATGATTTCAATTTGTTGAAATTTATTGAAACTTGTTTTGTGGCTTAATATATGATCTAATTTAGAGAATGTTCCATGCACAGAGAAGAAGAATATATATATTCTTCAACTGCTGGACAGAATATTCTGTGAATGTCTGTTGGGTCCATTTGGTTGAGGGTCCAGTTTATGTTCAGTGTTTCTTTGCTGATTTTCTGTCTTGATGATCTGCTTAATGCTTTCTGTGGAGTGTTGAAGTCCCCCACTCTTACTGTATTGCTGTATATCTCTTTTCACAGGTCTAGTAGTGTTTATTTTATGAATCTAGTTGCTCTGGTGGATAACAGTAAAAAAGAACAAAGAAGATTAATATATAATGGTAAAGTGATCAATTCAACAAGAAGATACGACAATTCTAAATATACCTGTCCTGCTTTTTAAATGCCTTACTATTAAAATGAACAAACAGCAAACAGTGAGTGTTAGCAATTTGAAAAAAAATCTTTCTCCTTAAGAGACAGAGGGGGTAAATAGAATTTAAAAGAAACAGAGACAGCAAACAAGACAAAATTATTTCAAGAATAAAGGCATTTTTAAAAAGTGCCTTCATAGAAAGAGAGATGAGACTTTATACATAAAACACAAATGGTATGTTGTTTTTAAAAGAACAACAAAAAAGAGTTCTTGGAAATTAAAAATATTATAGCTCTTAAGGAAAAAATATCAGTGAAAGAGTAGGAATAAAAACCAAGCAAGCCTCATAGAAAGTAGAAAAAAAGAAAAGAGATGAATAATGAAAGATAAAAAACTAAAAAATTTAAATATCAACTAAAGATTCAGTCATCGAAATGACAGTTTCATAGAGAATAAGAAAAAAAAAAATGAAGGCCAGTTGCGGTGGCTCACGCCTGTAATCTCAGCACCTTGTGAGGCCGAGGCAGGCGGATCACCTGCGGTCAGGAGTTCGAGACAAGCCTGGCCAACAATGCAAAACCCCATCTCTACTGAAAATATAAAAATTAGCCAGGCATGGTGGCAGGCGGCTGTAATCTCAGCTACTCAGAAGGCTGAGGCAGGAGAATTGCTTGAACCCGGGAGGCGGAGGTTGCAGTGAGCTGAGATTGCACCATTGCACTCCAGCCTGGGTGACAAGAGTGAAATTCCATCTCAAAAAAAATAAAAAGAGAGAGAAAGGAAAATTGTTAAATAAATGGAGATGACTTTAATAGATTGGAAAAAAAAAGTAAGTTGTCATGTTGAAAGACTCGCCAAAATTCCCAGATCAATAAATTAAAAAGATGCACTTGAAGGCCCATCACTATGAAATTAGCACCTCCTGAAGATAAAAAAATTTCAGAGAGGTTCCAGGAAGAAAACTTAAATCATATTCAAAGAGGAGGGAAAAGAATGGCACTTGACTTGTCATCAGCAGAACTGGAATCTACAGAAAGTGAAGAAGCACTTTCAAAATCCTGAGATAAAATGACTCAACCCAAAAATTCCATGTGTAATAAATCATCTATTAATATAAGAGTAAAAATATGACCTGATACTTCAAAACTAAAAAAAATTTACCTCCATTTATATACTTTCTTACAAAGTTGCTGTAAAATGTGCTACAACAAAATGAAATAGTAAACTCACTCTGGATTTAATTGAATTGTTAGACACCCTGTTGATGTCAGAAAATTGGCTGTTAGGATACATTGCAAAAGAAGAATGTTTCAAAATATAAAACGTCAGAAGAAAAAGCTAAAATGGTTCAAATGATTTCCTTCAGAAAGCCTAAGGAGTGGAAAAGAGAAGGGTAGGGGATGCTTTATTTCCTTAAAATCTTTTAGTTTTTTTCCTATGTGCATGTATTACATCATTAAAATGAAATTTGATTTAAATAATAATTCATTTGTAGAAGGTAAGAGTATCATTTAATTTTACTATTCGCTAAGCTCCCCAAATCATAATCCCCATTACTTAGTCATTAATGCATCCATTCATTTGTAAGTATCCACTAAAAGTGCTTAGTTTGAATAAAAAGATTTTTGAAATGTGTAATTTCAATGAGAAAAGCCACATGGAAAAAGCAAGAGAATAAATACAAAGCAATATGTACTGATAGCATTAAAATGCTTATTACTATCAGCTAGCTGAAGTAGAACTTTTTTCTACTGGGCAAATTTTATAACATATTGGACATAATGTGATTGACTAAAGGGAGGATACACTTTGCACTGTACATGTTATCATTTATTATTATACAAAACTCTTCAAAAACAAAGCATTTATACAAAAATCCATTTTGTGAGTATAGGAAAACTGTGTTTCATGCAAAATGAAAACCCAAGCTGTTTTATTTTCATTTTTGGTTTCTCATTTGGCAACCATGTTTTAGTTTAATGTTGGAGTTGAAACATGTGCTACAACTTATTTTGATGGTCTCCAAAATCATTTATTTTGGTCTGAATTTAAGCACTGTTTGAGATTTACTTAATGATGTTCAGGTTGATTTCTTTTTTATTCATTTGCATCAGTCAATTTGTTACTTTTAGCTTGCAAGAAGAATATACAGATGTATTTTAAATACACTATTTAATTCTCAGAAGAAATATAATTCTGCTATGGCAAGGCTGAAACCCTCTAATCACAAACCCTTTCTGCCCCATTGAAACAGCACTTTTCATTATGCACTTCTTTATTAACTTAAGGTTTCTTAGGCAAGCATCATTGCATTAGTGCAGAACAGACATTGGGACGTTTAACAAAACAGAAAACAGAATTTCATTGGAGCTAATTAAATAATGAGAACCATTATATTAGTCAAATTAATTCTGTAAAATCATTTCACTTAGTTGCATCCAGTGATAGATGGCTCCAGTGGGGTTTAGTGTGAGGTGTGGGGGAGGGGGTAGGTTTTTGTCAACATCCAACAATTGAGGCAACTAGAAAAGAGATTACCTTATAGCCAGATGCACCTCATTCTTTCCTGGTCCTTTTCTCTTATATTCTTTTTCTCTATTCTATGTTTTTATGCTCTTTTGTTTTCTTTCTTCCCCGTGTCTTTGTCATGCCAAATATAGCTACTTAACATGTATTATGTGTCGGGGATGATACACTATGTACATGTATTAACTCTTTAATTCTCACCACAAGCATTTCCGTTATACTGATAAAGAAGCTGAGATGCAAGAGGAACTCCTCAAATTCACATAGCTAGAAGAGCCCACATTCTTAATTGTTACATCAAACTTAATTTTTACATTATTCACTACTTAACAAACCTGATGCTCTAAGGTGTCCTTGTCAACTCTCCCTACACACACACACACACACACACACACACACACACACACACAGGCTGAGTCTGATGACTCTTAAAGAAGTCCAACAAATTCCAGCTTCAACTAGCTCAACCTAATTGGTCAGTCTTTTGCCTGCAATGCAGTTGTTAGTTGTCCAGTTCGCCTTTGGATTCTTAGACTATTTCTATCTTCCAAAACAGTGTTGAGGGCTGTTACAGATAAATAATAGGAAAAAGTCTGATTGGCTGGCTCTGAATGTATGCACATGACATGGCTGTTTTGGTTTTAGCCTTAGGATGCCATTTTCCAAAAGCTTACCTGTGCATTATAAGCTACTGTTGGCAGTCTGTTGCTGCTAAAATGAGGAATAATTCCTGCCTATTAGTAAGTGAGTTTACCTCCAGGAAACCACTGAAAGTGAGTACAAATCAGAAGAGTTTCTGCAGGAGCCTAAATTAACCTGCAGGAGCCTTTCAGAGCTGCAAGCAATATTACTCCCAAGCACAGCAAGGTCAGCCCAGTCACAATTTTGGCTCTGCTTCTAAAGTGGGAATAATTTTTAAAAGAGAATTGCCTGTTGCTTTCTGTTGTGGAGTGGGGAGGGAAACATTAAGAAAATTTGACTAATCAAGTGCTAGAAGAATTGAAAACTGAAGTTTTCTGATTAGAAATGCAAAGCTAGGATCATGCCTTCTTGTATTTGTCAGAGTGGGGAACATAAAATCCTCCTAACCTATTCAGCTAGCTGAAATGTTTCCATGACAACAGTGGGAGCTTGGAACATTCGGTACTCTTGTCTTCAAAAATAACCTTTCAGTATAGGCAAGAGATTGTCAAAAGCACTAACCCAACTTCACCTTTGCTGTCCAAGGTAACTACCTGACCATTATCTTGGTCTCTTACTTCCCTGGAAGAACTTCAAATGGTTTGTTTATCCTATAGCATACGAACACAAATTAAGATAACCAGCCCAGGTTAAACTGTATTTAGTCTCAGCAGGTTATAGCACTTTTAGTTTGTGCTATTAGTATAAAATGTACTAGTTTTACCAAAGCAAAGAACTTACTTCTATGCAAAGAATTTATAAAGGTTGTTTCTTCTCTCCTTTTAAAGGCAATCAAGTTGAAAATATAAAATAAAGTTATCTCTGATAATATTTTTCTGACATGTCATCAACACACGTTCATGATAAATAATATAGAAAATGCAGGAAAATGTTAGGGGAAAAGTGCATTTATTATCTCACAGCCCTGAGAGCCTACCCATTATTAACATGTTTATATATTCCCTGCTAGTATTTATAGTATAGCCCTATTTTATTTGTTCATATTTATAAACTAAACCATTATTTAAGTTTGGCCACAGAGATAAGCTTGGATAATAAAAGGTTTATTGCCTAAAATAAAACCTCAAAATATAGTAGATAATCATGTGGGTGGCAGTGTTTCCAAGACTGACATCATGAGAACCAAAACAACAGTTTAATGAATACTCAAATGTAATTAACCTACCTCATCTGCGCATTTGGCATTCCTACTTCTCCAGAAAGAGGCACTGATTTGTCTGTTGGCCACCATCCAATATGGGGCATCTCTTTCCCTGGCTTAATCAGTCCTGGCCCAGGTGGCACACTTATTTCAGGTATCACAAATGCTATAAACCCCAGAAATCTCACTGGGCCATTTCAGCCTTCTTTGTGCAGAAGGCAGCTTCAGAGGCTCCTTTCCAGTTTACCCTATACACAATTTTATATTATTTTCTTTCTTTCAGAGATATATCATCAGTAACGTTTCAGGAGTGGGACAGTGGAAGTGGTTCACCTCAGATGCAAGCAATAAGGGGGAAGGAACATATAGAGAAATTAAAAGCAACGATTAATAAATAAAATCAAGTAAAATTCAGCCTGCCTCATAGTCTCACAATGTTCCAGTGATCCTAAATATCAGGGAGAAAATATTCTTTTTCTTCAAATCCTTTTTGTTGATCTAGGTTCTAAACAATTAATGAAGACATGGGTGAGTTTTACTAGTATATATTTAAGCTTCAAATGAGCACATTTTCATTAGTTACACATTAATAACTTTGTTATGTACATGAGAATTAATCCAAACGACTCCATGTATGGTCCATGACACACATAATTAACTACCCGTGTTCCTCTCTTTTGGAAAGTTAGTTCTATAGGATTTAGAATCATTCAAGCTCACTTTGGATGCAGTTCATGTATTCAACTCCTGTGCTGTATATTCCTGCACTTAACTAGTAGATTTTAATAAAAAGTGGCAACATAATGGTTGTAAAGATAAACAGAAGTTGAGTTACTTCAACTATGTCTTTGTATGTGCAGATCATTCTCTGAAACACTGGGAATCCAATGTTTGGAAGTATTGTGGCTTCCCCTCCCCTTCTTTAAAAAAATGTAGTCTAAAAATACTAATTTGTTTATTTTCATTCTTAGTACTGTGTTATTCATTTTTACATTTTATTTTATTCCGTTTTCTTTACTGGCATGATTACATATGAAAAAGTTCAAGATAAGAATTCTATAATTCATGCTTCTTTTTTAACATTATTATTTGTTATACTTTATGGTTCTATATTAACTAAATAAATTTTAAAAATTATAACTGGTAATTACAGAAATTAATCAGTGAAAATAATTTTGATCTATAGAAAGGAGGGAAAAAATTAAAAATAATTCACCCTAGATGTCAAATACTTTAGGTATTCCTCTGTCTCTTATGTTTTAAGCATGTAATTATAATGAAGTTTTCCTTACAAACACTATCCCACTACATCCAAAATATTCCTTTACCCAGAGAAGCCAAAATTTATTTAACTACTAATCTATTATTGAACAAGTAGGTTGTTTCCAGATTTTGCTGTTATAAATAGTGCTATAATGAATATCTCTGTATACATTTTATTCCTGCTTTCTGACGAAACCTGAGTTTAACTTTATGGGACTGCTTATAAGCAATAAACAGGGCCAAGAAGCAGGGCAGGAGTACCATAATCAATTATTCACAGACTAGATGATGTGAACCGTTACTGTAATGATGAGTTCACTGTAGTGAACTCTCGTTTATTCAGTAGTTAATTATCCATAAACCAAGTATCCATAATTTAGATTACCTACCTACAGCATCCTAAGGAAAAAAGCCAAAAGACAAAAAATCCTTATGGTGCGTTGGCTTTAAAAAGCCTTAAGAACCTCCCTGTTTAATATATGCCTCTATAATTTCTGTGCTGTATTCTTGAACATTTCCATCTATCATGTTATACAGGAGCTTTGCAGAATAAAATCCTCCCAGGCAGCTACCAGTCATCTGGAGCATCCTAATATGCTATATTTATTCACATTTCAATGCACATGCTAAATAAGAAATTGGTGATATGATGGAAGGGACTATGGATACTCAGATTTGTTCTTAAGCTTGGAGTCAGACATTTCTCTGGGTAGTTTATTTCCTGCCAATCTTGTGTGCAACACATAAGGAAAGTAAATACAAGGAAAATCTGATTTACCCCCACACCAAGGAAGAAGCCATGCCCCAAAGTCACAAGGCGGTGCTTCTGGGAGAGGATTGTTCTGGGCACAGTAGGACAAATTGGTGGCTAAAAGTTTGGCTCTAGTGCCAGACTACCTGAGTTCGAATCCCACTTGCTAGCTAGGCAAACTTAGGCTGGTCATGGGCTGTACTAGGCTGTGGGATTAAATAATAATAACAATAAACAAGTTGTAGTCCCTGCCCTGCTGGAAACTTAGTTGACAGAGAAAGAAAAGAGAGTCACACAATTGAAAAAATTATTACACAGGAGAACACAGATGAGGGCATCCCACCCAGACTCAGGATATCTGTCAGTTATTATTTTATTATTGAGATTGAGGTTTTGTTCTATAGAAGACACAATCTGTTTGAAAGTAAACCATATATACATACACACACACACACACACACACACACACACACACACATTGAAGGTAGATTTTTTTCTCTCTTCCTATGTGTGTATATGTACACACACATACATTGAAAGATTATGCATGCATACACATACATGTATACATTTACACTCATGCAAGTATTTATATACATACATGAATACGTATTTTTCTTCCAGGCAAAATGATTGGATAATGCTTCCATCCTCTTTTACTATTTGGCCCTCTTCTTCATTTTTTCTCAACTCTTAAAGCAAGAAAAACCCAAATTCCTGGCTCAAATCCAAATTTTACTTCTTGCTACATACACTTAACCTTATTAAGACTCAGTTTCTATATCTGTAATAATAAAAACAATATCATCTAATAGGGATTTTATGCAGATTATAAGCAATAATGTACATAAAATGTTTGACATAGTGCCTGGCACACATTTAAAAAGACAATGAATGTTAGCTGCATTTACAATTAGTAATTAAATTACTTCAGTCAATATAAGAATTATCCATAGACTTGAGGCCCGTTATTATTATCCTCCCTCTGGAATCTCACAATTATTTTAGACCTTTTACTGAGCACATAGGAAAGATAAAATTATCTATATGTAGAAAGGGTTCTTTTCTATGACTATCTATGAGCTATTGGACATAGAAGACTGTTCCAGATATTCCATGTTGCCTAGATAGGGGTCTCTTCTCTCCCCACTTGCACACCAACCCATAAGTGTCACATGACCCCAGTACTCAATTTCAATATTTAGAGAAGGTTGTTACCCCCAAAAGTAAGCCAAATGGAAGACTGAACAATGTCAGGCATACAGGCAAGTGTCACTTCTGAAGGACATCTCAAAAGCTGCACTCCACTGGTTACTTTTGATGGGGAGTTCTGACCCATAGAACTGGAAGGATGAGCTTCATTCAGGCTAACTCTCAAGGGCCCTGGTGTCTCAGCCCCAGTGCTGCTGGCCAACTGTACTTGCTGTGTGGAGCTTAGGGGTCTTTCCTTGTGGACTTAGCTCCTGTCCAAATGGCCATTCCTATTCAGCTAGAAGAAATTATTTTTTCAGTCTAGGAAAGGAGGTCAACAAGTAGATTAAATCTGTTTTCAAATTGTATTCGTGTTTTCCTTGAAATAAAGCCTTTGCAAAGTTCAAGAGCCAAAACTTTGACAGCTTTTTTCTCTGGATTTTGGCAACTTCCAATTAAGCCAATGGGTAGTTCCCAGTCAGCTTCCTGGAACAGGGTACAATTCAGTGAAGCATGGAAAGAGGAAAACCACAAAGGCCACAACCAAAATGTATTTACTCTGTATGTTTACTTCAAGTTAGCCTTGATAAGAAAATGACAAAGAAGCAAGTCCAGAGTGGCTTATCACTTTGTAACTCATCCTACCGCTAGGGCAAATGTGGGGCTTAAATAATCACTTCATTCTGGGGGCAGGGAGGAGAGGAAGGGTTAAATTAGGAGAGGCAGTCTCTAGTAGAGGCTAAGACCATGTGCTCTTGAAATAAAAAGCCCTGCGTTCCTGTCCTCATTCAGCTACTTACAAGCTGAGTGACTTTGGGCAAATTACACAACCTCTCTGAGCCATGGCTTTCTCGATTGATAAAGTGGATGATAAGGATGGTTCTGTGTTTACATAGTCTTTTGAGGGACTAAATAATGATAAAGTCTCAGCATAAGGAATCAAAGAGTATATCTTATCTTCTGCTATTTTAAGGGAGGTGGATGGGGGGAGGTCTAAGACAAGAAAACTTTATCATATTTGTGTTCTGCTTTGCCAAGCCTGTGTTATTAGGTTTCCAAGATCAGGAAACCACCAGACGCCTTGTCTGATGTCAGCCATTCATTTTTGTTGTGCAAAATTCACATTTGCCAGCCTCCCAGAATCTGCTATAGAATGAAGCGCATAAAAGATTCATGCACATTTGGCAGTTACCTCCTGGATAACACTTCTCAAGGGATTGATTAAGGAATTTAATTTAAACCAACAGAACCAGTAGTATTTCTGCTGATCCCTCATGTAACTGTGTTAGTGAACATAAATATACATGGACAGGCTTTGGATATCCTGTGATTCTTACAATTATGTAGTTCAAAGCAAAGCAAACTGATTACCATATGCATGAAACTGAAAAACAGAAAGTTCCATTCTGTTTCAGCAGTAGAAGAAAAGGTGGTTTTGAAATATGAGTTATCTCAGTCCCTTTATTTGATGAGTTTTCAATACTCGTACAGAGAAAATATTCATCAAAATGTATCACATGGAAGCATATTAAATGTATGTTTTTCTTCTCAAGTTGCTGTGTTCAAACTTTGTCCCAAAGTAATGCTAGCTAACGTAACCTCTGCAATAATATGAACATGCAAGTCATTAAATGTTAAGGAATAAAGAGCTCAGAATTTTTGCTTATATTTGGTTGTCATAATATATTTACAATAATTATGTCTAGCATTATATTGAGCTGCAAAGAATTTTATGTTTTTCAATAATCTTTCAGGGAAGCTCAATATATAAAATAGATAAAAAGCAGAAAATACCTGGTTAAAGAGTGGCTTAGATACCTGAATATTCTAACCTTGAAGCCTCTCCATCTGTCCCGAGAAATAGTTCCTGAAATGACCCTGTATACTCCAAGGACTCAAAAGAAAATAATTTGTATAATGCATTATTCCTTTTTATACACTTTCACTTTATTTTATCCTCACAAAAGCCTAATGATATAGATCTTGCCCTCATTTTACAGATCAAAAAACCAAAATTCAGAATGGAAATATTTTCCAAGTACTCCATTTTTAAGTACCAGCTTTTGGACTCAAACCTAAATCTTATTACGCTAATGCAGAATTTCTTAACTTTGGCACTATTGATATTTTCAGCCAGATAATTATTTGTTCTATACGACTACCTGTACATCATAGGATGTGTAACAGCCTCCTTAACCTCTACCCACTCGAAGCCAGTAGCGTACCACCCTAGTCATGACAATCAAAAGTGTCTACAGATATTACCAAGGGTCCTGTGGAGTGGGGTGGAGGTAAGGGAAATAAAATGGCCCCAGACTGAGAACCATGCCTCTAAAGCCAGGGCTCCTAACCTGGTATCTAGGATCCCCAAAATAAAACATAGGTAGGATTCTAGGGGTCCTTGAACTTAGATGGGAAAATTTTACATCTTTACACTAATATTTAATAGAAATTTAACATTTCTTTCCATAATTAATGTAGGCAACAGGACTTAGTGGTATTATTACCACGAATTACACTTGAGACTTGTAACCAATAAAACATCAATGGAGTACTATTCAGCCATAAAAAAGAGTGAGATCCAACCATTTGCAACAATGTGGATGGAACTGGAGATTATTATGTTAAGTTAAATAAGCCAGGCATAAGGAAGACAAACATCACATGTTCTCACTTATTTGTGGAATCATAAATCAAAACATTTGAACTCATGGACATAGAGAGTGAAAGGATGGTTAGCAGAGGCTCGGAAGGATAGTGAGGGGCTGGGGGAGGCGGGTATGCTTAATGGGTACCAACAAAATAGAAAGAATGAATAAGACCTACTATTTGATAGCACAATAGGGTGACTATAGTCAATAATAACTTAATTGTACCTTTTAAAATAAAAGGTGTAATTGAATTTGTAATTCAAAGGATAAATGGTTGAGGGGTTGAATACCCCAGTCTCCATGATGTGTTTATTTCACATTGCATGCCTATATCAAAACATCTCATGTATCCCATAAATGTATATGCCTACTATGTGCCCACAAAAAAAATTTTTTAATAAAAATTTTAAATATAAAAAGTTGACAAAAAGGAGAAGAAAAAACATGAATAAACCAAACTTCACATCTAATTACAATTTATTGCAGGTATTTCAAAATTTTATTTTGTATTTCCTACTTCAAAATTATGATAGATATTAGGCCTACTGTCTAATCTTATTTGATACATTACTTTAAAAGTATATATAACTACATTATATGTTTAAAATTTTGTTAACTATATTTTAATACAATTGTTTTCCTTTGTAATCCTTTCTTTGATTTTTTTGTACCAACACATTTTCTAAGAGGGTGTCCATAGGTTTTACTTGACTGCAAAAGGGATCTATGACACAGAAAGTTTTCATAGCCCTGCCCTGAAGCCCCTGCTTTTACCACCTTATATTTGGAGAGACAAGTTTTATATTTGGAGAGACAAACTTTTTTATGGGCTAAGAGTGCACACTGTATTGCACCTGTAATCAAATTACTAGCTGTTCTTTGTCTATAAAATGAGAATAATAGTAGCACATATCTTTTACTAGCTCTCATAATGTTAAGTGTTTAGCACAATGACTGGCACGTAGTGAGCACATAATTACTACAAGTTATTTTTATTACTCCTTTAATGTCTTATTGTTTATATATAATTGTCAAGTAACTATTTTGCCAATTACGTTACAATGGTATTGACCAAACACAGAAATCTTTGAAATGCATGCCAAAGAACATAAAATGCTTACATTAGTCTCTCTCCTGCCTAGTGCTGGTTGGCATTTTTAATTTGCAGGAGGTGTATAAGAAATTCATCTTCTTCAAGAGGGATTTGAAAATGTTCAGAACTCCACTTGTTCCTAGACACTGTGAGGATGGAAGCAATATTTATTTCATAGTGCATGCAAAGCCAATAGGAACAATGACAGCAGAAGTAAACTGGGAATTGTTGAACTGGGTGGAGCTCCAAGCCCTAGGTTTTTGCCTTTTGCCTGGCCCTCAATGTCAATTACCAACAGACACCTGCTGATCATACGTTTCCATTTCTGCTCCATTCTCACTGGAAAATATTTCTTTTCTCATGTGATGCCAATTCATGATAAATGCTCACAAAAGCATGACAATTTCAGTTGCCAGACCATCTGGCTACTGGATATTTCATCATAGTTTTTAGAGCCAAGTGCTTCACCAGTTGCCCTGTTTCTATGGAAACAGAAGCTAGGGTGACAATTCGTGACTTAGATGAACTGTCTCACTGCTCATTAAAGATGGCTTCTGAGGGTCAGTGCACAAGCTGTACTTGTTTTCTTGTAGCCAGAGTGCTAGGTGCTATATTGCTCATTTTTGTTACTCTTATTTGCATCTTCCCTTGTGAGGCACTTGGGGAACTAAATAGAAGTGTGATCTAAGCATAGATAAGCCCTTGTTTCCCACTCTTTCTTAGGAATGGATGGATGGATGGATGGATGGATGGATGGATGGATGGATGGATGGATAGATGGATGGATGAATTCATCCAGTCAGTCAACAAACATAGATGGAATATTTCAACATCAAGTCACTTCTCTTAAACCTTTCACTTTTTGGGATATGGTCCAAGTTCCATAGTTTAGCAAATAAACAAACAAACAAAATCTGAATGATTTTCAAACTGCAGCCATTCATTAGTGAGTGAAATCAATTTAGCAGGTGGTGACAAGCATTTTTACAAGCGAATAGAATAAAATAAGACTGAATAGAGCAAAGTGCATTGTAAGTATTCAGGATAAATATTGCTTCATGAAAATTTTGCTTAAATTTTTAGTGTGTTGTACTGAGTTACAAGGTAAATGCATTTCTTGTTGGAAAGTAAGGAAAAGTTTGAAAACCATTAATAGGGAAGGCCCTTTGATCCACCTTCCATCCCCATTTCTTACATCTATTAATGTTTGCTTTATATATTTAGGTGCTGTAATGGGGGTGCATATATATTTATAATTGCTATATCTTCTTGATGAAGTAACCCCTGATTATATAATGGCCTTCTTTGTATTTTTTTTACAGTTTTTTGTCTTAAATAAATCTATTTTGCTTATATAATTATAGTTTCCCTCCTCCCCCAATTTTGGTTCTCATTGGCTTTGAATATCTTTTTCTATCCCTTAATTTTCAATTTCTGTGTGTCCTTAGAGATGAAGTGAGTTTCCTGAATGCTGAATATAGTTTGGTCTTTTTTTTTTTTTAAATTCATTCAGTCACTCCTTAGAGGTGAAATGAGTTTCTGTAGGCAGCGTATATTTGGGTCTTGGTTTTTTTTTTAGCCATTCAGTCACTTGATGTCTTTGGGTTGGAGAATTCCATCTATTTACATTGAAAGTAACAATTAACATTTTAGGACTTACTATTGGCATTTTGTTAATTGTTTCTGGTTAATTTGTAGATTCTTTATTGTTGCTTTTTTTTCTTTCTTTCTTGATGTCTTCCTTTGTGGTGTATGACCTTCTGTAGAGGTATGCTTTGAAATCTTTATCTTTTGTGTAGCTACAGAGGATTTTTCTTTTGTGGTTATTATAAAAATTACATAAAACATCTTATACTAATAGCAGGCTATTTTAAGCTGATAACAGCTTAACTTTGGTCACTTGCACAAACTCTACACTTTTACTCTCTTCCCCCCCACTTTTGTTTTATTGACACATTTCATAATTTTTATAATTTGTGTCCCTTAAACACATTACTGCAGCTATAGTTATTTGTAATATTTTTGTCTTTTGCCCTTTATACTAGAGATATAATTGATTTTCACACCACTATTACATTATAAGAATGCTCTATATACTTACTATTACCAGTGATTTTATATATATATTTATATATATATATTCATGTTGTTACTTAGCAATCTTTTCTTTCACCTTCAAGGGTTCCTTTCTGCATTTCTTATAAGGTAGGTGCAATTTTGACACATTATTTCAGCTATTTTTGTCTGAGAAAGTTTTTATCTCACCATCCCCCAACACTATTTTATTTTTTTTTATTTTAATTTTTTGAGACGGGGCCTTGCCCTGTCACTGAGGCTAGAGTGCAGTGCCAAAATCACAGTTCACTGTTACCTCTAACATTTGGGCTTAAGAGATCCTCCCACCTCTGCCTCCAAAGAAGCTAAAACTACAGGTGTGTGCCACCATGTCTGGCTAATTTTTTTTTTTTTTTTTTTTTTTTAGAAATGAGTCTTGCTAAATTGCCAGGCTGGTCTCACACTTCTGGGATCAAGAAATTCTTCTGCCTTAGCCTCCCGAAGTGCTGGATTACAGGCATGAGCCACTGTGCCCAGCCTTCCCTTTATTTTTGAAGAACAGAATTACTGGTTATTGTATTTTGGTTGACAGGTATTCTTTTTTCTTTCAGCTTTTTGAATTTTCATTCCATTTCTTTCTGGGCTGAACAGCTTCTGCACAGCAAAGTAAACAATTAACAGAGTGAAGAGACAACCTATTGACTGGGAAAACAATATTTACAAACCATTTATCTGACAAAGGGCTAATGTCCAAAATATATAAAGAACTCAAATAGCACAGTAGCGAGGAAACAAATAATCTGATTAAAAAATGAACAAAAGATGGGAACAGACATTTCTCAAAAGAAGAGATTCAACTGGCCAAGAGAAATGTTAAAAAATGCTCAACATTCCTAGTCATAAGGGAAATACAAATTAAAACTTCGATGAGATATGACCTCATGCTTATTAGAATGGCTGTTATAAAAAAGACAAATGATAATATGTTTTGGCAAGGATGTGGAGAAAAGGAAACCTTTGTACACTGTTGGTATGAATGTAAATTAGTACAATCATTTTGGAAAATGTATGGGGGCTCCTTAAAAAATTATAAATAAAATTATCATATAATCTAGTAACCTCATTTCTGGATATATATCCAAAGGACTTTAAATCAGTATGTTGAAGAGATATCTGCACTTCTATGTTTATTTTAACATTATTCACAATAGCCAAGATATGGAAGCAATCTAAGTGTTTATCAATGTATGAATGGATAAACAAAAGGTGGTATATATACACAATGGAATATTATTTAGCTTTTAAAAAATTCTGTTATTTGTAACAAATGGATGGAACTAGAAGTCTATGTTAAGTGAAATAATCCAAACACAGAAAGACAAATACTATGTGATGTCATTTATATGTGGATTTTAAAAAATCAATCTCATAGAGAAAGAGAGTAAAAAGGTGGCTGAGTGGGGAGAAAGACAAAGGGATGGAGAAAGACAAAATGTTGATCAAAGGATACAAAGTTTCAGTTAAACTGGGAGAATAAGTTTCAGTGATTGTAATGCATAGTGATCACGGTTAGTATGATGTATTATGTATTAGTACTTAATATGTGCTATTGCTAGAATATTTAATGTTCTCATCATTAAAAAAAGATGAATTGTTAAAATGATTGATATGCTAATTAATTGATTGACTCTTTCTATAATAGAAGCATAAATCAAAACATCGCCTTGTACCCTACAAATATACACAATTATTTGTCAGTTAAAAATTTTTAAAAACTATATTTAATCATACTTCACTATTCCAGTTCTCTAAAACACATGTTCTTTTGTGGCTCTTAGAGCCTTGCACAACACATTTATAAATTCTCTCACAGCCCATCTACCAATGCCTGAAACACAGCTCTCTCTGTTATACCTGTAGTCTTCTCTGAGAATCCTCTCCCACCCCTACCAACCTGGGTGGGCTTATAAGCCCCACATGCATGCTAGCACATATATACTTTTTAACTGATGTTTTCCTGTTTTTCATTTTTTTCAGATATCTGCTCTTGAAGATCACAACCATACATAACTAGTTGTAGTAGCACATAACTAGTTGTAGTAGCCCCAGCTCTTAACTTCCACAAGTAACTGGGAATAGCAACTAAGCATAAAAAAAAAACAGTAATCTAGTTCAGTATTGTCAAATGGTGAGATACTTATTAATGCTGGTATTAAATTACATGGTGAGGAAATTATTTTCTTTACAAATCTTAACCATACTTCTGATTACAAAAGAAAGAAAAATCTTTTCAGTGTATTGAATCAAATTTCTAAAATTAAAATCATAACTCTTATGCCAGTATAAAATAAGCACATAAGAAAGATTTTACTTAATTCATTAATTAATGTTGGAACTAGTAAGGTGTTGCAAACAGAACAAAGGAAGGTTCAGAGATGTTCAGTAAGATAAGAATAGAAAGGTGGCCATGGTACTTGACAATATGACACTCAGTGGAGACCTCTGATTATAGAAGGCTGTGTGCAGTAATTGGGCTGAACTATGTGCTGTGGGAGGACCATATCACTCTTTCAAGAAGGGAAGAGAGAGAGGGAAGGCAGTAGCTAGAACAGGAGGTATGGTTAAGGAAAGAGTTTTGTAATCACTGTTTGGTTTGAGTTTTTCATTTGTTTACATGTCTGTCTGTATTGTAACACCCTGAACATGTTTAGAGGCAAAAGTGGAGAAACTATGAGAAAAGGACAGGTAGATGTGAGAGATGGCATAGATAATTGGTTGATAAGGTCTTGGCATTGGTGAGCTGGATAGGATTATTAAAACAATTGAGGATTCTGTTTCAAACAAGACACTAAGTTTGGGTATAAAAGCATTTGTAGATGAGGGAAAGAGGATTCGTTCTTCTTGAGGTTACCTTCTAGGCAATGTTCCATACCTGGTGGCCCCTTTTTTTTTTTTTTTTTTTTTTTTTTTTTTTTTTTTTTTTTTTTTTTGAGACAGAGTCTCAGTCTGTCACCGAAGCTGGAATGCAGCCACACGATCTCGGCTCACTGCAAGCTCCGCCTCCCAGGTTCACCCCATTCTCCTGCCTCAGCCTCCCGAGTAGCTGGGACTACAGGAGCCTGCCGCCACCACGCCCGGCTAAATTTTTGTATTTTTGGTAGAGACGGGGTTTCACTGTGTTAGCCAGGATGGTCTCCATCTCCTGACCTCGTGATCCACCTGCCTAGGCCTCCCAAAGTGCTGGGATTACAGGCTTGAGCCACCGCACCCGGCCTCTGGGGGCTACTTTTTAGGGGACTTAAGAAAAATAAAGATTTGGAATAGCTGCTTGAGTTCAGATGGAGAAAGAATTCACCAAAGATAATTGAAACAAATGTAGAATTGGGTTCAGAACCTGAATAAGGTCGATGACCATGAATTTGTGGTGAAACTCTCTTAGACTGTTGTACCATACTGTCCTTCAGTATTTGATCAAAATGCAAAAGACGGATTGTCAAGCTTCTCACAGTACTGAGCCAATCAAAGGCAAGTCCCGGGGGCCGGACGCGGTGGCAGGTGTCTGTAGTCCCAGCTACTCTGGAGGCTGAGGCAGGAGAATGGCGTGAACCCGGGAGGCGGAGCTTGCAGTGAGCCGGGTCAGCGCCACTGCACTCCAGCCTGAGCGACAGAGCGAGACTCAGTCTCAAAAAAAAAAAAAAAAAAAAAAAGGAAGTCCCATTTTCCATTTTCCATCAGGGCAGCTCAGAGCAAGGAGACTGGGGTTGTCTTTTTTCTGTCCCTCGAGATTGACAGGCTTTTGGCTGAGGTCTGCATGTTAGACTTACAGCTCATGAACCCTCACCAGCAATGCTCTGCCAGCCACACTTCTATTACAAGTAAGACAAGCATGTAAAGATGGCCCTATTGCCCATCATGAGAGAAACATTGAGTTCCACCAAGCAGGAATAAACCAAGAAAAGCTCTGCTATTCTCAATGCATCTCTTTATAAACTTCAATTTAGTGATGTTTTCGTCTGCACACTTAGTCATTTCCAACAATACTCAACCCCGAAATTCATACTTATTCTCAACACTCTACTATGTAGACAAGAATATGTCCATTTTATTTCCCTACTTCCAAGAGGAAAACTTTTTCTTTTCTCTCAAGAGGGTTCACAACATATAATTCTGAGTTATTTATGTTAATTTTTCAAGTAGTGTTATATCGCTTTTCGTAAGTAATCCTAAAGTGGCTTTTTAGCTGTGTTCTCTTGACAGGATCCTACAACCAAAGCTAAAGGGCAACCATGATTGGTATGTTCTCTTGATTCTTATTAGTTCTTTGAATATAAAAGCCCTAAAGAGTGGACTGTGCAAGCACAAAACAAACAGTTTCATAATTAAACAAAGGTATTCTCAAACCAGACAGCTCTCAGAAGCAAAATAAAACTTAAATCCTATAATGAAGAAAAGAGATAGTTTTAAAAATGCATAACTAAAAAATAAAAAACAATAGCATTTCATAAGACGTCTCAGATAGTAACACATTAGAGTGAACAACAGAGTTTGGAGGATCGTACCCCATGAAATAAGGATTTCTAACGTCATCGTGTTTGAGTAGGTATGCTCTTCTAAGAATGTCTTCTTATAGTTTGCAATACAATGAGAGTATTTGCAGAGAAGATTTCAGCCTAGATTCTGAAATAAAGGAAGCCTAGTGATAAAAAATTGAAATTGCAGAAATGAATGACGTAGAGCACAAATTGAAAATGTGTACAGCACAAGAGTTGTAGCTGACTGGTGTGTTGTGCTCACTACTGTAGGAGACCCTTGATTTTCACAAAGGACATATGGTACCCAGTTAGTTCTTGGATAGGAAACAAGCTTGTTTTCCTCTAGATCATGCTCTCATGAAAGCCTCATGTTTACTATGCATAGCTTCCCAATGTAATTATAACTAAAGTTTTATTTCTTTTTAAACAGCACTTTTTTACTGACCTGACATTCACTAAATGGTTTTAAAGTCAATTGTTACATTTTTATATAGAACGTACAATGAATTGTTTCACAACTTATTTATAGTATCCGGTAAATTCTACTTTTCTCTTTTAGTTTATCCAAAGCATTCCTAACTATGAGCCACTACTTTTTTAGACTTCCCCACTTGTTCTTTACTTCCAGGGCCAGCACCAACAGCAGGAGTTGGTTCCTAGAGTGGTTAAGAGCCAGGCTCTAGTATTAAATGGCATACATTCAAATCCCTACTCTAGCATTTCCTAACTATGTGACATTGGCCAGTTTGATAGATCATTTTCATCCTCAGTTTCTTCCTCTCTGAAATAGCATCTACATTTTAGCTTGATTGTAAGTATTAAATGAGATGAATGACATCATAAAAGGCCTGGTACATAGTTAATAATTGTTTGACTTTTTGAAGACCCATTTTTCACCCATGCACCACCCAAATTGTTTTTTATGTATGAATGAAACAGCACTTTGCAATGAGGTTCAACTGCTAGGGAAAAGGGAGGAAGTAAGTTAACTAGTTTTAATCACTAATTAATTTGCAATACATATGATTTAAATATGTGCCTGAGCTAAATTGCAAATTAAAAACTAACATTAAACTTTTCTCATTACTGGAAGAGAGACAAAAATCCAAATTACTAAATCCATGAAAACTTTTTCTATGGTATGCAAATGGGTAATCTTGTTCTTTGACTTACTGGATATACCAGTAGGAGCTGAGTAAGAGATTCATGTATTAATGTCTTTCTGCTTTAATGGTTTCTACTCTCAGCCAAAGACATTTCCTTCCTCCACAGACTAATAAACATGTTACAACTTCCCTGAAGCCTATATAAATGACACCAGGGACATCACTTTGAGTAGGTTGAAGTGCATGCATTGTCTTATTTGAATGATTCATTGGGAGTTTATCATACATGATTTTTATTTTAATATTTTATATAAGTATATTGTGATATTTCTAATACAGTTCTATTTCTGCTTGCACCCTTCAGTGACTCTCCATTGTCTGCAGGATAGAGTCCATGTTTCCATATAAAGCCTTCTCTACCTTTCTACATTTATTTCCTGCCCTTCCTTGACAAGCCCCCTGTGCTCCTGCTACGCCAGAACACTTCAAGTCCCCTAATGTAATGTGTGTATGTTGTATTCAACTGTGCTAAAAAGACAAGAAAAAAATAAAAAACTGTATAAAACCTATAAGAAATATTGAGCTTAGATAGTAAGTAAACCTGTAGCTTATGAGGTATAGGTAAAATTCATAGGATAATTAAGCATGGATAATGAGTAAGCAAGTACCTTGTGAAACAAAGGCAGAATTCATATGATGTGTTCAATGTAGACAATAAATTAATAACATGTGACATGCCAAAGAAAAAATTAAATAGAAAAATATGATTGCACAAACAAGAATGTTACTTACAGATAGAAAGATCAAAGTCTTAATCATCAATTGATAACTATGATGCCCCCAAACATGGCCACCCATTAGCAACACCCTAAAGGACCAATTCTGACCCCGCATGTGCTCTTCCCAATAAATACAAGTAAAACTCATGGCTGGGGGATTTGTTGCCAAGACACAGCTGGGTTTAAACTACATCTTTCCCTACACCGCATTGGCCCAGAGTATGTTCTGTGAGCTATGTTTCTTGAACCTCAACTCTGGTCCTCATAATCACACTATCATTGGGAAAGTCTGAGGTGAGAGAAAGAGAGAGAGAGAGAGATGTATGAACATTGCATACCCCAGAATTCAGGTGCTGAGGTTCTTATACCAGGTTGCACCCTATCATAAATGTAGCTTTCCCCGTATCTTTCCCTTTGGTTCTGTGTTTTAATTTGATTTACTATATCACATGATTCAAGTATTTTAATTTTGTCCATGAGCCTTTCTGTTCTATGGTGCTATGGGAAGTTTGCATGTTAGTACGCCTAGAAGCTATTAAGGCATCAATATAACTTCTTCTATGACACCTGATCCTATCAGGGTTTTTTTCACATATTTCTGCAAATGTTTTCTTCTCTCTACCTAGAATGCCATTCCCCCATACCTTTCCAGTGAATAATTATTTATCCTTTAAAACCCAGATCATGCTGGTCTACTTTTAAAGTCTTTATCTCTGCTGTTTGTTTCACCACTGTACTTTGTGTTAGACAGCATCTAAAATGGATTTCAATGATCCTCACTTTCTGATATTCACATCAATGTGTAATTCCCTTCCTTTGAGTTTGTTTGGACTTACTTCATATGGATAGCATATAGCACAAGTGATACAATGTCATGTCTCGATCAGGTTTTAAAAAGCCTGACTTCTAGCCAGCTGGCCCTTTCTTGCTATTTTTCACTTGCTCTGATGGAAGCCAGTTGAGAGTTTCCCTATGGACATGCCTATATGACAAGAAACTGAGAGAGGTCTCCAACTGCCAGCAAGATACTGAGATTCTCAGCTCAACAGCATGTGAGGAACTTAACCCTACCAACAACCTTGTAAATGAGCTTGAGTATGACTCATCACTCAGTGGAGCTTTCAGATATGACCACAGTCCCAGCCAGCAACTTGATTGCAACCTTGTGAAAGGGCTTGAGGCAGAGGCACTAAACTACATCAAGCCCAGTTTGTTGGCTCGCAAAATCTGTGAAATAACGCATTTGTTGTTTTAAGCACTAATTTTTGGAGTAATTTGTTATGCAGCAGTAGATAGGCAATAAATCAGCATATACTCATCTAGTGTCGCACTAATCACAGAACACTGGTGTAGTATGTCTGCACCACCCACAAGATTGTTAGCACCTTGAACCTTGAGAACAGGGCTTATTACTATTATTATTATTATTATTATTATTATTGTTATTATTAAGATGGAGTCTCACTCTGTCGCCCAGGCTGGAGTGCAGTGGCGCGATCTCGGCTCACTGCAACCTCTGCCTCCTGGGTTCAAGTGATTCTCCTGCCTCAGCCTCCCAAGTAGCTGGGACTACAGGTACCTGCCACCACACCTAGCTAATTTTTTGTATTTTTAGTAGAGACTGGGTTTCACCACATTAGCCAGGATGGTCTTGATTTCCTGACCTCATGATCCGCCCGCCTCAGCCTCCCAAAATGCTGGGATTACAGGTGTGAGCCACCATGCCCAGCCAGGGCTTCTATCTTAATAATGTTTTCCTAAGGTCTAGCAGCTCCTGTAATGAATTAAGTCTATGACTGGGATGTTTAGTGATTTGGAGGCACCTTGTGGTAAGTCATTTAATCATCATCATCATCATAGCAAATGTTTATTGAATCCTAGTCTTTCAAGGCAATTTTCAAATGCTTTATAGGTGTTATTTTACTTAATTACTAAAATTATCACAACTGAGAAAAGAGGAAACTGAGTCCAGAGAAGTCAGGTAACTTGCCCAACGTCAACAGCTGATGGAGCCTGGCTATGGAGACAAGCGGTCTACCCAGAGTTCACATTCTTAACCACAAAGATTACATCCATATCCTATACTTCTAATAGTATATACATCTTATGTACATCTTATATTTTTAAAATATATTTACTAGCATGGCACCTTATTGTAAAGATGATCAATATAGATGAGTGAACAAGTGAAGAAATCAGCACAAGCCTCTTTTTTTTTTGGCCTGAGTTTGTTTTTTGCTTCTGAGCCAGGGAGACATGCGTATCAGCAACAGAGGAATTTTTTGACTCTTCCCTGAGGATCCATTATTATCTGTGATGATGTGAAACAGAGACCATCAGTCCACAGAGACCCTTTCAATTCCCCATGCTGTCTGAGTGAAAACTAAAGGAATGCCACATTTTCAAAAGCCTTTATTTGTGCCAGTTTTTGTTTCCGTTTTGAACCTATTATTTTAAATGAACTCACTCAGAAAGGAAAAAGTGCATTATCTCTTTGAAATCAGATCCAACTGACACAGTAATCTCATTACATCATAGTTGTAGTCAAACCTGAAATAGTAGTAATTACAAATTGAAATTGTTATTAGGGGTGGGGAAGATTTTTCATAGATTATAACAAACCAAATGATGTGAACCTACACCCATTTGTCCTCAACCTTCAGCCTGGATTCTGGGAAAATTAGTCTAACTCCACCAAACAGAATTTCTTTTTCTATTTGGTATTTGATTTGATTTCTGCTCACCATGGCAAATTGGTCACACACTAAAATAGTATTGGAAGGAGCATGGTCTTCCAATTAGCTGATTTAACTGCCAAAATTATACTGGTGTACTGGATGAGTGATGGAAACCCATGCATGACATAAGATGCTTTATTGGCCTTACCTCCCTGTATGTATAGCCTGGGATGATAAATTAAATCATAACAAGATATAAACTACCTGAAAACCTAACTTCATTAATGTCTTAACCATTTTTAGCCTTGGACTTTTATAACCATTACATTAAACTATGTTATGGCATTTCATTACCCATAAGTAGAAATAACATGGCAAAGAATATTGGGAACTTTTGGAGAATGTGATTCAGGACACTTCTAAGTTGTGCCAAGAGTAAGAAAAGCTAATAAATGAGGTACAGGATCTGCAAAAGCAGTGAGAAATGCTGACTCTTCACAATTCACAACAAATGCTACTTCACAATTTTGCCTAGAAGTAGATTTCTATAGCATATGTGGGGATAGGATGGAAACTTACTGTCTAGATTAGTTAGATTCAAATTAATGAAATGCAGTTGTGGACTGATACAGTTTGGCTATGTCTCCACCCAGATCTCAACTTGAATTCCCAAGTGTTGTGGAAGGCACCCAGTGGGAGGTAATTGAATCATGGGGGCAGGTCTTTCCATTGCTGTTCTCATGATAGTAAGTCTCCTGAGATCTGATGGTTATTGTAAGAGGGAGTTTTCCTGCACAAGCTCTCTTCTCTTGTGTGCCACCACATGAGGCATGACTTTCACTTTCCACCATGATTGTGAGGCCTCCTCCACCACATGGAAATGTAAGTCCAACATTAGTATGCCTTTATCAGCAGCATAAAAACAGACTAATACAGTAATTGGTACCAGTAGAGTGGGGCATTCCTAGAAAATACACTCGAAAATGTGGAACTGACTTTGGAACTGGGTAACAGGCAGGGATTGGGACAGTTTGGAGGGCTCAGAAGAAGACAGAAAAATGTGGGAAAGTTTGGAATTTCCTAGAGACTTGTTGAATAGCTTTGACCAAAAGCCTGATAGCGATATGGACAATAAGGTGCAGACTGAGGTGATGTCAGAAGGAGATGAGGTACTTTTTGGGAACTGGATAAAAGGTGACTCTTGTTATGTTTTAGCAAAGATACTGGCGGCATTTTGCCCCTGCCCTAGAGATCGGTGGAACTGTGAACTCCAGCAAAATGATTTAGGGTATCTGGTGGAAGAAATCTCCAAGCAGCAAAGCATTCAAAAGGTGACTTGGGTTCTGGTAAAGGCATTCAGTTTCATAAGGGAAGCAGAGCATAAAAGTTTAGAAAATTTGCAGCCTGACAATGTGATGGAAAAGAAAAACCCATTTTCTGAGGAGAAATTCAAGCTGGCTGCAGAAATTTGCATAAGTAAGGAGGAGCCCAATGTTAATTCCCAAGACAATGGGGAAAATGTCTCCAGGGCATTTCAGAGGTCTTCATGGCAGCCCCTCCCATCAAGGGCTAGGAGGCCTAGGAGAAAATGGTTTCCTGGGACGGGCCCAGGGTCCCCCACTGTGTGTAGTCTAGGGACTTGGTGCCCTGTGTCCCAGCCACTCCAGCCATGACTAAAATGGGGCAAGGTACAGCTCAGGCTGTTGCTCCAGAGGACGGAAGCCCCAGGCCTTGGCAGCTTCCATGTGGTGTTGAGCCGGCGGGTGCACAGAGGTCAAGAATTGAGGTATGGGAACCTCTGCCTAGATTTCAGAAGATGTATGGAAATGCCTGGATGCCCAGGCAGAAGTTTGCTGCAGGGTTGAGGCCTTCATGGAGAACCTCTGCTAGGGCAGTGCAGAAGGGAAATGTGGTGTCGGAGCCCCCCGACCCACACAGAGTCCATATGGGGCACTGCCTAGTGAAGCTGTGAGAAGAGGGCCACTGTCCTCCAGGTCCCAGAAAAGTAGATTCACCAACAGCTTGCACCATGTGCCTGGAAAAGCTGAAGACACTCAATGCCAGCCCATGAAAGCAACTAGGAGGGGGGCTATACCCAGCAAAGCCACAGAGGAAGAGCCACCGAAGACTATGGGAAGCTACCTCTTTCATCAGCGTGACCTGGATGTGAGTGAGACATGAAGTCAAAGGAGATCTTTTTGGAGCTGTAAGACTTGAGTGCCTTGCTGGATTTCAGACTTGCATGGACCCTGTAACCCCTTTGTTTTGGCCAGTATCTCCCATTTGGAATGGGTGTATTTATCCAATGCCTGTACCCCCCACTGTATCTAGGAAATAACTAACCTGCTTTTGATTTTACAGGCTCATAGGTGGAAGGGACTTGCCTTGTCTCAGATGAGACTTTAGACTGTGGACTTTTGAGTTAATGCTGAAATGAGTTAAGACTTTGAGGGACTGTTGGGAAGGCATGATTGGTTTTGAATTGTGAGGACATGAGATTTGGGAGAGGCCAGGGGTGGAATGATAAGGTTTGGTTTTGTCCCCAGCCAAATCTCATCTTGAATTCCCAAGTGTTATGGGTGGGACCCAGTGGGAGGTAATTGAATCATGGGGGCAGGTCTTTTCCATGCTGTTCTTGTGGTAGTGAGTAAGCCTTATGAGATCTGATGGTCATTACAAGAGGGAGTTTTCCTGCACAAGCTATCTTCTCTTGTCTGCCACCATATGAGACTTGCCTTTCACCTTCCACCATGATTGTGAGGCATCCCCAGCATGTGGAACTGTAAGTCCAATAAACCTCTTTCTTTTGTAAATTGCCCAGTCTTGGGTATGTCTTTATCAGCAGTGTGAAAATGAAATAATACATGGACAAGTATACCCTTTAAAAAGTTTACTTTAAAAAATTTACTTCTAAAAATAATAACAAATTATAATTGAAAATACTTTACTGTTGTTACTTAATATCTTTAGGCAAGCCCCTTGAGGGCTCTAATAAATGGAAAACCTAGAAAAGCTATTTTGAAAAGAGTTTTAAACAGTACATCCCCTGAGCTTAAAACAATTTATGGAAAGCAAAGGCATTGAGAAATTTCCAGGGACTTCCCATAAAGCCTACTCTCTGAGTTTGCTTTGGGGCTGTGGTAAGAGACTATTGCAGACTGGGTAATTTATTGTGAACAGAAATTTATTGACTGATGGCACTGGAGGCTGCGAAATCCAAGATTGAGGAGGGCCTGGCATCTGGCAAGGGCCTTCTTGCTGTGTCATCCCACAGGTAAAGGTGAAAGGACAAGAAAGGGTAAGAGACAGAGGAAGTGAGAGAGGGAGGGAGGGGGCTGAAATCCCTCTTTTATAATGAGCCCACTCTCATGATAATGTTGTTCATCAATTCATGAGGGTGGAGCACTCATGGCCAAGTCACCTCTTAATAGTCCAACCTTTTAATATTGTTACAATGGCAATTAAATTTCAACATTTAAATCATAGCACAAACACTCTGCAATATTTATATCAATAACATTTTATCAATAACAATTTATATCAATAACAATTTATATCAATAACATTTTACCTATACAAATTTGGGGGCAGAGTAAGCACATAGTTTTGTTGTTGTTGTTGTTGTTGTTTTTCTTGGTTTGTTTGTTTTTGAGATGGAGTTTTGCTCTTGTCGCCCATGCTGGAGTGCAGTGGTGCAATCTCATCTCACCACAACCTCCGCCTCCCGGGTTCAAGTGATTCTCCTGCCTCAGCCTCCCAAGTAGCTGGGATTACAGGCATGTGCCATAATGCTTGGCTAATTTTGTACTTTTGTAGAGATGGGGTTTCTCCATGTTGTCAGGCTGGTCTCAAACTCCTGACCACTGGTGATCCACCCACCTCGGCCTCCCAAAGTGCTGGGATTACAGGCATGAGCCACCGTGCCTGGCCCTAAGCACATTTTCTTACTTAACAACTTCTCATGTGCAATCCTTACAAAAGTACTTGAGGATTTTCAGGAGCACTCTGGGAAAATAAAAAATAGTTTTAAATGCAAAAGATATCTATAGATATAGATATAAACTGATTTAGAAATGGAAAAATCAAAAAATTATGAAAGATTTGAACATTTAATTAAGATAAGGTCATGGATGCCAGTTTCATAGTCATGTAACAGTGTAAATGAATCCAAGATCAAAATTTTAAGAACTATGGCTTTAGGATAAACCTTTTTTATTTCTTGAATAATAAAGACACACACATACAGTTATATTTCTTTGTTTCTATTGCTCCTAAAATAGTCTCAGTCCTATTAATTATAGCTTGTAAGCAAAGTAATGAACTTGTATTTCACAAAGAAAACTAGGGAGTGTAATATTGAAAATTGTCCATTATACATAAGCATTTCAGCTGACTAGCAGAACTTATGAAAACATATAACACAAATTTATATGACCTTATATATTCTTTTAACATCTTTTTAAAGTGACTAAAATAAACACATTCATTAACATGCCCCAAAGCTACAACCCCTCCACAGCATAAAAAGGAAGCAAATGTACATAAATATAAAAGCATGCTTAGTAATCAATGTTTAAGTATTCTACCTTACTTAGAAATTATCTAGGTGGGGGGCAGCCAAGATGGCCAAATAGGAACAGCTCCGTTCTACAGCTCCCAGCATGAGCAACGCAGAAGACAGATGATTTCTGCATTTCCATCTGAGGTACTGGGTTCATCTCACTAGGGAGTGCCAGACAATGGGTGCAGGACAGTGGGTGCAGTGCACTGTGCCCGAGCTGAAGCAGGGCGAGGCATTGCCTCACTCGGAAAGCACAAGGGGTCAGGGAGTTCCCTTTCCTAGTCAAAGAAAGGGGTGACAGATGGCACCTGGAAAATCGGGTCACTCCCACCCTAATACTGTGCTTTTGCCGACAGGCTTAAAAAACGGCGCACCAGAAGATTATAACCCGCACGTGGCTCGGAGGGTCCTACGCCCACAGTCTCGCTCATTGCTAGCACAGCAGTCTGAGATCAAACTGCAAGGTGGCAGCGAGGCTGGGGGAGGGGCGCCCGCCATTGCCCAGGCTTGCTTAGGTAAACAAAGCAGCCGGGAAGCTCGAATTGGGTGGAGCCCACCACAGCTCAAGGAGGCCTGTCTGCCTTTGTAGGCTCCACCTCTGGGGGCAGGAAACAGACAAACAAAAAGACAGCAGTAACCTCTGCAGACTTAAATGTCCCTGTCTGACAGCTTTGAAGGGAGCAGTGGTTCTCCCAGCACGCAGCTGCAGATCTGAGAACGGGCAGACTGCCTCCTCAAGTGGGTCCCTGACCCCTGACCCCCGAGCAGCCTAACTGGGAGGCACCCCACAGTAGGGGCAGACTGACACCTCACACGGCCGGGTACTCCTCTGAGACAAAACTTCCAGAGGAATGATCAGACAGCAGCATTCGTGGTTCACGAAAATCCGCTGTTCTGCAGCCACCACTGCTGATACCCAGGCAAACAGGGTCTGGAGTGGACCTCTAGCAAACTCCAACAGACCTGCAGCTGAGGGTCTTGTCTGTTAGAAGGAAAACTAACAAACAGAAAGGACATACACAACAAAAACCCATCTGTACATCACCATCGTCAAAGACCAAAAGTAGATAAAACCACAAAGATGGGGAAAAAACGGAGCAGAAAAACTGGAAACTCTAAAAAGCAGAGTGCCTCTCCTCCTCCAAAGGAATGCAGTTCCTCACCAGCAACGGAACAAAGCTGGATGGAGAATGACTTTGACGAGTTGAGAGGAGAAGGCTTCAGACGATCAAACTACTCCGAGCTACAGGAGGAAATTCAAACAAAAGGCAAAGAAGTTAAAAACTTTGAAAAAAATTTAGACGAATGAATAACTAGAATAACCAATACAGAGAAGTGCTTAAAGGAGCTGATGGAGCTGAAAGCCAAGGCTCGAGAACTACATGAAGAATGCAGAAGCCTCAGGAGCCGATGTGATCAACTGGAAGAAAGGGTATCAGTGATGGAAGATGAAATGAATGAAATGAAGCGAGAAGGGAAGTTTAGAGAAAAAAGAATAAAAAGAAACGAACAAAGCCTCCAAGAAATATGGGACTATGAGAAAAGACCAAATCTACGTCTGACTGGTGTACCTGAAAGTGACGGGGAGAATGGAACCAAGTTAGAAAACACTTTGCAGGATATTATCCAGGAGAAAGTCCTCAATCTAGCAAGGCAGGCCAACATTCAGATTCAGGACATACAGAGAATGCCACAAAGATACTCCTCGAGAAGAGCAACTCCAAGACACATAATTGTCAGATTCACCAAAGTTGAAATGAAGGAAAAAATGTTAAGGGTAGCCAGAGAGAAAGGTCGGGTTAACCACAATGGGAAGCCCAGCAGACTAACAGCGGATCTCTTGGCAGAAACTCTACAAGCCAGAAGAGAGTGGGGGCCAATATTCAACATTCTTAAAGAAAAGAATTTTCAACCCAGAATTTCATATCCAGCCAAACTAAGCTTCATAAGTGAAGGAGAAATAAAATACTTTACAGACAAGCAAATGCTGAGAGATTTTGTCACCACCAGGCCTGCCCTAAAAGAGCTCCTGAAGGAAGCACTAAACATGGAAAGGAAAAACCAGTACCGGCCACTGCAAAATCATGCCAAATTGTAAAGACCATCGAGGCTAGGAAGAAACTGCATAAACTAATGAGCAAAATAACCAGCTAACATCATAATGACAGGATCAAATTCACACATAACAATATTAACCTTAAATGTAAATGAGCTAAATGCTCCAATTAGAAGACACAGACTGGCAAATTGGATAAAGAGTCAAGACCCATCAGTGTGCTGTATTCAGGAAACCCATCTCACATGCAGAGACACACATAGGCTCAAAATACAAGGATGGAGGAAGATCTACCAAGCAAATGGAAAACGAAAAAAGGCAGGGGTTGCAATCCTAGTCTCTGATAAAACAGACTTTAAACCAACAAAGATCAAAAGAGACAAAGAAGGCCATTACATAATGGTAAAGGGATCAATTCAACAAGAAGAGCTAACTATCCTAAATATATATGCACCCAATTCAGGAGCACCCAGATTCATAAAGCAAGTCCTTAGAGATGTACAAAGAGACTTAGACTCCCACACAATAATAATGGGAGACTTTAACACCCCACTGTCAACATTAGACAGATCAACGAGACAGAAAGTTAACAAGGATACCCAGGAATTGAACTCAGCTCTGCACTAAGTGGACCTAATAGACATCTACAAAATTCTCCACCCCAAATCAACAGAATATACATTTTTTTCAGCACCACACCACACCTATTCCAAAACTGACCACACAGTTGGAAGTAAAGCTCTCCTCAGCAAACGTAAAAGAACGGAAATTATAACAAACTGTCTCTCAGAGCACAGTGCAATCAAACTAGAACTCAGAATTAAGAAACTCACTCAAAACCACTCAGCTACATGGAAACTGAACAACCTGCTCCTGAATGACTACTGGGTACATAATGAAATGAAGGCAGAAATAAAGATGTTCTTTGAAACCAACAAGAACAAAGACACAACATACCAGAATCTCTGGGACACATTCAAAGCAGTGTGTAGAGGGAAATTTATAGCACTAAATGCACATAAGAGAAAGCAGGAAAGATCCAAAATTGACACCCTAACATCACAATTAAAAGAACTAGAAAAGCAAGAGCAAACACATTCAAAAGCTAGCAGAAGGCAAGAAATAACTAAAATCAGAGCAGAACTGAAGGAAATAGAGACACAAAAACCCTTCAAAAAATTAATGAATCCAGGAGCTGGTTTTTTGAAAGGATCAACAAAATTGATAGACCGCTAGCAAGACTAATAAAGAAGAAAAGAGAGAAGAATCAAATAGACACAAAAAAAATGATAAAGGGGATATCACCACCAATCCCACAGAAATACAAACTACCATCAGAGAATACTACAAACACCTCTACACAAATAAACTAGAGAATCTAGAAGAAATAGATAAATTCCTCGACACATACACCCTCCCAAGACTAAACCAGGAAGAGGTTGAATCTCTGAATAGACCAATAACAGGCTCTGAAATTGTGGTAATAATCAATAGCTTACCAACCAAAAAGAGTCCAGGACCAGATGGATTCACAGCCAAATTCTGCCAAAGGTACAAGGAGGAACTGGTACCATTCCTTCTGAAACTATTCCAATCAATAGAAAAAGAGGGAATCCTCCCTAACTCATTTTATGAGGCCAGCATCATCCTGATATCAAAGCCGGGCAGAGACACAACCAAAAAAGAGAATTTTAGACCAATATCCTTGATGAATATTGATGCAAAAATTAACCAAATCCAGCAGCACATCAAAAAGCTTATCCACCATGATCAAGTGGGCTTCATCCCTGGGATGCAAGGCTGGTTCAATATACGCAAATCAATTAATGTAATGCAGCATATAAACAGAATCAAAGACAAAAACTACATGATTATCTCAATAGATGCAGAAAAGGCCTTTGACAAAATTCAACAACGCTTCATGCTAAAAACTCTCAAGAAATTAGGTATTGATGGGACGTATCTCAAAATAATAAGAGCTATCTATGACAAACCCACAGCCAATATCATACTGAATGGGCAAAAACTGGAAGCATTCCCTTTGAAAACTGGCACAAGACAGGGATGCCCTCTCTCACCACTCCTATTCAACATAGAGTTGGAAGTTCTGGCCAGGGCAATTAGGCAGAAGGAAATAAAGGGTATTCAATTAGGAAAAGAGGAAGTCAAATTGTCCCTGTTTGCAGATGACATGATTGTGTATCTAGAAAACCCCATCATCTCAGCCCAAAATCTCCTTAAGCTGATAAGCAACTTCAGCAAAGTCTCAGGATACAAAATCAATGTGCAAAAATCACAAGCATTCTTATACACCAATAACAGACAAACAGAGAGCCAAATCATAAGTGAACTCCCATTCACAATTGCTTCAAAGAGAATAAAATACCTAGGAATCCAACTTACAAGGGATGTGAAGCACCTCTTCAAGGAGAACTACAAACCACTGCTCAATGAAATAAAAGAGGATACAAAGAAATGGAAGAACATTCCATGCTCATGGGTAGGAAGAATCAATATCGTAAAAATGGCCATGCTGCCCAAGGTAATTTATAGGTTCAATGCCATCCCCATTAAGCTACCAATGACTTTCTTCACAGAATTGGAAAAAACTACTTTAAAGTTCATATGGAAACAAAAAAGAACCTGCATTGCCAAGTCAATCCTAAGCCAAAAGAACAAAGCTGGAGGCATCACGCTACCTGACTTCAAACTATACTACAAGGCTACAGTAACCAAAACAGCATGGTACTGGTACCAAAACAGAGATATAGACCAATGGAACAGAACAGAGCCCTCAGAAATAACGCCGCATATCTACAACTATCTGATCTTTGACAAAGCTGAGAAAAACAAGCAATGGGGAAAGGATTCCCTATTTAATAAATGGTGCTGGGAAAACTGGCTAGCCATATGTAGAAAGCTGAAACTGGATCCCTTCCTTACACCTTATACAAAAATTAATTCAAGATGGATTAAAGATTTAAATGTTAGACCTAAAACCATAAAAACCCTAGAAGAAAACCTAGGTATTACCATTCAGGACATAGACATGGGCAAGGACTTCATGTCTAAAACACCAAAAGCAATGGCAGCAAAAGACAAAATTGACAAATGGGATCTCATTAAACTAAAGAGCTTCTGCACAGCAAAAGAAACTACCATCAGAGTGAACAGGCAACCTACAAAATGGGAGAAAATTTTCGCAACCTACTCATCTGACAAAGGGCTAATCTCCAGAATCTACGATGAACTCAAACAAATTTACAAGAAAAAAACAAATAACCCCATCAAAAAGTGGGCGAAGGACATGAACAGACACTTCTCAAAAGAAGACATTTATGCAGCCAAAAAACACATGAAAAAATGCTCATCATCACTGGCCATCAGAGAAATGCAAATCAAAACCACAATGAGATACCATCTCACACCAGTTAGAATGACCATCATTCAAAAGTCAGGAAACAACAGGTGCTGGAGAGGATGTGGAGAAATAGGAACACTTTTACACTGTTGGTGGGACTGTAAACTAGTTCAACCATTGTGGAAGTCAGTGTGGCGATTCCTCAGGAATCTAGAACTAGAAATACCATTTGACCCAGCCATCCCATTACTGGGTATATACCCAAAGGACTATAAATCATGCTGTTATAAAGACACATGCACACGTATGTTTATTGCAGCACTATTCACAATAGCAAAGACTTGGAACCAACCCAAATGTCCAACAATGATAGACTGGATTAAGAAAATGTGGCACATATACACCACGGAATACTATGCAGCCATAAAAAATGATGAGTTCATGTCCTTTGTAGGGACATGGATGAAACTGGAACTCATCATTCTCAGTAAACTATCGCAAGGACAAAAATCCAAACACCACATGTTCTCACTCATAGGTGGGAATTGAACAATGAGAACACATGGACACAGGAAGGGGAACATCACATTCTGGGGACTGTTGTGGGGTGGGGGGAGGGGGGAGGGATAGCATTAGGAGATATACCTAAGGCTAAATGACAAGTTAATGGGTGCGGCACACTAGCACAGCACATGTATACATATGTAACTAACCTGCACATTGTGCACATGTATCCTAAGACCTAAAGTATAATAATAATGAAATTAAAATTAAAATTAAAAAAGTGTTAATAGTAAAAAAACAAAGAAATTATCTAAATAGCCAGTGATTATTCATTAATTAAGTTCAATATCAGTCCTAGGCTTTAAGAGGGACATTGTAAAAATTATCTTCAAGCTGACATATCACAAAACGTAATTACTATTGACATAAAGTTTGTCAGAATAATGATCCAGTTTATTTAAACACAAATTTATATTTTTCATAATCTTAAATATTATGTAGTATTAATGTTAGCATATTTTATTTATATTAGCACTTATTTATCTAAATCAATCAAGACACAGCCCCTTTATATTGAGTCTTTATAATGTAATTTGTCAATGCTCTCATACAATGAGAGGTAAAGACCTTTTTAAATTTTTTATTTTTAATATTTGTGGGTACATTGTAGGTGTATATATTTATGGGGTACATGAGATATTTTGATACAGGCACAAAGACACTTAGTGTGCTTATAAATCCAGATCAACACTTTTGCCACAGGTTAATAGTAAACATTGAAACCCAAAAACTCATAGTCCAAATATCAAACAGCTTTCCATTCCACTGAATACAAGATTCTTAATTGATTTAAGCTCAAAATGGACAAAGAGGCTATACAGATACATACATATGTATATATGTATATGTAAACAAACCAGTCTCTCTGTTATCTGTCACCCAAAGAGTATGGAAATCTTATCTCTATAACCTGTTAGCCATTTGTATAAATCACCAGATGATCAGATCATGAAACCAAATTCCCAGTCATTGCTGTCACCAATGTAGAATAAATTAGTGGCTATAAGCAAACCAGAAACAAAAAAAGAAACAAAAATCAGTAGAGGGAAGGAAAATAGAGAAATTCAGTCAGCAAACTTAGGTTATGTTGACTCTTAGGTTTCATTTCTAGGAACCAAAAAGACACACCAACCTTAAGTATCCTAATGAGATACACTACTCTGGCAACATATTTTACCTGGCTCTGTTAAATAAATCCATTGGATATTATAGTAGATTACCTCCAAAATGGTTCATGGGCAATCAGTTTAAAAAGATAAATTCATGTAAAAGTATAAAACAAAATGGATTAAAGATTTTAATAAGACTGGACATGGTGGCTCACACCTGTAATTCCAACACTTTGGTAGTTCAAGGCAGGAAGATTGCTTGAACCCAGGAGTTCAAGACCAGCCTGGACAACATAGTGAGATCCCCATCTCTACAATAAAAAATTTAGCCAGGCATGGTGGTGCGTGCCTGTAGTCCCAGCTACTTGGGAGACTAAGGTCAGGGGATCGCTTGAGCCCAGGAAGTTGAGGCTACAGTGAGTCATGATCACACCATTGCACTCCAGCCTGGGCAACTGAGCTAGACTCTGTCTCAAAAAAAAAAAAACATTTCAATTAACCCATTAATTAATGAGAGATTTATTAAGATGCTACAGCTCATTCAAAGGAGAATCCAAGGACTAAGCATGCTGAAAAGACATAGTATACTGAAAAAACATAGCATACTGAAAAGCACTTACAAATATATGCAAATTGGCAAAATTGGCCAGTATCCACAGGGCAATAATCAATTACAACTGCAATTCTACAGGTAGAAATTTGTTGCTTTTCTATCATTTTTAAATAATGTAGAGAGTTCCAAAATAATTCATAGACAGTGAAGGTGAGATAATTTTGACTACTAGACATCTGGTCATCTTTTTGGTTCATTTCAAAATCTTTCACAATTTTTTTTCCTACAGAATGAAAGGTAAAGCCCTTTCTAAGTTACAAATATAAAGAAATGTAGAGTGTTTATAAATTCGGATATGTACTTTGCCACAGATCAAGATTAAACATAGCACAAGATTCATGGTCATATGTTTCCCTCCTCTGATATACTAAGATTTCTCTTTTGATCCAACAATTCCCAATGTACAGGGGAGATACTGTGAGGATTTAAAAAGATAATATATGTAAAGTGCTTAGTACCGTTTCTTCCATTTTCCTATTTCTAGTTGCTGTATTAAATGTAGCATTTATCTATAAAATGGAGCAACTTATTTATAGAAAATTTGAATGTAAAATTTTAGGAAATGACTCAAGAGAGGAATGTTATTTTTACTTATTTTTATTAGAAAAACCTTCTATTTTCATAAGTGATATTATAAGTTCGGCATATTTCTGAATATATCATTTACTGTAAGACTACTAATAATTTATATAAGATTCACAAATATTAACTTAATAAACTGCATTTAAATATTTTAAAATATACAAAATTCAAGAATCCTTTGCTGTGACTCATGTTTTTAAACCCAAATTATGATGCATAAGGAATATTCAAAATTAGGCTTTATGTGTTTATTGTACAATATTTTCTTAATTAACAATTAGGTCTAAAAATAAGATTTTCAGGGTACAAGATCTTGAATGTACTCAGTATAATAATGATCTCTACTAAAATGTAGCTCTAATTTACGCAGTTCTTGTGTAATAGGACTTCACAATTTGTTTATTCATTTAAATAGGCAAGGTACCAAAAGAGCCTTTCATTCAGATTAATTAATTACTGGAGTTAATTGGAACATTCAGGTTCCAATTTCAGGTTACCATAAACCTGAAAATGTTTATCATGACTTTTATTATTCTGAAGTGTAATGGTCACAGAAATTAACTATGTTTAATGTAACCTAGGCAAAGTTCTATGTATCATTTCCCTTGTTAAGAAGTACATTTTTTAACTTTAACAATGTATGTGCTATGTGCTCACATGTTCTTTATGAATACAGTGTATTTAGGGGTTTGTTTTGTTGTTTTTAGTTTGAGAGGTGGTGGTAGGAAAGGGAAGATGAGAAGAAATGCACATTTATTTACTCTGAATTTCTAGTTACTAAAACTTTATTTTAAAAAGTTTGACTACTATAAAGAAAGCACAGAACCTCTGTGCATTTTGTAATTTATTTGAAATTGATTTCTAGAAATCACAGCCTTCTTGCAGTGTAAATGATGTATTTCTACACAAATGGAAATAAACATGAATAAATTTGCATTATTAATCTTTAATAAAGAACAATGTTGATAGTTTAAATTACACTTTAAATGTTTAAGGTGAATGTTGAAGGTGTGCTCTCTCTCTCTCTCTCTCTATATATATATATATCATTCTAATAATGCCAATCAAAAATATATAAAACTTACATAGGAAATAATATCAAGTTACTTCTTGTGACAAACTATTTTTGAAATATCTTTCTATATGTCCATGTATGTTTCAGTTTTAATGCTTCTCTAAACATTGCTTTATTTTCTTCATTTTTTTACTCTGTCTTGAAAGTACAAATATAAGATCAGATTTATTTAAAGTTACCTTTTTATCATTTATTTTTAACTGACAAAAATTGTTTATATTTATTATGTACAACATGCTATTTTGAAATATCTATACATTGTAGAATGGCTAAATTGTTCTAATTCACATATGCATTACCCCACATATCGTTTTTTAAAAATCTACTCTTTTAGCAATTTTCAAGAATACATTATTATTAACTAGAGTGACTGATTATCTCTCTAATACCCTTTCCCCACCCAGTCCCTGGTAACCAGCATTCTATTCTCTACTTCTATGACTTTAACTTGTTAGATTCCACATATGAGTGAAATCATGTGGCATTTGTCGTTCTGTGCTGGGCTTATTTCACTTAACATGATGTCCTCTAGGTTTATCCATGCTATTGTAAATGACAAGACTTCCTTCTTTAAGACTGAATAGTATTTCACTGTGTATCTGTACACCATGCTTTCTTTATCCATTCAACTGTTAATGGACACTTAGTTGATTCCATATCCTTGCAATGAACATGGGAATGCAGATATCTCTTCAACAGACTGATTTTGTTTCCTTTGACTATTTACCCAGTAGACGGATTGCAGGATCATATGGTAGTTCTATTTTTAATGTTTTGAGGAACTTCCATCCTGGTTCCATAATGGTTGTACTAATTTACATTCTCACCAACAGTGTGCTAGGCTTCTCTTTTCCCCACAACTCACCAACATTTATCTTTCATCTTTTTGATAATAACCATTCTAATGGATATGAGGTAATATTTTGATTTTAATTTGCACCTCTAATGATTAGTGATATTGAACAATTTTTTCATATACATGTTGGTTATTTGTATGTCTGCTTTTGAGAAGTATCCATTCAAATCCTTTGCCCATCTTTTAATTGGGTTACTTGTTTTCTTGCTATTGATTTGTATGAGTTTCTTAGATATTTTGGATATTAACCCCTTGTCAGATGTTTGGTTTGCAAATTCTTTCATTTCATAGGCTGTCTATTATCTCTGTTGATTGTTTTCTAAACAAATTGCTTTTGACATAATTTTTCCAGTTTACAATGTTACAAATGGAAATTAAGCAAATTTAGATGATATTTGAAGTACAAATTGGATTGTGATCAAATTCACAATGGGTTGTAACACTAGCAGTGAATCAGAACCATATGACTTCATTTATCTTCCCCTGGATTTTATGTATGGAGCTACTAAAATCTGCCAGAAAATATTAATTTTTAATTGTTCATGAAGTTAGCATTCTAATGACACTAATCAAAATGATGTTTTAATGGTTAAAAACAGAAATCCTCTTGTACCATGTGAATACTTCCTTTTCTCATAGAAAAGTCCAGCCACTGGTCCACTCACTTAACATGGGAGGAAACTCAGACATAGATTAATCACTGAAGGCCTCATTCATTTATTCTTTTGGCAAGGACAGTCATTTTGTTTCTTGAAAAGAAACCAACATTTTGTACTTCGAGGCCCTAATCTGTTTGTATTCTTAATAGCAAGAGAAGTAGGACCTTAACCCATGTTTATGCTTAGACTATTCGATGTGTATACCAGTGTTTTAGCCGCCTCTCTCTCAAGCCACAGGGTGTCTAAAATTTAACAATTGAGAGTTCCTAAAATATCTAGCTTAATTTGAGCATACTTTTAGTAGTTTCATGGCCCTGGAAATTGTCCAACTGACAATGATCTGTAGTTGTTTATTTAACCAATGGACTAAAAATGATTTTTAATGAGAATTTAGTCAGGAGAAAGAAAATGGATCTTTACCATGAATATATTTTTCAAGCAACAGTGGCATAATTTTTTAATGAAGATATCACACTGGTTGTCTTCTTTCTTCTTTAGAAAAGTAATGATTTCAGTGTTTCCTTAGTTTCCATATTAATTTCATTACCTTACACATCAATTCTGTGTCAGACACTGAGCTGGGCCCTAGTAAATGGTTCATTATGAGATCATTTCCTATGGGGTACTTACCATCTGTTCAGGTGGAAGTCACACAAGAAGCAAGTAATCAAATAAATGAATGTGTAATTGCAATAATGAGAAATGTGGAGAAATATGTGTCAGTTTCAAACACCAAGATCCGTGTAAGTTGATGAATTTCTTCATTGAAGGAACTCATTTTGAAAGATCATAATTATCACCCAGTATTAAATACCAATTAGGTATAGAGTCAATGTGATGGAGAGATAATCTTTGTGTTCCTTTACCTTTCCTGTTGTAACTCAAACTGGGGACAGGAAGGTGGCTATGCCCAGTTCAAAGCAACATTTAAAATAAGAGTGTAAGTGGAGATATTTTGGGATATTTTGGGATATTTTTCTTTTTTTAAATATCAGAAAGGTAATGTGCTGACCTCATAACAAAGTTTGAGAGAGGCATGTCTTACACATGTGTGTGAAAATTAAATCATCATGCTCATGTACTACAAAAGGAACTTCATTTGAGAATTTATCTGTTTGTCTAAGGATATCAAACTGGAAAGTAACAGAGAGGTTAAAAATATAACAACATGTTGCCCTATTTGCTTCAGCTTCCTTTAAAGAAAGAACAATGGAAAGATAGACAAAAGATGGAATGTAACAAACCTGCACATTCTGCACATGTATCCCAGAACTTAAAGTAAAATAAAATAAAATAAATAACACAATTGACAAGAAAAAAAAAAAAAGAAGGGAAGGGGAGGAAAAAGAAAAGAGGGATGGGAAGAGGAGGGGTGGGGTAGGAGGAAGGGGAGGATTTAAGGTGGGAGGGAGGGGAACAGTGAGAAGAAGGTGCGGGGTAGAGATAGAAGGTGCGAAGTAGAGATGGGAGGTGCAGGGTAGAGATAGGAGGAAGGGAGAGGAGAAGGGAGGGAGGAAAAGAGGAAGGAAAGGAGGGAGAGAAAAAGGAAGAAAGGAACCAAGGATGGGAGGAGGAATTATAGATTAATCCAATACCACCTTCATCCCATCCTCTTTTTTCCTTCCCCTACCTCTCCCTCCCCAGAGATAACCACTATTCTAAAATTACTGTGTATCCTTTCAATGTGTACATTTTTAAAAATTTGCTACACATATGTGATTCCCTAAGACATATATGCTAATGTTTCATTCTTATAAAATTTTAAATAAATGTAGTTTTTGTAAGCATCTCTTCTTTTTTTTGTTTGTTTGTTTTCCACACAACACTATGTAAGACATACCCATGTTCATACATGTAGACCTATTTCATTCATTTTAAATGCTGTAAAGTAATCCAGTGTATATGCACTAGAGGTGTGTATCCATTTAGCTTTGCTGGACCATTTTGGTGTTTACTCATTTTGCTTTTACAAGGAGTGCTTGAGGAACATCTCTACTTACGTTTCCTTGTGTGTAGCAAGTAGGGAACTAGAAGTATAGTGGCTGAGTCAAGAGGTAATCACTGAATCAATATGTTGTCAAAATGTTTACCATGGTGGATGTATCCATTTATTTTCTCACCAGAAGTATGACTCCTAATTTTCCCAAAGGGACAAAAAAATCCAATGTCACCAGACAATCTTGGCCAATCTCAGACAGCTAGAAAATGATCTCTTATTATATTAGTTTATAATTTCTTTGTTATAGAAATAAATAGTATTTCTTATTTTTAAAAAACTAGTGTTTTGTTGATATATTGACCCCTCCAGAATTTACCTATTTAACACTGGACCTATAAAAATGAATAGAAAATAAAACTAATTTTGTTTTGTAGCTTTTAAATGTGGTCATTTTTAGGGATTTATGCTCACAAAAGCAGAGACAGAAATCATGTTTTATTGTTAGTATGATATCTGGAGTGCTCAATTATTAACTTGAAAATATACAAAATCCCCTTCCTATTTTTGTCTTTTAGAATATGTGATCACCTCTCAATTCACTTGATTTTGATGGTGTTCATTGTGAACTCTGAAAAGCAACACAGGCCTTATTTTAATTTTTTATTTCTATAACTTATACCTCCTTCCAAAAAAGTTTAACAATAAACCATAAAAATATATGTCAACAAAGATATTAAATTCAACAACACAAATTTATTCATCTAAGTAACTGAATAAGACAACAGCAAAGTTAATCTATACTGCGATACTTTTCATTCCTGCCTGATATTTAATAAAATATTATTATTGATATATTCTTTTAGTCATAAGTTGATATATTGATATATCACTAATAATTTTGGTATCTAGAGAACGAATAGTTTCAAATTCAGCTTGTAAACAATTACATGAGAAACACTTCATTCTGTTAGTAATTAAAAAATTTAAATCACAAAAGTACCATTTTTCATCTATTTAATGAACAAAAATATTACAATATCCAACTGAGAACCAGTGAAGAAAATTAATAATATTTTGCATTATAATTTAGCACAATCCTTGAAGAAAGCATTTTTGACATACACATTTTTGTATCTTTGGATATAATAATCTTATTTATTAGATTCTAGCTAGAGAAATAATACAAAATGTGGAAAAATAATATATTCATGAAAATGTTTTAGCTTCGTTTTAAACTGACAAAATTGAAAGCCACCTAAATGTTCAATTTAAAGTATACTGTTTCCCATTGAAAAAATTACAATCCTGATGCCGATGAGGAAAAGGCATCTGATATTAAGATTCAATGCGAAGGAAACAGAATCCTAAGTATGATTACAAATATGCAAAAAGTCCACATAGGGGAAAAATGAAAAGACATACTACAATGCTAATCATTGCTCTAGAAGTAGCATTTCTCCACTAATTTCAGGATATTTGTTTTCTTTATTGCTTATTTGAATAGAAAGTAAATGTCTTGGGCCTGCTTTTATCCCCTTAGGGAGCTGGGAATTTTGCACAATTTATTCTTCTGTCCTATTTGGTTTTGGTTTTGTTTGTTTTTTCTCAGCATAAAGCTATTGTTCTCAAACAACACAGTATCTTAATACTCCATCACTCTTGAATTTTACTTTACTCCTTGAGGAATACCACTTCAAGATGACTGATTACCTTTCAGTAAATGTGTCTGCTCTTTGTTCTAGGAAAGAGAATCATGTGGCAAAGCAATAGAATTGGTTTGCAAATAAACCAAAAAGGTAGTAACTGTGAAGGAGATTCATGTATTTGCTCTAGCTCTTCCTTCTGTCTGAGTCTTGTTTAGTTATCCTGTACTTACTGATTCCAAGTCAGAGCATTCCATTCCAGGTAAACATTTTCTTTGGCTTCTATGTTTATTTCAATATCTAGGTCGTTTCTGAATGCTTAGGGCTTGCTATTGTTTTAAATTGTTAAGAAAAGATACCACACTTGTTCTTAGCCAAAAGACCAAGAAACTATTGCTATCGTTTCAAGTCCTGGCAATTTGTCCACTACAGAAATTCCTAATAATCAAGACGATAAGAATAAAGATGCTTTAATTTGAGAGGGCAACCTCATTTTATTTCTGCAGTCTAATACATATTTCAGCTTATTGGTTAATAGGAAGTATTAAATATGGTATAAATTAAATGCATACTCTTACACTTCATAGACATATGTGTATAATGATACAATTTAGGAAAAATAGTATGTCTTGAACTCAGCCAGACATTCATGGTAAAATATGACTCACCCTGACACTGGAACTTTGACATGAGCCTGTTAATTACTATTGTTCTATTCCCTATTAATCCTTTAAAGTTTTTTTTTGCCCACCCTCAATCCCCTACTCTGATTTATGGACTGCTTTTCATATTTATAAAGTGGTTCATGAATCACCCTGCCCCAACAGAAGTGAATAATAATGGGCCCATTTATGCAACCTTTGCTGTGTAGCTAATTAGCTGAAAATGACTGCCTGGGATTGCACTGAGAAGAGTGTCATTAGCATTCAGCACTAAGTCTACAAAAGAGAGGAGGGAAAGAAAGCAGAAATATGGAATCAAAAAATAAGAATAGCAGTGAGAATGCTATTTACTCAGTGTGATTTTTTTAAAGCATCCTAAAGAACATTTAATGATATCTCCCAATAGCTGAATTGTTAAGTAAGTCACAGGGTATAGTATCCATTAAAATTATGTCCATGGAGCATACCTAAGACTTAAGAAAGTTCTTACCTATAGGTTGACCAAAGTAGCAAATGAAATTGCTACATACAATATAATCTCAATTTTAAGAAGAAAAGAAATTAATAATAAAACTGTGATAATGTCATTATGGGTCATTTTTTCTCTCATCTATAATTTTCTGTATTTTCCAGATGTTTTAATATGGCCACATGTTACTCTGATAATGTATTTGTAATAGTAGTGTTATATGCATTTTTTATTTCTTTGGAAGCATATTGACTGAAAGTGATAGCAGCTACTGTTAATTGAGTGCCTACTGTGTATCAAGCATTGAACTTGTACATGCATATAATAACTCTCTTTTCTTTCCTGTTCCATACCACATTCCACCTGCATCATACCTGCATTCATGAATTATCATAAACCTAGGTTGAGGCACATTTTGTCCAAGTTGCCACCACCCAAATAAGTATAGAACTAAACTGTCTTGCATTGCAATCCTGAGTGATATTTAGGCTTTCTTAATAATGTAAATATTTATCTGATGTAAGAGCTCTGGATTTCTAAAAAAATGGCAAAGGTAATAGTTCTAAATGAGAAATAAGCACACCTTACCTATTTTATAAAACAAGTAGACAGTGGCTCCATCTTCTCTCTTGAGACCTTACAGTATTAAAATATATACATATATATGACAGCATGAATATGTAGCTGGATGTTTTTAATTGCTGTAGCCAATGCTTACAGAATTGCCTGATTCCTGGTTAGTCATATATCATTTTATACTCACTATGTATTTGGTAATGAATGTCATAAATTACTGATAACTAAATTAATACTAAAAATATGGTAAGGTAAACTTTTAATATTTGTGCTTTGTTTAACTGCTCATGGAAGAAATGTTACTGAAGCAAATCTTCTCTGCTTAGATTCATCTGGCCTAACTACAATAACTGGGGAGAACTTAACCCTTGAATCTAGTCTATCTGGGTTTGAATCTCAGCATTACCATAGACTATGTAAACTTGGAAAAATTTATTAATACAGTGAGATGTTAATTTTCTTATCTTTGATATTGGAGTGGAAAAGGCTTCAACATAATAAGGCTATTATAAATAATAAATAATGCACGTGTGGTAAAATAATGCTTTCTCCTCCAAAGATGTCCATGTCCTAAATTCTCTGGACCTGTAAATATTCTACTTCTCATGGCAAAAGGGGCTTTGCAGATGTAACTAAGATAAGGTCTGTGGCCAAGCACAGTGGCTCACGCCTGTAATCCCAACACTTTGGGAGGCTGAGGTGGGCGGATCACTTGAGACCAGGAGGCTGAGGCAGGAGAATAGCTTGAACCTGGGAGGCAGAGGTTGCAGTGAGCCAAGATCGCACCACTGCACTCCAACCTGGGTAACAGAGAGCAACTCTGTCTCAAAAAAAAAAAAAAAAAAAAAAACATGAAAAGAAAAAAAGATGAAGTCCGCTGGAGGACGCGGTGGCTCACGCCTGTAATCCCAGCACTCTGGGAGGCCAAGGCGGGTGGATCATTTGAGGTCAGGAGTTCGAGACCAGCCTGGCCAACATGGTAAAAACCCGTCTCTACTAAAAATACAACAACAACAACAACAACAACAAAATACCAAGCGTGGTGTTTCATGCTTGTAATCCCAGCTACTGGGGAGGCTGAGGCAGGAGAATCTCTTGAAGCTGGGAGATGGAGGATGCAGTGAGCTGAGATCGTGCCACTGCACTCCAGCCTGGATAACGGAGCGAGACTCTGTCTCAAAAAAAAAAAAAAAAAAAAAAGATAGTCGATTATCTTGGAATATCTTAGTGGGCCCAATGTAATCACAAGGGTTCTTATGAAAGGAAAGCAGGAGAGTGAGATGTGCTTTGAAGATGGAGGAAGGGTCCATAAGCCAAGGAATGCAAATGCCCCCTAGAAGCTGAAAAAGGCAGATAAATAAGTTCTCCCTTAGAGCCTCCAGGAGGAACACAGCCCTGCTAACACCTTGATTTTAGGACTTCTGATCTACAGAACTGTAAGCGAATAAATTTGTGTTGTTTTAAGCCACTAAGCTTGTGGTACCTTGTTACAGTAGCAAGAGGAAACTAATACTGTATGTGAGGTGCTTAGTACAGTGCCTGTCATCTAGGATTCTAACATACTACTAGCCAAAGTAACTCTGCCTCTTTAGATCTAGGTAAGAGTAGCTTGAACCCGCAATCCATTATTTGTGGGAGTCCAATGCCCTCCCCGAGATTGCTGAGGCTTTCCAAAGGGCTTATGTAATCTCTGGCTTTGAATTGCTTCAGTTTATAGACTACTGTTCCAATAATGCTGTCAGGATAAGAAGTTCAGCCCCTTCCCAGTATTCCAAGTATAAAAATAAAACATTTACCCAAGGCTTGTGTGTGTGTGTGTGTGTGTGTGTGTGTGTGTGCGCGTGCATACAGGCATGCTTGGTGTGTATCAGGCTTTGTTTGAGTAAATACAGAAAATGTATTATGATTGCACCGCAAAAATTTTAAAATTAAATATCAATATGACCGTTCTTTAAAGTTTTTTACTACTCCAACATTTTGCTTCCTCACACCTAAATTCCTCTTAAATCTCACAAAACAGTTTATCTCCTTTGGTTTCCTTATCATTTATGTCTCACGCTCCCAGGATTTCACCTTCAAATACCAATGTATTTTTCTAAACAGACTAGCCAAAATCCTGTCACAACTATGAAGATAATGCAAATTCTTTTCACCCTATTGCACTGAGCAGTTAATGAGTATTAGCTGCAAAAAATCTATGTACTCTTTAGTCATAACTTAGACTAACCCATCCATCTTCTCTCATCAGTTTCTTTGTGTAATGTAACTAACATGAATTAAAGGTGTATCCAAGAGGCTAAACAAGCCATTCTTCAAACACTCTATTGAGTGATACTGATATCAATCTTGTAACAGCTACTCACTCTCAATTTCACCAATATTAGGAGTATAAATAGGGTTCAGCATTTTTAGGGGATTTTCTTTCACATTTTTCTTTCATACAGATTCTATTAAACTGTACAATTATGTTATACAGAGATGGGGTTTAAAACTTGGGAGTTCTTCCTGATAAAATTCATGATTATAGGAAAACCTCAACTGAGCATACATAATTTGTTAATTTAAGTTCACATTGCTATTTGCAAATGTACCCTCTCCATGTGTATATGTGTGCACACGTGTGTATTTGTGTGTGTGTGTAAAAACCTAGGTTTCAAGATACTTATGGGCCAGGGCTTTTGGATTATGTTTTGTCAGCAATTAGAATCATGCCACCTTCAGACATTAAATATACATGATTTGCTATTACAATGACTCCTAAGGCCAATGACCATGCATCATTAACCTTAATAAATGAATACTACAGTGACATGATTTCTGTTCATTCCAAAGTATCATGAGACCATAGTTTCTAACTAATAGCCCATTATAGTGTTCTGACCTAACTTTCAAAATGTCAATAAATTGGGATTATAATGTAATCCATTCTAAATGTCTTTGAAAGAAGACAGATGAATGTTATGCTGTCATGAGTCTACCTCTGGGAAATCTCTCTGCAGAAGAACAGTCAGTTAATGCTTTTGCCTTTAGCTGGTTTTACCATCCTATACTTTCATTTGCTATCCACCAACAAAAATATTTTCACACACCAGAATGAAAATCTTGAGTTTAAAAAACTAAAGACAGAATTAACAATTCAATCTTTTCAATTTATAATCAGCCAGTTTCAGCCACAGTGTGAGTACATTTCCATGTGGATGTGTTAATTAATGGTAGAAGTGACTAACAACTGTGAAGCAGTCATATTAGGCAAGGAGAACAAATGGAAATACAAGAGCAATCATTCTTAGAGATACTCATTGTTGCTTCTCACCCAGAAGACAAGAGAGCTGAACAGAACTCTGCCCAGGGACATCTCTCTTTTTGTTGATGATCTGGGGAATTCTTGCTGAACAATTTTTTCTCACAAAGAGCTCATACACTCAGCTCACTTAACCATAAGCATTACAGAATCTAGAAATGCCAAACTCCTAAATCAGCAGAGTTCAACACTGTATTACACAGATTTCTATAGCCTAACATAGATTCATGAATATGTGCTTGTGTGGGAGGCCCTGTCTGAGTCTCAATAATTCCTCCCTTCTCAGAGAGTCCTGTGGGTCTTTGGTGACCATATTTGTATTTGTGTATTAGTGCTGTCCTCCAACCCTTACTAAATAGTTGTGGGAGAGTTGGTACCTAATTCAAGTTAGACCAGTGAAATCCTCCTGTGAGTCTGAAATGTGGAACATATATATTCCAAGACGGAAGTTGTTTCAGTACTTTCCAAAGGAAATCAGATGACTTTTTAAGAGTAAGTTCTTAGAGCTATTGATTTCTTCTCTTGCTAAGTTGTGATGATTACTCAATTCTCTTTAATATTATATTGGGATTTGGGAGGAATAAAAGTAAATTGGCCGAGGTGATCGTAGTTTAAAAAACAATGAGTTATGGTAAAGTCTTGGTGTGACATATAGTTTCCCTAGGTGATATCATTTATATTCCTTATAACTATTGATTGTTGAATAGATTGGTCATAATGGCTAGCAACAGTAAATTCAGTTATGCTTCCTAAAAGTTGGGTTTTTTAAAAATTACTCACAACTCTAAGTACCCATACACATGAGACATTAACTAGTTATTTTGTAGACAATGCTAAATTGGCTATGTAAACTACTTTGTAAAAGCTATTGTAATTCACAATTCTGAATCAATGGTTCAATATTATATTTCAATGCATGTCCTGATTTAATAATGGAGTGGTTAACTAACCAGATGACATTTTTTCTGAAAATGGACTAAATAAAGTGAGATGTGCTGACCAGTGGTGCTCAAATAACACTCTCAAGTATCCCTAAGGCTTTTTCTTTAATGGTGCCACAAATATTGGATTCTAATTTTATTTAAAACTATTGTTACTTTTTGCTGCACACCTACAACCATCTGATGCTTGACAAAGTTGACAAAAACAAGCAATGGGGAAAGGACTCTCTATACAATAAATGATTCTGAGATGACTGGCTAGCCATATCCAGAAGATTGAAATTACACTCCTTTCTTACACCATAGTTCCTATTTTTCATCCACATTTAAACAGAAAATCAGGATGCCCTTATAATCACATCTTTTCTAGAATCATGCTTTAGAAAATCATGTGTGGGGCCATCCAACTCAAGATGGATTAAAGACTTAAATGTAAAAGAAAAACTTTGGAAGACAACCTCAGAAATACCATTCTGGACAGAGGATCTGGCAAAGATTTCGTGATGAAGACAGCAAAAGCAATTGCAATAAAAACAAAAATTGACAAATGGGACCTAATTAAACTAAAGAGCTTCTGCACAGCAAAACATCATTAGAATGTTGTTCATCAACAGAACAAACAGACAACCTATAGAATGGGAGAAAAATTTTGCAAACTACACATCTGACAAAGGTTTAATATCCAGAATATATAAAGAACTTAAAGAAATCAACAAGCAAAAAATGAACAAACCCATTAAAAGTAGGCAAAGAACATGAACACCTTTCAAAAGAAGACATACACGCATCCAACAAGCATATAAAAAATGCTCAACTTCACTAATCATTAAAAATGCATATAAAACCACAATGTGATACCATCTCACACCAGTCAGAATGGCTATTATTAGAAAGTAAAAAAATATGAGATGCTGGTAAGGTTGCAGAGAAAAAGGAAAATTTATACACTGCTGGTGGAAATGTAAATTAGTTCAGCCATTGTGGAAAGCAGTTTGGTGATTTCTCAAAGAACTCAAAGCAAAATTACCATTTGACTCAGCAATTCCCTTGTTGAGTATATGCCAAAAGGAATATGAGTCATTGTACCTTAAAGATACATACACACATATGTTCATCTTAGTATTATTCACAATAGCAAGGGCATGGAGTCAACCTAAGTGCCCATTAACAGTAGACTGGATAAAGAAAATGTGATACATATACACCATGGAATACTACACAACCTTAAAAAAGAATGAGATCATGTCCTTTGCAGCAACATGGATGGAGGTGGCAGCCGTTAGCCTAAGTGAACTAACACAGGAACAGAAAACCAAACACCACATGTTCTCACTTATAAGTGGGAGCTAAACATTAAATATTAATATATATGGACACAAAGAAGGAAAAACAGTCACTGAGGCATACTTGAAGGTGGAGGGAAGGAGGAAGGTGAGGATCGAAAAACTACCTATTGGATACTATGACTATTACCTGGGTGGTGAAATAGTCTGTACACCAAATCCCTGTAACATGCAATTTACCTGTATAACAAACCTGCATATGTACCCAAGAACCTAAAATAAAACTTAAAAATTATATAATAAATATTTTAAACTATAATAAGAAGCATTACACTATCACCTGTCCTATGTTACTTTCTTAAATGTCTTAGGTGCTTTTTCTATTGAGGTAAAATATACATATATAATTTACCATCTTTACTACATTTAAATGTATAGTTTGGTGGTAATTAATATACTATATGCTTATTTTTCCTTTCATCACTCCCTTTTTTAGGTCTTTGGTAACTACCACTTTACACTCTATCTTGAGATCCATTTTTTTAGCTCTCACATGTGCATTAGAACATGCAATATTAGTATTTCTGTGCTTGGCTTATTTCAATTAACATAATGGCCTCCAGTTCCATCCATGTTGCAGCATATGACGGGATTTCATTTTTATGGCTGACTAATATCCCATTGTCCATATCTACCACATTTTCTTTCTCCATTCATCTGTTAATAGGCACTTAGGTTGATTCCATATTTGGCTATTGTGAATATGTTGCAATAAATATGAGAATGTCCTATGCCCCATGTTAACACATTCAAGATCACTATATTAACTTGTGCTGCCAGGTTAAATTATGCAGAGCATTGAGCACCAAGTAAAGCTTGCCTTTAATCCATCATTAAGTACTTCTAGAGACCAACAATTTATGGGTGTTCCTAAACCATTTGCAGTGGTATCATTGACTATAAAGGTGATTTCTTGGCACAGGGGTTGGGGCTGTTGTTGTTCCTGTTTTCCCAATTCAGGGTAGCCTTTGCTTGGTTATTTAAGAATTTAGAAGCAAGTACTTCACTATTTATAAGGATTTTCTCAATGCTGTATAAATAAAATGCAATAAAAAATAAATTGGTAATGACAGAGGCTTAAAACCATAATTCTCATCATAATCCCTGCTTTTATATGTATGTGCCCATTAAAATGGATCAACATTAGAACTTACAAGGTGATTTTATATTAACAAAATATGGCTTTTATTTATTTCATTTGTACTTTACATACTGAGGTCCCTTATCAAATTTGTAAACCATCATTGTAGCAGGATGTCTTAACCTTGGCACCATTGACATTTTGGAAAAGCTAAGTCTTTGTTGTTGGGGACTGTCCTGTGCATGGTAGGATGTTTAACAGCATCTCTGGGCTCCATCTACTAGATTCCAGTTTCAAACTTTTAGGTCCAGATATATTTCCAAATGTCCCCAGTGAGGCAAAATCATCTCTGACTGAAAAGCATCAGCTAAATTGTAGAATCACAGGACTTGCCACATTTTAGTAATTCCCAGAGAATATTCCCCTCTTGACAATTTTTTAATTCATAAGAAGCTGTTAAACAAAGAATATGGTAAAAGAGTATAGCAGACAAATGAATTTTTAATATTTATTGTGGGTGTTTTATTTAGGGTGTTTGAATCACTATGAGACTAAAAAAAAGAATGTTGCAGAACTGTATTTTTAGACAACAAAAGATACACTTAATAAAGTGAATAAATTAACCCATATGATCATAGGAACAGAAAGCATAGTGTTTTGTAAAACATTTTGAAAAAAAATTTAATTAAACTTGAAAATTCCTTTTGCTCTGATGTAATGCTTAAATAAATTCAAGTAAATTAACCAATGTCCTAAGAAAGGCTTCAAAAGGTATGTGAAAATGTTCATATCTGTGAGCTTTCATCTTTCATAATGAAAGCCAAAGGAAAATTGGAAAGAGGTAGGGTTTTTCTTTTTCCTTTAGGAAAAAGAAGCCTTTATTGCTGATAGTTTAGCGCAAATGACCAAAGCAATAACTCACCTTGGAAGCCTCAAAAATACTCTGATATATATATATATTCACATACGGTGAATCATCCTTGTATCCCAGTAACAAATCCCTCTTGGTCATTGTACATAATCCTTTTAATGTGCTATTGAATTTAGTTTGCTAATATTTGTTGAGGATTACATTACTTTCATAACTTACGTAACAAATTTATCATTTGCAATAGCCATATTTTAATGATATCCCAGTAAAGCTATTAAAATATTTTGTGACTAAAAATTTTAAAGATAGGCAGATTGAGTTTGAGTCTTAACTTTGTTGCCCATAAGTGGTGTGAGTTTGCATTAATTAAATTATCTTTTTGCAGCTCAGTCCTCTCATTAATCAAAGCACCTACTACACAGCATTGCTGTGAGAATTAAAAGAGATAATGTATGCAAAGCTTTTAGCCCAGTGCCCCATACTTAAGAAGTGCTCCCCAAATGATGATCACTATTATAGCTGTTATTATCTCATGACCCTTTCCATTTTTATTATCACCTTAGCAATGTCTGTGCTACTATCTGCAGAATTTGTGAATGGGAGGAATCTACGTTATACATAAAAGCATATCTTCCTCTCTTGCTGCAGCAAAATACAACATCATCATCATCATCATCAACAACAACAACAAAACCAGCCTTCTGTGACTGATGGTGCCTCACACTTCCCACTATTAGAGAGATTTGTAAGATTTATCTCTGAAACTCTGGTCCACTTACATTCAGCAGGTAGCATATAAGCAGGGAAGAAACACTATCCTAGGATGAGAGTTCATACCATATTCACCACTCCCAGTTGAGCTTTTGTGTTTATTCAAACTCAAGGACCCTAACTCTACATATCCTATCTGGACTTCATTATCTCTCCATTTTCTCTTGCCTGGGATGTTTTTCTGGTCAGTGAAGTGTGAGAGTAACTAAAATTCAGATGGTGAGTCCACATTTACAAGTTTTTGATTCACTTTTGAATTGACAAAGAACTTTTAAAAATGTAACGGTCCTCCCCATAAAGTGTAATCATAAGTTAAACAACACAAAAATTCAAATTAAATGGTTTCTTTTTTATCTTAATCTCCAGGAGCTACAATTTGAAATTTTCTAAAAATACTCTATGCAAATAGAAGCACAGCTGTGTCTTCTTAGGGAGAAAACCTCTCAAGATAGTAGCCTACCACACACACTACTCTGCACCTTGCTTATTTTATTTAACGATGCATCATGAATTTGCTTCTGTATTAATAAATAATAAGCTATCCTTAAAAATGTACTACAATTGTGTGGAAATGCCATAATTCATTTTCTAATCATCCTTTTGTGGGCATTTGTGTTGTTTTCCATTTTATTTTTTCAAATGAAAGGGCTCTGAATATACTGTAGTACTTTATGTACACAGCATATGTACTGTACTACAGTATACTGTATAAGTGTGTATATACATACACACACTGATATATTTACATATACATTTACTTGTATATATATGCATAATCTCTCTCCCTCTCTCTGGGAGTTCAGTACCATGTTGACTAGCAGGGCCAAGAGTGAGCACTCTTGCCTTCTTCCAGATCTTAGAGGAAAAGCTTTAATTTTTCTGTATTTATTGAGATGATAGTGTGGTCTTTATTTTATTAATATGTTGTATCACATTGATTGATTTGTATGTGTTGTTGATTGTTGCATATCCATCCTAGCATCCCAGTAATAAATCCCACTGGGTCATGGTGTATATTGTTTTGACATGCTGTTGAATTTCATTTGCTAGTATTTTATTGAGAATGTTTGCATCTAATTCCATCAGGGATATTGGCCTGTACTATTCATTTCTTGTATTGTGTGTCTGGCTTTGGAATTAGAGTGAAGCTGGCCTCATGAAATGAATTTGGCAGTTTTCCCTATTCTATTTTGTGGTACAGTTTAAGAAAGGTTAATATTAGTTCTTCTCTGAATGTTTGGTAGACCTCATCCATGAAACCATCTGGCCCTGGGCTTTTCTTTGTTGGAAAGTTTTTAATCACTGATTCACTCTCCTTGTTCGTTATTGGTTTGTTCAGATTTCTATTTATTATTGACACAGTTTGGGTAGGTTGTATGTTTTTAGAAATTTATCCATTTCCACCTGTCCATCTAGATTATCCAATTTGTTGACGTATAATTATTCATAATAGTTTCTTAAAATCTCACAAAATTTTGATGCCTTGTTTCTGCCAACTGGTAAACATGATTTGGGGCTAGGAAGCCTGGAAATGAAATGTCATCACTTTTGTAATGTTTTCTTTTTTCTCTCTCCTCTCTATCAGAATCACAACCACAGCTGCATGTATGATGGATCTTCGAAGATATCCATTGGATGAGCAGAACTGCACCCTGGAGATCGAAAGTTGTGAGTTACTTGGACAGGGGAATGAAAAAGAGGGATTCTTCCTTGACCCAGTTGAATTCAACTTCTCACTGAGTTAATTAGCACCAGGATTTTCTAGCTGCGCTTGCCTGATAAGTTTTCAAAGGGTTTATATTGGTAGCTCAAGGGTCATTTCAATGAAGTTATCATTTTGAACAATTAGGGAAAGTTCACTTATTTTAGCTCAACAATTTATAAACTCATACTTTCTCCTTCTCAGAACGTAGTTTCTCCCAAAGCCTTCCAATATCCAAGCTGCATTAAAAAGAAAGGAAAGACATTTTAATATGAAAAGAGTTTGTGAGATTGTTTTGGGTTCTATCATCTGTTGACCTAAACTATTGTAAATTGTCTTTTAGAAAAACATTATGTTGGTGTCTTGTGTGAATAATGTGTCTTTCCTCATGAAAAGAAAAAGATGATAAATTGCACTCATGGGGCTTATGCTTTGTGCCAAAGACTTAATGGTTTTTAAGTCTAGTGACTAATTTTCGTTTGTCCTCTTGGGCTGCTTTTTCACTGATTGTTTTCTTTTCTTTTTTCTTTTTTTTTTTTTTTTTGAGACGGAGTCCCACTCTGTCGCCCAGGCTGGAGTGTAGTGGCGCCATCTCCGCTCACCGCAATCTCCGCCTCCCGGGTTCACGCCATTCTCCTGCCTCAGCCTCCAGACTGGCTGGGACTATAGGCGCCCGCCACCACGCCCAGCTAATTTTTTGTATTTTTAGTAGAGACGAGGTTTCATCTTGTTAGCCAGGATGGCGCTTTCTTAACAATTCAAATATTTTAGTCATGAAGATTTAGTCTGATTGACTATCTTTTTGTGATTATTTCTCAGCCATCAGCCTATAGGTATTTGAGACCATTAATTGTGAATACCAAAGCTAAGCCATTTCTTGGTTTTCAGAGGTGCAAAAAAATGCAGTAGCTAATCAGAACATTACTATAGTACCACTTAATGTAATGTTAGAAATTGACAGATGTTTATTTAGATAGTCTAAAATACTTTCTAGATCTAAACATTAAGAAAGTAAAGGAAAATGGAAAAATTCCAGGTGATTCTATAGTATTGTTGAAGAGTAGTGTCTCATTACTGAGCAATTACATTAACTTTCTAGTTCCACTGTATATATGGAAATAGATGAAGGTGTTAATGTAGATATAATTACAAGTTTACACATAGACATTGACCTACTACCACTAAAACCTAGAATGAACAAGAAAATTCATGAAATATTCTCTAATCAATATTCTAATTTTAAATCTCATCATATAAAGAAGTTATTAAGTATTGAAAGGTGTTTATATATAAAGTATTGATGGTAACTTTTGGTTCAGATATCAAAAATGACCACATTCAAATCATAGGAATGAACTATGTAAACCCAATCATATACTAGTAGCTAATAACATTTTATAAATAAGGCAGAACATTAGTTCGACAAGTAAATCATTACTTTTGGAACTGATATAGAAAGAGAAGGATAACTCATGGATTTCCCATACATATTAGTTGTTTGTTACCCTTGAGCACTCTTCCATTGACTTTGTGATTTTTTTACCTTGGCTTCTGCTGGAGAATATTGACATACAGCAACCTCTTGAAATTCCAAGACCTTATGAATTGTATCATTTGCTTAAAGGAGCAGTGAATTTTGACAAATACTTGAAATTGATTCTGTGTTGTAAATTGTAAGTTCTAAAATTATCAACACTTTCTCCCAAAATGCATATTTTATTTATGATGGATACTGAGTTTTTCTATTATAGGTTGATATTTTTCTTTAAGTTTGAAGATTTCTTTAATCATATTTTTAAAAGATGACTTTAAGTCCATTTAATATAACATATAATGATCAAAACTATAAATGAAGCAGAAATTAAATGTAACTTTTGTGGGGAAGGGATGAGGGAAGCCCAGGCACCCAGATAGCCCAAAGTAATCATCAAATATGATGTCAGATAATAGGTGGTGACCCAGGCATATGACAATCATTGAGGCAGTTTAGCAAGATGCAACTAGTTGTCTAGACATATAGATGAACACAGTAACTGAGACACTAAAATAAGCTAATATGTACAAATTTGAAAAGATGGTAATTATCATCAAAGTGATCCAGCAGCTGGTCACAGAACTACAATTCCTAGATACTTACCTAAAACAAAGCAAAAACTCTTGACTGTAAGAATTTGGATAATGAGGAGTCTACAGAGGCAGGAACTTAGGAGAAAGATTTGCATGACTAAAGCTGGGTATTATATAACACCTTTGTGACATAAGTATTTGTAACAACACTTGAGAGATGATATACTTGAGGCTCAAAGAAGTAAAATGACTTACCCAGAGTCACAGGGCAAAAAAAGTAATGGAGTAAGAATTCAAGCCCAAGTGTTCTTCTCTTCATCATGGAATCCTGAATCAACAGGTGCGTAAGGGACCATGGCATCAATAATTAGAAGTATAGGTTTGTCACGGCGGCTCACACCTGTAATTCCAGCACTTTGGAAGGCCAAGAAGGGTGGATCGCCTGAGGTCAGGAGTTCGAGACCAGCCTGACAAATATGGTGAAACCCCATCTCTACTAAAAATACAAAAATTAGCTGGGTGCTGGCATGCACCTGTAGTACCAGCTACTCAGGAGGCTGAGACAGGAGAATTGCTTGAACCTGGGAGGCAGAGGTTGCAGTGAGCTGAGATCACGCCACCGCACTCCAGCCTGTGTGACAGAGTGAGACTCCATTTCAAAACAACAACAACAACAACAACAACAACAATAATAATAATAATTAGAAGTATAGTGTTAACTGGAAACACTCTTGGCTAGGTTGGAAATGCTGACTCAACCAAAGACTGGTCTGTATTTCCTAAACTATCCCTGATAAAGTTCAGTATAGATCCCAGAAGCTGAATGTTGCTTTTAGATCAAGGGTCAAACAATTGCAGCTACAGAGAGAAGGTAGCTTGTGGATGCAGAAAACCAGGCAGGCCTTGATTCTATTGATGTTACCCTTAAAAAGAGAAGCTTCTGATGACAGCATAATTTAACTTCAACATTTTACTTAAAATGAATCCCTTATTAACAATAGATAAACCAATGTAGAGTTCCTAAATGTTAAGAATAATAATTTTAAAAAGTGAATTAGCATATGCCAATGTGGAGTTTCAATGAGCTTTGCTTGTTTCTACCTAAGTACATAATCAATATGTTGCTAGGTTTTAATAAATACTGAATAGATTATTCATGTATTTTTTTAACTTTTCACAAAGAAACGTGTTATTTTCTGAAACAGCTCTTTCTGACTTGACAGTGTATCAAGACTATACTGAGCCTTAAAGTGATTACAAATGAGAGGCTCTAGTGTCAGTCGGGAAATAAGAATGATAAGGTAGACATCCCACTGATGTAAGATTGAACCAATCGTACGTTTGTGACCAACAGAGTGGAAACTTTGCCTGCATCACAAAATCCACTAGTTCGTATGCTCTCCCATCACAATCTCAAGGCTGGCAAAATGTTTTCCTTGGTTGGGTCCTTTGAGACAAATTAAAGATGTTTTGTTTAACTTGATGTCATCTAATCAAGTAAAATTGAAAAAGCCATAAAGGCTTGTTAAATTGAAAGTTTGCTTGAACTTGGAGCAGATTAATAGCTCTGTAGCCCTGGGATGCTATAAAAGGAGTTAATGGCATATACAAAAATCAATCAAGGAATTTAGTCTAAAGCGTATTTGGAATTTGAAATCAATAGCAGTATCATGTGAGGGTTTGATAGCCACAAGCATCATGGATGTGGAAAGAGCTTGGAGTAATAATGATGAAGGAATCAGGTAGTGCAGATTAAAAAAGATCCGGACCTTAATCTCATCCACTCATTTACAGTAGATGTTGTCACCTCACCACACCAAAATAATAATAATAAAAGAAAAAGCCATTTCAGGCCTGAAATCTCTCATTTTCACTTATCTTCTTTAAACTTTCTTATTCTTCACCACCATTCCGAGTTAGTTCTCTGTATTTCACAGGAAGATGTGTTTCTATTCCTTTCTTAGGCTGGCCCTGCCCGCTGTGCTTAGAATTCCATCTCTTTCTTCCTCCTCTGGAAATTGATTATCTCTAGTCCACACACATACCTCACCCCTGAGCTCTCAGATCCTCAATCCTGCCCTGTCTACCTCTTTTCTCACAGCCTGTAAACAAGCTGAAAACTCTTCTCATCTTAAAACACCTCCACTCTATCCCCACATTTCCCTGAAGGTTTTTTCCTAATCTCTCTTTCTTTTTCTCCAAAGTACTTGAAAGGATAATCTATATCTGTTGTCTATTGCCTCAACTTCCTTTCAACCCACTGCAATCTGGCACCTGCCTACCCACCTCCCGCCTCTGCTAAAACTGTTCTCAGAAAGGTCACAAAGGACCTCTTTACATTCAATCTTATGCTGTGGCTCTCAGATTTATATCTCCAACTGAGATCTCTTCTGAGCCCCAGATTGATGTACTAGCACTCTTCTTGGCATGTCTGTTTTGATGTTTCAAAGGCATCTTGAGTTTAATTTGCTCAAAACTTTATTCTTGATTTTTCCCTTTCAAATGAATTTCTTCCTCAGTCACTTTAATCTCACTATCCGACCATAATCCTGGGATTAATTGTTAACAGCTCCATTTCTCTCAAACTCCGCTGATCCGTTCTATTGCAAGTATCATCTATTCTACTTGCAAAATATTTATCAGGCCCGTCCATTTCTCCCCCGCTCTATTGCCACCAGTCTTTTCCAAACTATCATTACTTTTTACCTGGACCATTGTAGCTGCCTTTTACAGTCTTCTTGCTTTCACTTTTGACTCCCTCTAACCCAATTTCTGCCCAGCAGCCACAGTGATCTTTGCAAGATGTAAATTGGGTCATATTATTTCTCTGCTTTAAAATATTCAGGCCAGTTGCAGTGGCTCACGCCTGTAACCCCAACACTTTGGGAGGCCGAGGCAGGCAGATCACAAGGTCAGGAGTTCAAGACCAGCCTGGCCAACATGGTGAAACCCCGTTTCTACTAAAGATACAAAAATTAGCAGGGCATGGTGGCACATGCCTGTAATCCCAGCTACTTGGGAGGCTGAGGCAGGGGAATCATTTGAACTTGGGAGGCAGAGGTTGCAGTGAGCTGAGATGGCACCATTGCACTCCAGCCTGAGGGATAGCCTCAGACTCCATCTCAAAAAAAAAAAAAAATCAAAGACTTCCCACTACACTGGTAAAACTGTCCACTTCTTAACTTGATCTTCAAGCTCTTGTGTGACTTGACCTTCCTCATTATCTTCCTCATTATCTTGAATCCCATCTGTCATCATTTTCCTCTTGCTTACTGTATACATTACTCCAGCACAATAGACTTTGTTTCTGGCAGACCATATTTTCTCATATCCCATCATCATAACTTTCTCGTTTCTTCTGGCTGAAATGCTTTTCCCCACCATAGTTCTTTTGGCTTCCTCTTCTCATCCTTCAGTCCTCACCTCACATGCCACCTTCGATAGGAGGCTTTCTTGAGACTCCTCCAATCTAAGTTAGGAACCAGTAGTTATTCTCTTTCAAAATTCTTTTTTAGTTTCCCATTGCTATTGTCTGAAAGTTTGTATCCCTCAAAAATTCATATGTTGAAACCTAGCCCCCAATATAATGATATTAAGAAATGTAGCTTTTGGAGGTGATTAGATCACAAGGGCAGAGTCCTCATGAATGGGAAAACAGTAGTCCCCACTTATTTACAGTTTTGCTTTTTGTCTGAAAATATTAAATGGAAAATTCCAGAAATAAACTTTCATCAGTTTTAAATTATACCCTTGATTGGAGCATGATGAAATCGCCTACGATCCTGCTCTGTCCTGACTGGGGCATAAATCATCCCTTTATCCAGTGTATCCACATGTATATGCTGTCTATACTTCCTACCTATTAATCATTGACACCATCTGCTCCTGACATCATCATGGCTTGATGATCCAGGATCACCCAAAGCAGATGATGCTCCCTTTGATATATCTTCAGAAGATCAATAGTAACCAAAAGCTATGTCACAGTGCCTACGTCATTCACCTCATTTTATCTCATCATGCAGGCATTGTATCATCTCACATTACAAGAAGAAGGGTGAGGACAGTACAATAAGATATTTTGAGTGAGAGAGATCACATTCATGTAACTTTTATTACATTATATTTTTATAACTATTCTATTTCATTATTAATTATTGTTAATCTCATACTGTGCCTAATTTACAAATTAAACTTTATCATAAATATGTACATATAGAAAAAACATAGTATATGTAGGGTTTGGTACTATTTGCAATTTCATATATCTACTGAGGGTCTTGGAATATATCTCCTGAACGTAAGGAAAAACTACTACAGTGCTCTTATAAAAGAAGCCCTGAGATCTACCTTGCCCCTTCCACCATATAAGGACACAGCTAGAAGTTACCTTTTATGAACCAGAAAGTGAGCCCTCACCAGACACTAAAATCTGCCAGTACATTGATCTTAGACTTCCCAGCCTATATAACTATGAGAAATAAATGGCTGTTATTCATAAATTACCCAGTTTACGGCATTTTGTCATAGCAATCCAAATGAACTGAGACATCTATATCATAGTAGTATTTGTTTCCATGCTTGTTGTTTCTTTCCCCCATAGATTATAAACTTCCTGTGAGGGAAGGGATCATTGTTTTGCTCACCATTCAATCACTAAACCTAGTCTAGTACCTGAAAATAAATATTTGTGTAGTGAATGTATGCTAAATTTCTTGGCTTCAAACTTTTCAAGTCATTTGACTTTTAGAATATAAGTCTAGTTTAATTTTTTCAGATGAGATTTAAGAAGGATATTTTTACTTGCAATAAAATATCATTTCATTTATACATTCATTTATATACTTTATACAGTCTTTCATTTGTATAATTTTATATTCATGTTTTAAGACCATCTCAGCTGGGCACGATGGCATGGGCCTGTAGTCCCAACTATCTGGGAGGTTGAGCTGGGAGGATCACTTGACTCCAGGAGTTTGAGTCCAGCCTGGGCAACATAGTGAAACCGTATCGCTTAAAAGAAAAAAAAAAAAGAGTAGGATCTCTTAAAAGAAAAAAAGAAAAAAAAAACTATTTCAAAAATTATAAAAGTGTTAACCAACAGCCAGGTAAGGAAAGATCTAACATTTATATTACTTTAGGAATTTTGAAGGGTGGTAAGTGTAATGAAACTATGAATTTTTTTGTTGTTGTTTTATCATAAGGCATTAACTATGTTCTTCCTACTTACACTATGACCAAGTTTTCAGACAAAGGTAACACTTAGTGACACCTGGTTACTTTTACACTGGTTTCTTGTTTTAAAAAATGGTTTGATAACTTTTAACCTAGTCCTTGTCGTATGTATTTAATTTAATGAACTATCCACTTAATCCATCTGTTTAACTCTCAGAAGATTGTCATTGTCTTTATATAAATATCTTGATAGTAACAACATGTACACAGAATGTAAAGCAATAGTCATATTTAATTATTTCCAAAATAAAATTATTTTCTTGTCTACAAAAATAGCATGTGATAAGAAATATCTGGGTCAAATGGTATTTCTAGTTCTAGATCCCTGAGGAATCGCCACACTGACTTCCACAATGGTTGAACTAGTTTACAGTCCCACCAACAGTGTCAAAGTGTTCCTATTTCTCCACTTCCTCTCCAGCACCTGTTGTTTCCTGCCTTTTTAATGATCGCCATTCTAACTGGTGTGAGATGGTGTCTCATTGTGGTTTTGATTTGCATTCTTCTGATGGCCAGTGATGATGAGCATTTTTTCATGTGTCTTTTGGCTGCATAAATGTCTTCTTTTGCGAAGTGTCTGTTCATATCCTTTGCCCACTTTTTGATGGGGTTGTTTGTTTTTTTTCTTGTAAATTTGTTTGAGTTCATTGTAGATTCTGGATATTAGCCCTTTGTCAGATGAGTAGATTTCAAAAATTTTCTCCCATTCTGTAGGTTGCCTGTTCACTCTGATGGTAGTTTCTTTTGCTGTGCAGAAGCTCTTTAGTTTAATGAGATCCCATTTGTCAATTTTGTCTTTTGTTGCCATTGCTTTTGGTGTTTTAGACATGAAGTCCTTGCCCATGCCTATGTCCTGAATGGTCTTGCCTAGGTTTTCTTCTAGGGTTTTATAAATCATGCTGCTATAAAGACACATGCACACGCATGTTTATTGCGGCACTATTCATAATAGCAAAGACTTGGAACCAACCCAAATGTCCAACAATGATAGACTGCATTAAGAAAATGTGGCACGTATTCACAATGGAATACTATGCAGCCATAAAAAATGATGAGTTCATATCCTTTGTAGGGACATGGATGAAGCTGGAAACCATCATTCTCAGCAAACTATCACAAGGACGAAAAACCAAACACCGCATGTTCTCACTCATAGGTGGGAATGGAACAATGAGAACACATGGACACAGGAAGGGGAACATCATACACTGGGGCCTGTTGTGGGGAGGGGGGAGCGGGGAGGGATAGCCTTTGGAGATATACCTAATGTTAAATGACGAGTTACCAGGTGCAGCACACCAACATGGCACATGTATACATATGTAACTAAACTGCACGTTTTGCACACGTACCCTAAAACTTAAAGTATAATAAAAAAAAAAAAAGAAATATCTGTCCACCTAGTGTTATAAAATGGCCTAGCTTAGATATGGAAATTGTTCTGAGAAAATGGGAGGTTTGCAGAATTGAAATATTAAGTTTTATTCAAGTAAAGCACTACATTAACAACTGGAAATAAAATTTTTAAAGTATAGTTTTCAGACATAAGACATGAGTAGTTCTATAAAAGTCTGCCCTTGAATGGTCACATCTGGAGAATTAAGTCCAGTTTTTAATGCCATTTTAAGGTAATTTCATTCAGAAAGAGGAGACCAAGATATCTGTAAGAAAAATATAAGAAGGCATAGCAGACATTCTGAATGTTTTAACGTGCTATCATATAGCAGATGAAACTATGATCAGAGTTGCCCAGTGTGTTATTCATAGTTCTTCAGAGAAATAGAGCCAGTAGGCTAAACATATCCTATTGGCTGTATTTTATACAGAATAAAATATATAATGTATAATATAAAATATATAATTTAATGTAAAATACAGCCAATCAAGCCAATAGGACATATATAGCACATACATATATATGGAATATATAGCATATATAAAGAATATAGAGAATATATATTTACATATTTTTAGAAATGTATACATTTAGAAATATATATATATTTAGAATAGAAGCCTTTCCATTCTAAATGGTTACCAATACTATTCCCTCTCTCTCTCTTGCTCTCTGTCTGTCTATATATCCCACATATATACATATAAATATTGGTATATGATATATATAAAATATATATGTATCTTATCTCTATATATAGATATCATATATATGATACATAGCTATCAATACCACTACATATATAATAGTATATATTATATACCAATACATGTATATAGATATATATACAGAGAGAGAGAGAAAGATAGGTAAAGTACAGATAAGATATATATCTATATATAGAGAGCGAGTGAGAAATAAGAAAGAGAGAGAAAGACAGATTTATTATAAGGAATTGGCTCACGCAATTATGGAGGCTGACGATCTCAAGATCTACAGAGTGAGTCAGCCAACTAGAGAGCCAATGGTGTAATTCCAGTCCCAGTCCAAAGGCTTGAGAACCAGAATTGATAGCGTAACTCTAGTCTGAAGACCTAACAGACTCAAGACCTAGGAAGTACTGATGTTTCCATTTGAGTTCAAAAGCAGGAAAAAACCTGATGTGTCAGTTTCAGGGTAGTCAGACAGGAGGAATTGTCTCTTACTCAGGGGAGAGTCAGTTTATTTGTTCAACTCAGGCCTTCAACTGGTTGGATGACGCTCACCCACGTTGTGGGGGGCAAGCTGCTTTATTCAGTCTACTGATTTAAATGTTAATCTCCTCCAAAAACACCCTCACAGGAACACCCAGAATAATATTTGACTACTGGACACCTCGTGATCCAGCCAAGTTGACACATAAAGTTAACCAGCACATCTAGAAATGCTAGATTTGAACCCATTCAATTCCATTTAATTCAACTAGCACTTCTTAAGTAGCGATATGTGGCTCTTTGTACTACTAAGTGCTGGTGATATAGCAGCAACAAGTAGACAATAGTCAGAAGCTGCAAGAAGGTAGATTTAGAAGTTAAGAGACTCTCCAATGAGCAGCAGTGTTCATTCATGAAATAGATCCCTGCTTAAGAAGGAACTTCCCCTACCACAGAGACACTTCAACTAATAAGAAATGGCCACATACCAGAAATAATATAGAAGACATTCCTCATTGAGAGGCCAGTTTAATTTTATAAACTTCAAGGTCTCTTTTAGCCTCAAAATCTAGACTGCTGGGAGTTTATTAAATTTAGTTACATCACTAATACATTGCTTTCTGTGCCTATCTCAAATATTAATTCTAAAGTGATCCTGATTTATAAAGGAAATTAGAATATAGAAAAAAATATGAATATATAAACATGTAAATACTCACAAGGAAAACATGAAATATAGGACAATTACAAGCAAAAGCCTTTAAACCATTCTTACTTTTATTGCTGCCTGCCAAATCATTAGTTCTGATCTGAAATAATGTAAAACCAGCATCTACAACATGCTGCACACTTTCTATTCATGGATGCAAAACACCAAAAATAACAGAAGTAAATTGAACTTCATGAATGATTCATGACTTCCTTTGCTTTATGTCCCCATTGTCAAGGAAATTAGCAGCATTGGATATCTCCTTAGATAAATCTGATTTTGCCATATTCAGTAGACTACTTAATGAAAATGAATATTTCACATTTATGTTCATAGAAATGTTAATGAATTTTAGTGCCTGTAGCTTTTTTGATGAGAAGAGGGGTGGGTGGAGAGAGGAAGGGAATATTTTTTCAGAATTAATTTATTCCTTTTTCCAGCCTGCTTCTTTGAAACTGTGAAAAAGTACTCTCTCTGAAAAGTATCTGATCTTTCAAAGTTATAAAATAAAAGCCAGTGGGGGAATGGAGTTCCTTTTATGAAAATTAGTTTTGCAATCAACTTGACTATAAAGTTAGCCTCATAGTTGTTCACTTCTATACTACAGACAGTTTATTTTCCATCCATGGGCAAGCGGCTGTGTAGATTGATGAGAATATCTCAGATTTACAGATTTAGATTCTGGAAGTTTGTTCTTCCATTGGTGTCATGATGGATGACCATTTTGCAACTAGATTCCAAAGAGGAAGTGTAAAATAAAGCTCATTTTTTAAAATCTAAAGCTTTTAGGAAACAACCAAACACTTAAAGACACATTTTATACAGGAACTTTGATCTTCTAATACTGGACACCCTTGCTGAACTAAGGAACTTTTTGATTCACTTGAGATCCAAACTTGATAATAACAATATCTAATATTTATTAATGGGCCAGGCACTTTATAAAGATTCCCCACTGATTTCTCTCACAAGAAGAAAATCGAACCATCAAGGTAGTAACTAGCTTCAAGACAAAAATCTGTAGAGGTTTGAATGAGATTTGAACTCAGTCAATCTGACTGGCAAGTCTACGATTTAGCCCTTATAGTCTCTTGAGAAAACTTGCTTCTTAATACTGTCTTCACAAAACCTTTTTCTCTGGCTTCCCCACTAGGTGTGAGTTGGGTGGTTTTAGGTGTACTCTATCTGGACAGGAAGCAAACACCTGAGAAGAAAGCACATTTTAATTGGTCCTTCTCTCTCACCGAATCTGTCCCAATTCAGTTCTTAAGTAGGCTTTATTTTTGACATTCTTGCCAGTTAAACCAAATATTCATATACTTTTAGAATAACAATTATTTTGCCAAATCACTTCTATAAATGCAATAGATCACACAATGGTCAGAAACCCTTTCTCTTCTAAATGGCTACCAATACTATTCCCCCAAATCACATCAGTGTGGTGCTGGGCCTGACAACAATGGTGCTACAGTTTCAAAGTCCATTTATTATCCATAATTATAGTGCAACAGGCACTATATTCAAAGTCAATTTATTATTCATATATATGCATTAACATCTACAACCTTGGAAATGGACATATTCTTATGAGGGGTCTTGGATTTTCTATGAACAACATCCACATACGAATAATGAAACAAGTATATAATTTAGTTCCCATATAGGTGTCAATTTCCACATTTAAGTTACATTATTCTTATCTTTAAGATGAAAGACTTTTAAAGGGAGCTTTTAAAAACTATTGATACTATGCCCCACCCCAGGCCAATAGCATCAGAATTTGTGGAAGGTGGGTCCTAGCACAAGAATTTTTTAAGCTTCCAAGTTGATTCCAATATGCAGCCACATTTGACAGCCACTGCTCTAAGGTTGCCATGCATTGTTTTTTTTTCCTCTTCTCTTTTACTTTAACCTCCTCTTTTAATAGACCCAGTTCTCTAAATAAAAAGCAGAATAGAAACATAGAAATGAAATAAAGTACAGCAAAGAACAGAAAATGACATGATTTTCAAAGGAAGAAATCACTGAAATGATCAAAGGAAAAATTGTAAACTATTCTTTCTTTTATTTCCTCTGGCAGAAGGCTCCATTTTTTCTCTCTAAAGTGCATGCCTTGAAATAGGTGGACCAATGGACCCTGCCTTACATTAGAATTAAGTGCTCCAGCTTAATATTCAAATCTATGTAATAAGAAGTCAAGTTGTTACAAGATGTTAATCTATTTTTAAAATTCATATATATAAAATATATACATATTTTTATATTCATATATTTATAAATATATTTATATAATATATATTATATTTATATATTTAAAAATATATACATATATATTTAAAACCCATTTTATTTATATATATATATATATATATATATATATATATATATATATACACACCACGTATTAATATGAATGTGACCAATAAACATTAATTTGAATAATGATGCTATGGAAAGGGGAGTTATCTATACTTGGGAGAGACATGGTCATCAGCCACTTTAGCAACATTCTCTGCCATGTAAAAGAAATAAAGCAAGTTAAAATGTATGTTTGAATGAATAGACAACGGTTTTTACAATAGCTTCTCAGGCCGGGCACAGTGGCTCATGCCTGTAATCCCAGCATTTTGGGAGGCTGAGGCAGGTGGATCACCTGAGGTCAGAAGTTCAAAACCAGCCTGGCCAACCTGGCGAAACCCCATTTCTACTAAAAATACAAAAATTAGCTGGGCATGGTGGCATACACCTGTAATCCCAGCCACTCAGAAGGCTGAGGCAGGAGAATCACTTGAACCCAGGAAATGGAGGTTGCAGTGAGCCAAAATCGTGCCATTGCACTCTAGCCTGGGCAACCAGTGTGAAACATCATCACCCCACCCCCCCAAAAAAAAGAATAGCTTGTCAAACAGAAATGAAGCACAGTCTATTTCTTTCAAACATAAAAAATTATATAAGAATAATTTCTGTGTGTTAATCTTCATCCCACCACACTGTGCCCTATAGGTACTGGCTGTACTCATTTGATTGTGTAAAAAGGTAGATTTCTCAGAAAACTCCTAGTACGTTATTGCATTGATTCCAAATCAATTGTATTCCCAGGATTTAGATTATGTGTACCTACAATGTAGACAAAAAAATTTCACTGAATAGAGCCAAGGGCTTGCCTGCCCTCATCTTAGACACTATCAGAGCAGAATCACACAACATGTGTGAGATGCACCTTGCAGTGCTTGTCGAACATTCAGGGTCTTGCTAAAATCAGATTCTGAGTTAGTGAGCCTGAGCTGGGGCCTGAGAGTCTGTATTTCAAACATTTCCCAGATGATACTAATGCTGTTGGTTGATGGACTCAACTTTGAGTAGTCAAAATCTGGAGTCAGCATAAATAAATAAGTAAATAAATAAATAATAATTTTAAGAAAATTTTTTAAAAAGCCTGTCTCACCTGTCCTCCTCAATCTATTTTCCCAGCCTGTTTGCTTCCTAATGTGATTTAAATGGTTAGCTAAAAGGCTTTTTTCACACTGTTTGCTCAGCCCTTGAATCAGAGAGTTTGAGTTTTAAATAAACTGAGGCAGAAAAGTCTTTTTCAAATTACCTGAAATACATACACCTGAACAGCAAATTTTGTTAAGTAACATTCCTGGCATTTCTTATGTGTGGAGGACTTCCAGAAATATAGTATCATTAATACTCCTAAACCCGCATTAAAAATAATATTTGGGCAAATATTTTCTATGTAGAAAGGACTTATTTTAACAAAGAAAAAATTTTAAACACTCTATTTGATTTTATTTGACTCTGTGTCCAGAAACTAGAGATTTTTTAGTAGAAGGAGCACATAGTTTACACCTCCGCTATCTAGAGGTCTGCAATTTAATGAGTCATTCTGGAGAGCACAAGTTTTCCCGACTTTATTTAAACTATTCTTGATGTAAATCTTTCTCAACACAGAATTCTGAAAAGCATTTATCCTTTTTTGATGATTCAAGGTCATAATTGTGGGCGTTTCTCATGATGTGTTAAAGCTCTAGCTTCACATGAATTAAAGGCAGATGTAAAGGACTTGTTCTCTGATCTTCTTAGTGACCTGAAAACCTATCTTTTTGTAATATCTTCCTGGGCAGAGTGATGAATCACCTCTCTATGTAATTAATGTGTCAACAGTAGAAAAGTCCATCTTAGTCATTAGGCATATTTTTACAACTTAGGACATAGGTGTTTTTCTGGCATAGTTCTCATTTTAAGTAACCTAGTCCCTTTACTAGGAATCAGTAATCGTTTTAGCATGAATTGTGAGCTTCAGGGTCTCAGCCATGGTCCAGATCCTGAATGTCTACCTCCTCTTTACCTTCCTCCATCCTGTCTGCAGTAACGATAGGTTCTCACGGGTCACCTGCATTCACTCAGTATCCAGTTATATATATATATAAGTGTTTTCTACATGAACTCCCCTATTCTTGTTGTTGTTGCCATTATTTTATATCTTCCTCTTTGAATTTGTACATGTTATATGTAGAGGGAAGGTATGTTACATAATTGTCATCTGATTTTAGATTGGAAATATTCGGAAGTGTCCTCCCATTTGCCCCAACAAATGCAAGATGATACTCTCCCTGTTGTCCATCTGATTATTTCCTTCCAACTGTTCATCTAGTTGCATAATAAAAGGAACAAGCCTGATTCTGCTACATTTTCACAGCTTCTTGACCAGTATGTACAGTTACAATAAAACTAAATTTTCTTCCTAGTTTAATGAAGTTTAAGAAGTATTCTTCTGCTACGTTGATACCAGGTTATAATGTTACTCTTCTTAAAGTTTTACTTTGCAGAGAATTTCATGCATAACAAACATTGAAAATTCTCTTTTTTTCCATTTGAAGATGAATAATAATGCTATGATGATAGCATGACTAGAAGTAGCAAAAACTAAAGCAAAAGCATGCTTAGATTGAATCTCAGATACCATGTTCACATGCCACGAAGACCATGAGAAGGGCAATCCAAGAGTAGGTCAAGGTGAGATGTATGTTGAATGTATTTGGAGGCATGAATACAGAAGATTTAAACCTGGCAAAGATGACACTGGACACCAGCTCTGAGACTTATGCATTACTCTGACTGAATTCACATGGGAAGCATCTTTTTGTCATAAGTTCTGTTTTAGACATTCAAGATCTACACTTAGAAGTAAACTGGTCTTTCTAAATCAAAGCCCTGAGAAAATGCCATCGACCAAGTGGAAGAAAGCTGCAAGTAGAGCCCAGATCAGTGTTTAACATTTTAAATTTATATCATCAATTAGACATTTAAGTGGAGATATCAAGTGAAAGTCTAAGTTTAGAGTTCAGAGGAGAGATTCTATCTGGAAATATAAATTTACAAGTCATGATCTTGTAGATATATTTAAACCCATGAATCTGAACGGCATTTCCAAGGTAATTAGTATACCTCAAGAAGAGGTCCAAGTGCTTAGTCTTGGTCAAATCGGTGCTAGAGGTTGGGGAGATAATAGAAAACACAAGCATGGCAATGATTATGTGCAAGCACATTGTAAATAATATCCCATTTAATCTCAACCATAACTCTATCAGTAGGTGCCACCGTTCCCATTTTTCCAAGGAGGAAGTGTTGTTACCATTTACCAATGAAGAAGCCAAGACACAGTGGCAATAGCTAACTTGCCTTTGTTCATACCTAGTAAGTGGCAGAGCCAAATCTGCAAACTAAAAGAGATGACAGTGAGATAGGAGAAAACCTAGGAGAGAAGGGTATGCTTGAAATCAAGGTAAAAAAAAAATGTTCTAGAAAAAGAAGTGATCACCTAGGACAAATGTCCCTGATAGTGCAAGTTGGATGACAACTGATAACTGACAATTGGATTTAGCAACACAGAGTGCTGGAGTGAAAGTCTAAATGGAGTGGATGGAAGCTAGACCAGGAGATAATTACAGTTATGAGGGGGATAAGACACAGTCAAAAAGTGGCCAATTAATAAGCCAGTTGGATGTGATGCAGTTATTGGTCATAACAAGGTCTAGAGATGGGAGTGAGTGGTGAGGTGAAATGCAGGAAATGATCATTGCAGAGACCAAGGAATTTAAAGTCTGGTGTATAGAAAAATAATCCGCATGTATATTGGATTCACAAAGAACTAAGACAGGAGTTTGAAGTTGAAATAGAAGCCAAACATAGAAAAAGGAGAATAATTAACCTTGGATTGGCAGATGACAACAGCAGTAAGATGACATAAGATTCAAATTTAGGAAGGAGTAAGGGAGAATAGTCTGGAAGGGACAATAAGAAACAGAGTCACTTGAACCTGGGAGGCAGAGGTTGCCATGAGCTGAAATAGCTCCACTGCACTCCAGCCTAGGTGGCAGAACAAGACTCCATCCCCCCATCCCCCGAAAGAAGTGACAAAGAGTCACTTCATATAACTCCAAGGCCTAATACCAGGGATGTAGGAGAAAAAGCAGCTAGGACTTCAGAGAGCTGGTGGATAAGCTATGTTTGTAAGGGAGAGCAAGGTTTTGATAAGAGGAGGTGGTGAGGATGAGAGCATTGAGGATATGGGGATTTTACTTTTGATGGACTGTGTGCCTCAGTGGGCATAAAGGAGGGTTTTGGAATCATGGAGGGCTAAGAACTGAAGACAGAATAAGGAATGCATAGATCTGGCCGGACACAGTGGCTCACACCTATAATTCCTGCGCTTTGGGAGGCCGAGGCAGGTGGATCACTTGAGGTCAGGAGTTCGAGACCAACCTGGCAAGCAGGTTTAGTAGAAACCCCGCCTCTACTAAAAATACAAAAATCAGCTAGGTTTGGTGGCACACACCTGTAATCCCAGCTACTTGGGAGGCTGAAGCAGGAGAATTGCTTGAATCTGGGCAGCAAAGGTTTCAGTGAGCCGACATCATGCCACTGCACTCCAGCCTGGGCGACAGAGCCAGACTCTGTCTAAAAAAAAAAAAAAAAAAAAAAAAAGATAGATCCTTGTGGGATGTCATTAAAATATCATGTAAAGTGCCCAGTACAGTCCTTACTGCATTTTAACTACTCAATAAATGGGGGTAACAACTGTCATGAAAGTACAGGGCAATCAGCTATTTGCTTCCCCCAGAATTCTGAGCGGCTTCAACTTCTTTCTGTAACAGTTGTGAATGCTCCTGCTCTTCAGTTTTCTCACATTTGTCATCACTGTGATTATTGTCACTGCTGCTGTCAATGTCGTCATCACTTTCCCCTCTTCAATTCTAGCCATTTTCTTCCATATCTCTTGGCTTCCACCTAAAAAGCTGATCTTTCTATACATCACCAATCAAATCAAAGCTCTCTTCTCCTTTGCTCTGGAGCTGACTGATGACAAAGTGCTATTTGTCTCACTCTTCCTGGCTGTATTTATCTAAGTTCCCAGATGTTTCTGATTCTTTCATCTTGCAAGTGTTCATTGTGCACATGCCTTTTCTGACACCATCAGTACTTTTAGGATGACAAGATGACTACATCCTAGTCCGTCAAAAGCTTACATTCCCAAAGTAGCATTTTTACAGATGCACCACGCCATTCTCAAGCGTTTTAGACTATTAGAAATTAGATCATTGACCAGTAACTAGAGAAACCTTTCGTTGATATTTTAACTAAGCATTAAATTCCAATGTGCTTTTTTTGTCAAGTCCACAGGCTAGCGACTCAATTCCTTTTAGGCTTGTGATCACTTGAAAAGACTCTGAAGACACGTATTTCTCCCTATTATTGGCAGGTCAAATATTAATACAGCTACTAGTTTCAGCTTATCCCTGTGTACCTCATTGCTAAGCAGACAACTTTTCAGCATTCTTTTGTGTGTTCTACGAAGCACCATGCAGATGATTGCTCAGCCCGCTTGGTAGAAAAGGAGGTGATGTGATAAGGAATTTAGCTCACAGTTCCTCTTCCTAATTCCCAGGAAAGAAATATCCACTATTTGTTGCACTGAACAACTCTACCTCATACACAATTCTAGATAAATCTTCCATTTTTTTAAGGAAGAAAAATGGGAGTTGGGGGCAGATGTGCTGGTACATTTTCCAAAAATATCCATTTGTAGATTTAGCAGTTCAGTTCCTAACTAATACTTTGGGGAATCAAACAGAATGCTAAAAAAACTTGGTTAATAATTCAGATACCCATAAATCTATTTATTCACCCACAAAGTTTCTAGACTCCTTACCATGTGTCATGAACTATTCTAGGCAAAACAAGCCCCAGCTCTAATGTACCTTATTATCTATTATAGGGAAGTATAAAATAATCAAAACAGTAGGAAATGTAATGCAGGAGTGATAAAGAAAAGAAAATCCAGGTGGAAGAATTGAGAGGTATGTGGTCTGTGAGTATGTGCTGTACACAGACATTCTGTTTTGGATAGGGAAGTTATGAAAAGCCAATAACACTACTCGAGGAAAGTAAGCCACAGCATCTGTGTACATTTCATAGACATGAAAACCAGGCATTGAGCTGTTGAAAGCTCTGTTCAGTGCCAGCAAGAAACTCAACAATTCTGAACTGTGGCTTAGGGAGAGCAGAACATGCTTCAGTGCCCTGGAAGTTACTTTTATTGAATCTTTATCAATCTCCACTAATTATTGCATTCAACCAATTATGAACAAGTACCTAGAAAGTAATGACATATTTATGTGTGTATGTGTGCATATGTGTGTGTGTGTGTGTGTGTGTGTGTGTAATGCTTTTATACATATTTTTTAGTCCCACAACAACCTATAGGAAAAGTAAGAGAGTTGTCATTAGTTCTATCATGCTGATGGAGTCACCAAGCCCAGGAGAAGTTAAATGAATTCACCAAATACATACAGTTAGAAAGTGGCGAAGCCCAGACTACATTATGGGCTATATGAGTTAAAAATCTGTTCTTTCCACTGTAGGAAACTTTACCCTGTTGAACAGGTTGTTTTCATAGAGCAAAAATAAATAAATGCACACACACACACACACACACACACACACACACCCCACTTTGGGAAACTTAATTAACTTTCTTAGGTCTCAAGGGTATTTCTGAATGCTGAAAAGCCATAGTCCACTAAGTAATAAGTGACTAAGAAGAATTCTAGTTTCCTCCAAAGTGCTAACTATAACTTTGTGCATATAAATGCATTTAGTTGAAACTTAACATTCCAAAATTTAACATTTGACATTCTGTTGCCAGTTAAGGTCTTGTCAAGAAAACAGAAGAGTCACTCAATATATTCAAGGTGTTACAAGTTTTAATATAGGGAACTAAGAGCTTACACAAAGCTTGGAAAATCTGGTGAGGAGAGGTCAGAGAAACCAGCCTTGGTAATTTCAGCCTGCAGCACCCAAGCAAGGAAGGTGTTGTAATACTCAAGGATCTCGGGGAAGCTCCTACCAACTATCTTAGTCTCTATAACAAGTTGGAGGTACTCAAATGCTCCCCAGTAAGTCTTTGTGAATCTCACATCAGCCCATTCATCTGGCAGCAGTTGCCTCCAAAATAATGGCCTTTCCTCCACCATGTTCCAAATCTGGTGCTGTCTTAGTCCATTTGCGCTGGTATAATATGATACCTTCGAGGGGGTAGGTTATACACAGCAGAAATTTATTTCTTACAGTTCTACAGTCCAAGATCAAAGCACCAGTAGATTCAGCTCCTGGTGAGGGCCCACTTCCTGCACAGACAGGCATCTTTTCACTGTACTCTCTCACATGGCAGAAGGGATTAGCTGGATCTCTGGGGTCTCTTCTATAGGGCATTATTCTATTCACTAGGGAAGAGCCCTCATGATTTAATCACCTCCCAAAGGCCCAACCTCTTAATGTCATCACCTCAGGGCATAGGATTTCAACATAAAAATGTTCTGTAAACACAAACACTCAGGCCATAGCAGGTAACAATACATCTCTTTGGCAAACTCAAACCTGGGAAAGGAGATTCTGAAAAAAAATTTTCACCATCTTTTCTATGATAGCTGTGGTAGCGATGCCAAGTTGACATAAGCAATCTAAGACAAGCATGTCAGAGTTACCTCAGAATTTCATGTTACATTATTTGTAAGTTTGCTGAAGCATAACCTGGGATCTTATGCTCTGACTGGCATAGCACAGGAGCAAGCCACACAGCCAGGGAGGATAACTTAAATCAATCACTCAACTTTCAAACCATGTAGTCAGTAAATATTTGATAAGATCTTTTTATGTGCAGTGAACAAAACAGAGAAGGACCCAGCCCTTGTGGCACCTGCATATTGATAGGGCTTTATTCTCAACTCCATGAAATTTGCATTTTGGGGAATTTACAAGCTGTTGAGTCATTCACGGACTTGGGGAGCATCAAGAGTTTAAGATTACTTCAGCCATTTTAATAACCAACTGCAAAATCATTCAGTTCAGTTATAAAAGCAATCCGAAATACCCACCAAGTCATAAGATGTCATTTCTTGATTCATTGTTTCGATCCCACAACACCAGTGGCCATGCTCTCTGGAAATTAATCACAATAATCCACAACGTTTATATAACCTTTTGCACTTATGGAAATGTATTTTCTAGCATTGTCTTGTCTGACCCTCATAAACATCTAGCAAGTAAAGGTGGGTAATTTTTCTCTTTTCATTACTGAAAAATCTGGGACACAACAAAGAGCAATAAATTGTCTAGTTAGTTAATGAACAATGGTGGTCTGCAAGCTAGGTCTTCACTCAAATTAGTGTTCTTCTACAGTATCACACTGCCTGTTTCGTACTAAAAGAACTAGAATTAGCACTTGATATATGAGAAATTATAGAATTTTTAAAACTCTGACCTTCTAATCATTTTTTTTCGCACTTGTAATTGTTTTTCTGGCTTAAATTCTGAACCAAAGTGTCTGGAAATATTCCTTTCTTTGTTTAATGAACAAATGAACAAATCTTCTTTGGACAGAGCCCTTCCTTTCGTGAACATCCCCTGCAATAAATAGGTCACCTGGTCACATTCATATCTATGAGTAGTTTATTAAGTCACATCTGCCCTAAAAGATCTATGCCTGGCAAAAATCCTTTTAGGGAACACAAGCACTTATAACAGAATTTTAGAACCAGAGAGGACACTGAAGATTATTTAGGTCAACTCCCTTATATATAGATGAAGAGAGTGAAATCCTGTGAAGCTCAATAGCATTGAGGTCAAACTCACACAGTTAGTTACTTAGAAGTGGACTAGTGTGCAGAAGTCTGATTTAAAGATTCAGTGAGCATATCCTATGCTGTCAGTATGTGAGGGGTGCAGAAAAGTTTTTTTGTTATTTTTTCATTTACTTTTTCTTTTTTTCTCTATCTGAATCAGTCTTTAGAAAGGAAAGTTTTAAACACATCTTTTTGCTTAAAATCTAGTTTTGGAAACTTAAAACTACTTAAAAAACAAAAGGCAAGAAATAAATAATTGCTAAATAATGGTCCATAAACTGGAATTTCTGTAATTCACTGAAGGAATAGATCAGGGATTTATTTTTAATACTTGTCTTATTCTACAAAAGACATGAGGCACCCCACAAAAAAATACTTTCAATGCAAAAGGATTAAAATTAGCAATTATGGTGACAAAAACAAAGGAAAACTATGGATAGAAAAATAATAAAGCCAGACCTGTCATTACAGTTGAAAGACCATACAGTTGAAAGAAACAGACCTCAGCTTTATCACTTAGTTTTCTAATGGCTGAAGTAAATAAAATACAACTTATGATTCAAATTTTCCATAAAATAAAAACCTAGTTTACTTTTCAGAAGATGTACAGCTTTTCCTAATGAGGTGTGAGGAATAGTTCTCCTGTAGGTATTCAGAAAGAGGGCCCTGAATTTCATCCAGTTCTTTCTTACAGAATCCATCAATGTGGTCCATTAGCATGACACCAAAGTACAATTCATAAAGCAGCATATTAGATCCAAAATGATGTCACTAAGGGGTCCAACAACCTTGTGGTCTGGCTTGTTTGAAAGGCACCATTCAGGGTATGTAGAGAAATGGATCAATTACCTGACCCTTAAGTATTTCTTCCAAAACATTATTTATGGCACTATGGAAAGCAAGGAAACAGACCTCAATGCTGTCATATTTGGCAAGATGTGTGGTGTGAAGATTCCATCACGCTGGCTGATGGATGCTCCACAAGCTTGGATAATCAGCCAAGTAGAGGCGAGTGTCATTAAGGGCATCTGAGAAAATGCCAGGACCTAACTGAATCCTGTTTAATATGCTTGTGCACGGCTAAATAGTATGGTTAAAGTCACCCTCACTCAACTTAAAAAAAAAAAAATGTCTGTTCTGGGTCAAGCAGAAAACAGACCCGAGACAGGGTTAGAGAATTTAGGAATGGCTATTTGGAGGAAATGGGACTTGAACTTGGACAGACAAGGAGAAGTGAGGAATTTTTAAACGAGGATAAAATCACACACCACTTTGGTTGGGGGAGGTACAGGTAGGAGACAAGTCAGTTTGGGATCAATGTTTGTGACTTCAAAATGCAGCAACAATGGACCAACTCTAAACACAATTCAGCTTGACCCTTTTTATGGAAATATTGCCAGTAGAAATTTCTTTAATTTAATATGACTGCACTGGTTTGATAGGGTTTCAAGCCAATGAATTCAGTAAGTGAATTTGTTTTGATGACCTTTCCAAATTTGTTGAATGCTGTGAAAATCCCCTGCAGACTTTCTAACAGTTCCAAAGCTAAAAATAATGACCTCACTGAGGATTCTGTCAGCTGTCCTGATTGAGAGAATGGCTGAGAATGACTGATGGACCCTGGTTGCAAAATGAGACTTAGAAATTTGCAGCCTGGCATGTATATACCAGAAAATTAGGCCTGTGCTCACTAGAGAGCATGTGTAGGGTCAGAGGACCAAAAGAATTGTAGTTACATTTATACTTAATTGAAATCTAAACCTGTACCACGTATTCATATTATCCTCACAACCTCTCTATGAAGTAAGAAGTATCACTGGCTTCTACAAGTGGTAGCAGAAACTCAGAAACTTTTAGTAACTTGCTCAGAGTTACACATCTAGTTAATGTCAAAGACCTTGAACTCATGCCTTTCTGACTTAAAAGCTAGCTTTTTAATCTCTGTACAACATAGACTGTCAGCTTCTTAGGGGCTGTTGCTTTAGATTATATTACTAAAGTGCTTTGGTTGATAGTATAGAGCATAATAAAGGAAAGCAATTTCTCAGAGAATAATCATGGAATTTGAAGGCTGAGAACCTGAAATTTGAAGGCTCACTGAGGGATCATTAACCCTGTCTTCTAATTCTGGATATGATATGTCAAAGAGTGGTAGCAAAGGTGAGCAACTCAGAATACTGCTAGACCTGGCTAATGGAGAAATTGATGGTTGGGTTCACAATACTGTGTACTTCAAAATTCTTCCCTGCTGTCTTCTCTGGGGCAAGTCAACAATTAGTTGTAGAATATGAGAAAGGAACTGTGTTCGGGTATAAAAAGATTCCTAAACAGGTTTACCATATATTGTCATGTGCCATCATGATATTATATGGTTAGAGTACTGGAAGCTGGGTTTCTGCTTTTGTAATGAAAATGTCCTGATGACCTGAATATTCAAAGGTTATTGTTTTTAGTTTGGAGGAAACAATACCAAAACATATAGAAAGTCATGTATAACTAGGTTACAAAATCAAACTTACTGAATCTTTTTTACATGACCACCTATTGCATTCAGCAATGAATATCAACACAAGCGCTATAACTCATGCTTGGATTTACATTTTTTTAAAAAAAATCTTAAGTGTCAGTGGGGTGTCTCCAACCAATCTGTTACTGGCACATTTTTTTGTTTTGTTTTGTGTGTGTGTTTTTTTGTTTTTTGTTTTTTGTTTTTGACAGAGTCTTGCTCTATCCCCCAGGCTGGAGTGCTGTGGCACAGTCTCAGCTCACTCTAACCCCTGCCTCCCAGGTTCAAGCGATTCTCATGCCTCAGCCTCCCAAGTAGCTGGGACTACAGGTGTGCACCACCACGCCCAGCTAATTTTTGTATTTTTAGTAGAGACGGAGTTTCACCATGTTGGCTAGGCTGGTCTCAAACTCCTGACTTCAGGTGATCCGCCTGCCTCAGCCTCCCAAAGTGCTGGGATTACAGCCGTGAGCCACTATGCCTGGCAGCATTCTTTTACGTAACTCTCAGTCTGTAAAATGTTTTTCAGTGCCTGGCGAAGCATTTATCTACACTATTAAAATCTATGTCTAATGTGTCTTCCCTCTTTCCTGAACAATTGAATATTCTCTCTTGAAGACATAGTTTTTAGAATTGGCATCAAATAATCAGAAATGTTAGGTTAATTATTTCATTAATCCATTCAACAAGTACTTATAGGCTGGGTGGGCCCTTGGCACTATGCTAAGATGACAACAGAGAGCAAAAGTTAAGAGGGCCCCTATCCTCCCTAATGGAGTTTTCAAGCAGTAAAGGAGATAGGCACTTGTCAAAGACTTACACCAATAAAGGTAAAATTGCTATGAAATAGTGAATTGGCAGAATTGGACTAAGGAGGTAAAGAGAGTTTTTTTGAGATTGTGTCTATTGCTTAGAAATCTAAAGGATGAGTACAGAGTTAACTAGGCAAAGAGGAGTTGAAAGTGCCTTCCAGGTAAGGAAAACATCAAGTTGAAGACCCTGTGGTAGGAAGGATCTTGGTAAGCATAAGGGATGAAAATAAATCTAATGTGGTTGTAGTAATAAGATACAAAAGACCATGGTGTGAGTTGAAATTGGAAATGTAGGTATAAGTTGAGCATTCCTAATCCAAAAATTCAAAATCCAAAATGCTCTAAAATCTGAAACTTTTTAAGCACCAACATGATGCCACAAGTAGAAAATGTTACTCCGGACCTCATGTCACTGGTTATAGTCGAAATACAGGAACACAATAGTTTATTCAGCATCCCAAAGGGAAAAAAAGACCCTTCCAGCTCCTTCTGCTGTGATTTATTTTTTCTGCACATGCCCAGATTCCCCCAAACAAGCACACCCACAATGCATAATAAAATGGCATGTGTGCAGACCAGACATGCCAACAGCAGTTTTCCCACAATGCCCCACATGAGGCCACAAACCTACATGTATTACTCACTGTGTATTTTTTGCTTATTCTTTGTTCTGTGGTATAAAGATATTGTTGAAAATGGCAAAAAAAAAAGGCCTGCAGATACCCCTATCAATAACAGTGAGAAGAAAAAGAGAAAGAATTTGTTTGTTTATAGCACAGAAAGCCAAGCTGTTGGAGAAACTGGGCAGCACTGTAAGTGTGAAACATCCTTCAGGAGAGTAAGGCATTGGAAGGACCACCACATATGACCTGAAGACACAGAAGAAACTGTTGAAGTTCTATGATAAAAGAGATGAATAGGAGTTAATGAAAAATAGAAAACTCTACATAAAACTAAAAATGAAGATCTTGACTGTGTATTGAAAAAGTCGATTTGTCAGCATGGAAGGTGAACATATGCCAATTAATGGGATACTGATCATGAAACAATCAAGTATCTATTATGATGAACCTGGATTGAAAGAAACTGTGACTATTCAACAGGCTGATTGCAGAAATTTAAGAAAAGACATGGCATTAATTTTCAAGATTTGTGGTAATAAGGCATCTGGTAATCATGAAGCAGTGGAGAAATTCATTGATGAATGTGCCAACATCATTGCTGATGAAAATCTGATGCCAGAACAAGTCTATAATGCTGATGAAACATTACTATTTCAGCATTATTGCCCCAGAAAGACACTGACTTCAGCTGATAAGAAAGTCCCTACAGGAATTTAGAATCAAAGACAAAATAACTGTGCTGGCCCGTGCCAATGCTATAGGCAGGTATAAGTGTAAACTTGCTGTGATTGGAAAGTTTGCATCCTTGCTGTTTTCAAACAGTGAATTTCTTACTAGTCCATTATTTTACAAAAAGGCATGGATGACCAGGGGCATCTTCTCTGATTGGTTTTGTAAACATTTTGTACCAGCAGCCTCATGCTCACTGCAGGGAAGCTGGACTGGAGGATGAGTGTAACATCTTGTTATTCTTTGACAACTGTTCTGCTCAACCTCCAGCTGAAATTCTCATCAAAAATAACGTTTATGGCAGGGCGCCGGTGACTCACTCCTGTAATCCCAGTACTCTGGGAGGCTGAGGCGGGTGGATCACTCGAGGTCAGGAGTTCGTGACCAGCCTGGCCAACATGGCAAAATCCTGTCTCTACTAAACATAAAAAAATTAGCCAGGTGTGGTGGAGCTCGACTGTAATCCCAGCTACTTGGGAACCTGAGGCATGAGACTTGCTCCAACCCAGGAGGTAGAGATTGCAATGAGTCGAGATCACGCCACTGCACTGCTGCCTGGGTGACAGCAAAACTCCATCTCACAGATAATAATAATAATAATAATTAATAATAATAATAATGTTTATGCCATGTATTTCCCCCAAATGTGACTTCATTAATTCAGCCACATGACCAGGGTATCCTTATTTTATATTGAAGAGCAAATATAAAAACACTTTCTTGAACAGCATGCTTGCAGCAGTGAACAGAAGTGTGAGTATAGAAGGTTTTCAAAGCAACGTAGCATGAAGAATGCCGTATATGCTGTTGCCAACCCTTGGAACATAGTAACTAAAGACACAGTTCTGCCTTCGTGGCACAATCTCTGGCCTATGATTATGTTAAGTAATGCTGATGAACAAAGTGTTAAGTTTGAAAGATCCCATATGTCAAGTGAAAAAAAAATGATGTCTGACTTGCTTACATTTGCAAATATATATATTTTTAGAGTCCATTATAAGCTGAAAAATGTGGATATTGAAGTTTTTAACGTAATTATGAGGCTTCAGTTGTTCATTCATTGACCAATGGTGAAATAGCCAAAATGGTTCTAAATCAAGGTGACTGTGATAATAATGACAATGAAGATGATGTTAACACTACAGAAAAAGTGTTACAGACAACAGGGTAAAAATGTGTGATGGGCTTATTGAAGGACTAGATTAGCATGCATTCATAATAGAACAAGAAATCATATCAGTTATAAAAATCAAAGAAAGACTTCTAACATAAAAATCATTGTTAATGAGGCAAATGACTCTGGAGAAAACGTTTTAAAAAGCCATCCAACAGAATGCCTCCTCCTTCTTAAAAGACCTACTTCCTGGTCCCTAGCTTTCTTCTTGTATTTCTCCTCACCTGACAGAAAAACACAGTAACCTTTTAATCAAAACACGGTATTGTAGGTGGAGGCTGTCCTGTTTGTTGCTGTTGTTCATCAACTGATGCAGGTATTCTGGTGATGTTATCATGCTGTTCAGTTACCCTGAACACATTATTTTTAATTGTATTAATGGTACACCATTTTCTACTAAGTACTTAGGTGTGAATAAATATAAGAAAATGATTGCTTGTTGCAGCATATAAACTCAGAGTCAGGAATGATGGTGATGCCAAAAAACCACGAATTGCCCACATTGGTGGCTAAGATAGTGACACCTTTGCTTTCTGATGGTTCAATGTATATCAACTTTGTTTTATGCACAAAATGATTTAAAATATTGCATAAAATTACCTCCAGCATGTATGTATATGGTATATATGAAACACAAATGGATTTTGTGTTTAGGCTTGGGTTCCCTCCCCTAGATATTTCATTATGTATGAAAATATTCCAAAATCTGAAAAATTCCAAAATCTGAAACACTTCTGGTTCCAAACAATTCAAATAAGGGATACTCAACTTGTAGAGGACTGACCCTCCAGATTTTGTAGAAGTTTTGTCTTTATCCTAGAATAGTGGAGCATTGAAGATTTTGAACTAGGGGAAGGATAGTTAATATGATAAGATTTGTGTTTTCAGAAATCACTCTAGCTGTGGTATGGAAAATGGATTGACTCCGATAAATTAAAGAAAACCATTGTGAAGACTGTCAGAATGGACCAGGAAGAAATAATGCTAGCTTGGACCAGGTGGAAATGGAAAGAAGTAGATGAATTCCAGGGAGAGGTAAAAGGTGAACTAGATGAGACTTGGTAAAGTATACAATATGAATAAGCAAGAGAGAAATAAAGAATTGCTCACTTGATTTCCTGGGTTTTTGCTTGAATTAATGGATAAACACGGATGCCATCTACCAAAAAGGAGAATACCGGGAATGTTTTAGATTCTGAGTGGAAGGTGAAGAAGAGGTCATAAGTTCAATTTTGGACATTTTGATGTATGATACAGGTCTGGAGCACAGAGGGAGGGAGGTCTGCCTTGAAGATATAAATTTGTGAATTATTTGCATATTTTGATGATAATTATAGCTATCAGCATGGGTGAGTTCTACTAAGGAGGTGACACAGGGTAAGGAAGATGGCTTGGGAGGTCTGGGGAATTTCAGTATTTAATAACTGGATAGAATAAAGCAAGACTGGAAAGGAAAGAAAGAAGGAACAGCCAGAGAAATGGGAGGAAAACCATGGAGTGTTGAGTCACAGAGGCCAAGGAAAGAAAGGACAGTAGTACCTCCCTTACCCATGGTTTCTCTTTCTGCAATTTCAGTTACCCAGGGTCAACTGTGGTCTGAAAATCATAAATGAAAAATTCCAAAAGTAAACAATTCATCAGTTTTTAATGTCCCAGCATTCTGAGTAGCCTGATGAAGTATCATGCCATCCTGCTCCATCAGCCTGAGACGTGAATCATCCCTTTGTCCGGTGGATCCACGCCGTATACACTGCCACCCATCCACTAGTTACTTAGTAGTCATCTCAGTTATCAGATAAACAAAACATAGTATGTATAAGGTTAGGTTCAACAAGCTCTGATCTGAAAAAAATACACATGTACGCCCATGCGGATTTGTCTCATTAATAAGATTTACATGGCCTTCTAGTCAAGTTCAAAATGGAATAGAGGAAAGAGCATAGATTTTGATTCCCAGCTCTGATATTAATTCTTAGACCCTAGGCAGTCTGATTTATTTCCCTCATTGAAATTATGAAAACTATGTCAGAATATACACACACTTTATAGCCCTCTTACATATAGTGGTCTTTGCTTCTGTTGTTATTTACAGATTGTAGAAACATTTTCTGACTTTATTTCCATGAAAATGCTAAGGAGAGAGAATACAATAATCTATACTTTCACAATATAAAAAACCTTTAGCAAAGTGACTGCAATATGCTTTATTGGTCTCAGATAAATTAATATTTGAAAAAATATATTGTATTTATTACTTTACATTAGTTCTTATTTTCTGATTATTTAAAATATTTCCTCTTGGGCTCAGATTATATATATATATATATATATATATATATATATATAGAGAGAGAGAGAGAGAGAGAGAGAGGTTTTAAGGCATTCATTAATGTGTGTATATATATATATATATAGAGAGAGAGAGAGAGCTGGCTTTTCAATATATGTTTCTGCAAGTAACTTAAATTTATGTGTACAATTTTAATATATATTAATTTATCATAAAGCTAGCAAGCACTACTAACAAACTCCCCTATAATGCAGTAGAAATCAAACATTTCTGAGCTTGATCCTAGCTTTGCCACTTATGCGGGTCATTACATTACCCTATGCCTCAATTGCTTCATCTATAAAATAGGGACAATAATGTTTACTTCATGGAGTTTCTTTTAAAAAATGTGTATCACATCAAAACACTCAATGAATATTAATGCCTTACTTACATAATTATATAATATTATATCAAGATAGAAAAAAAACAAAAATTGACACTTGAAATGGTAACAGAATGTGACTGTATTGCAAGCTATTGAATTAGCACATATACCACCCAGAAAAATAATCCCTTTTTAAAATATATGTAGAGTGCTATAAACCCTGATGACACGATGCAAACAAATCAACTCTGGATTTATGGTCATCTCATAACCTGTGAACTGAAATATTTCATGACCCTGATCAACGTGAACACTTAACTTTCACATGATTTGAAAGAAGAAAATGATGATTTCTCCTACACTAGATTTCAGTGAAGGATGCCCAACTGAGAGGCTTTCACAGATAATTTCCTCAATAATGGTTTGTTGAGTGGATGAACAAAGTGATGTTGGATGAGATAAAAGTTTCTTCCACATTTTAGAAAATGTATAAAAATTAAAGATTGTGCTGATTTTGCAAGCTTCACAGCTCTGTGGGAAAGCAAACTTACACTGGGCTCTGCAGCCATTTATTCAATCAACAAATACTGTGTCCTACCACAAGGCTACCAGATTAGACACGATTAGGGTGAAAAAGAATCACATCTATAGGTCTCTGCCATGGCACCATATTGGAAAACTGTGACATAATCACAAGATTATTTCAAAAGCTAGCCAAAAAAATGTAGCCTCCTTCATCTAATCCTCATATAATCCATCCACATTAGGCCAAGTGTGTCTATAATAATTCCCCCCAAAAAATATCCAATCCAACCAAATTAAAAGCCAAGACAAATTGTTCATTCCATTGTTTTTAATTTCACCATAGAATTTTGGTTTCTTTTTATTATTATTATACTTTAAGTTTTAGGGTACATGTGCACGATGTGCAAGTTAGTTACATATGTGTACATGTGCCATGCTAGTGTGCTGCACCCATTAACTTGTCATTTAGCATTAGGTATATCTCCTAATGCTATCCCTCCCCCCTCCCCCCACCCCACAACAGTCCCCGGAGTGTGATGTTCCCCTTCCTGTGTCCATGTGTTCTCATTGTTCAATTCCCATCTATGAGTGAGAACATGTGGTGTTTGGTTTTTTGTCCTTGCGATAGTTTACTGAGAATGATGATTTCCAATTTCATCCATGTCCCTACAAAGGACATGAACTCATCATTTTTTATGGCTGCATAGTATTCCATGGTGTATATGTGCCACATTTTCTTAATCCACTCTATCATTGTTGGACATTTGGGTTGGTTCCAAGTCTTTGCTATTGTGAATAGTGCCGCAATAAACATACGTGTGCATGTGTCTTTATAACAGCATGATTTATAGTCCTTTGGGTATATACCCAGTAATGGGATGGCTGGGTCAAATGGTATTTCTAGTTCTAGATCCCTGAGGAATCGCCACACTAACTTCCACAATGGTTGAACTAGTTTACAGTCCCACCAACAGTGTAAAAGTGTTCCTATTTCTCCACATCCTCTCCAGCACCTGTTGTTTCCTGACTTTTTAATGATTGCCATTCTAACTGGTGTGAGATGGTATCTCATCGTGGTTTTGATTTGCATTTCTCTGATGGCCAGTGATGACGAGCATTTTTTCATGTGTCTGTTGGCTGCATAAATGTCTTCTTTCCAGGAAGAAGTTGAATCTCTGAATAAACCAATAACAGGATCTGAAATTGTGGCAATAATCAATAGCTTACCAACTAAAAAGAGTCCAGGACCAGATGGATTCACAGCCGAATTCTACCAGAGGTACAAGGAGGAACTGGTACCATTCCTTCTGAAACTATTCCAATCAATAGAAAAAGAGAGAATCCTCCCGAACTCATTTTATGAGGCCAGCATCATCCTGATACCAAAGCCGGGCAGAGACACAACCAAAAAAGAGAATTTTAGACCAATATCCTTGATGATCATTGATGCAAAAATCCTCAATAAAATACTGGCAAACCGAATCCAGCAGCACATCAAAAAGCTTATCCACCATGATCAAGTGGGCTTCATCCCTGGGATGCAAGGCTGGTTCAATATACGCAAATCAATAAATGTAATCCAGCATATAAACAGAATTTTGGTTTCTTTAGGATACTGTTTTATTCTAGATTCTCAGTACATTGTTACATTCTAATTTACCTATTGCCTGATTGGCATTTCAACACTCACATTATTTTGGTTTGCACATTTGGGTTTGCTTATTTGAGATACTTTGTTTATTTCTTCATAGTAGTGAGGGTTTGGTGAGAAGAGAGTATAGGATGTTCAGAGATCTTTCCCAGCATGTTTCTAGATCCATTTTCTTTCCAGTGTTTTTTAGTTAAGCAAAAACTATGTATTAGTCTGTTTTCATGCTGCTGATAAAGACATACCCAAGACTGGGAAGACAAAGAGGTTTAATTGAACTTACAGTTCCACATGGTTGGGGAGACCTCAGAATCGTGGCAGGAGGCAAAAGGCACTTCTTACATGATGGCAGCAAGAGAAAATAAGGAAGATGCAAAAGCAGAAACCTCTGATAAAACCATCAGATCTCATGAGACTTATTCACTACTATGAGAACAGTATGGGGGAAACCACCCCCATGATTCAAATTATCTCCCACTGGATCCCTCCCACAACACATGGGAATTATGGAAGTAAAATTCAAGATGAGATTTGGGTGGAGACACAGCCAAACCATATCAAACTGCTACAAAGTGTAATGAATTTCATCAAAGTTCCTTCCATTTCAGTGTTTTCTCCATCAGTGAAGTCAAGATACATTTTAGGGAAGCTCATGATAAGTGACTCCCTTGATGTTTCCCTTACAAATAAGTTCATAACTTGATTATTGCTAACTTATTGTTAAGGTAAATCAAGGATCAATCTTTAATAAATGCTTTTGCAAATCTTGGTATAAATGCCTTGAGTTGGTCTTCTAACCTATAAAGAAATACTGCCTCTTCCCACCTTTATAGGCGAAGTGATATAATAGAAAGGACACCAGCTCCACCAATTACTCTTCCTTTCTTAATAGTAAAATGGGAATGAATACCTATCTTGAAATATCATTGACTCTAGTACACAGTAGACATTCATTTCCAATTTTATTTTTCATCAGGCATACACATACATGGTTTAAGAATTCAATATTTTCCAAAGCCTATTATAAAAACAGCAGTCCCTTATCACCTTCGACATTCCCATCTCCTTCCATTCCCATAACCAGTAGTAACCGAGTTCACAACTCTTTTAGTTTATTATTTACCTTCACATTTCCAAGTGACATCACCATTGTACTGTTACTTCTTGGTTTTTCAGGTTTATGCATTATACTATTTTTTTATACTCTCCCACATTTCCCTGCCAACATACACACACACACAAACACACACACACACATTTATCTCCCAAATATTGATGACTAATGATCAATCAGCATCCACCAGTATTAAAATATTGAAGTACTCCTTTATAGGTTGGGAAATAGTTACTGCTCTGAAGTTCCCAAGCAACCCATCTTCTCTCTTTTAGCCTAGTCCCACCCCTAGAACCCTCAGGTCTTCTCTCATAATCCAGCAATTAGGGGAGAAATACGTAGCACAGGGGGCAGCCCTCAACATGACCTATTGTCCAGCATTGACTGGTTTAATGGTCCATTCATGACCAGTTGGTGAGTATTTAATATGCTTAATATTAATGTGTAATAGATCACAATTTTTTATTATACTTATATTTACTGTTCACGTTTTTATAACTGTATGAACATTGTTCACAACTGAGCTAGTGTGCTGTGTAAATTCCCTTTCCTGCACAACTTGGCTTGTTTCCCATTATTAAATTATTCACAAACTCTTTCTTCTTGATGCACATCTCTTCTTAAACACACACTCTGTCAAATTCATCTTCTTAGGGACATCTTTCCCAGAACTCTGTGTTCTCATGCTGTAATCTAAACCGGGTGCTCTCCAGGCCTTCCTGTACCATCATTATGTTAGGTTCTCTTTTCCTTTCATCTTAGGAATTTTTGTCTGTGTTTTGTATTGCAGTCTCTGTGTCCTGAATTCCATGTCATCTTTCTTGATATTTGTTATTAAGGTGGATCCTTCCCCCGTAGCTTCCTGAAAGTGGCTGCAGAGAAGATAAACTCTTTAAGGTTTTGTATATCTGGCAATGATTTTGTGTTAGAAAGCAATTTACCTCACTTTTTTTTTAAACTGCAAATTTGGGGCCTAATTTCTAGATGTATAGTTCCTTCATCAAAAGATATTAGCCTCTTATAAAGCTTTTCTGTGGCAGGCTTTTTTTTTTATACCCTGACCCCCTGCTTTTGAAGGCCTTCCTACCTGCCTGCCTGCCTGCCTGCCTGCCTGCCTGCCTGCCTTCCTTTCTCTCTCCTTCCTTTCTTTCTTTCTTCCTTTGTTTTTTTTTTTTTTTTTTTTTTTTTGACAGAATCTCTCTCTGTCACCCAGGATGGAGTGCAGTGGCGCGATCTTGGCTCACTGCAACCTCCGCCTCCCGGGTTCAAGTGATCCTCCTGCCTCAGCCTCCCAAGTAGCTGGGGCTACAGGGACCACACGCCCAGCTAATTTTTGTATTTTTTAGTAGAGATGGGGTTTCACCATGTTGACCAGGCTGGTCTCAAACTTATGATCTCAGGTGATTTGCCTGCCTTGGCTTCTCAAAGTTTGGGATTACTGGCGTGAGCCACCACACATGGCCTAGTCATATCATCTTGAAACTCAAGGAAAACTTCTTTTTTTTTTAATTATACTTTAAGTTCTAGGGTACATGTGCACAATGTGCAGGTAGTGTCTAGATGTCCGTGAATTCATTCGCTCTCATCTTCTATGCTTCCACTGTGCCTTTCCAGACCTTGATCATATCCTTTCAGAATGAAGGGACTCAGTTTTCACAAATGAAAATAACCTTAGAAAGAATGTGAAGGTGGGGGTAGAGAATTGTTTGATTTTGCAGTGACAAAAAACAGAGAAACACTGTGGTCTAAAGGGTTTCTGAGGTCATTCAACAAGGCAATACATTGCTTTTTATGGCTTTTGCCTCCCTGTCTTTGGCTATAACTATTACAGTAACATTTCTTCCCTGGGTTTCAATTTGGTAGGCCTAATTACTGTTTTCCTAATTTATAGAAATTGTTAGCACCATTAGCGCAGATATATCAAGGGCCCTGAGGGAACAATAATTCTGCTATACACTTAAATTGATCTAGTCATTTGGTTCATCAACTGTGTGAGTCACAAGATGGACTTTTCCTGAGAGGCTGTAGAACAGGGGTGAGTTTGGGCCCCACAGCTCTACAACTTTCTAGATATATCATCTTAAGCCAATTATTTAACCCTTCTAAGTCTGTGTTTGCTCTATAAAATAATGTGTACCTTACAGGTTTGTTGCAAGGATTAAAGGTATGTAAAGCAACCAGGCTTAATGCATAATAAGCATGCAATGAATATGGCAATCATTAACAGCACATAGCACACTGCTTGACACCTAGTAGGCATTCAATAGATTATTGTTGAATGAATTAATTGGATGGATGAATGAACAAAGAGTTTGATTAAGATCTGGCTCCCCAAAGGGTTTGTAAACCCTAAGACTAAAGACATCGTGTTTGTATTTCTCATCGTTATATCCTTGGAGCCAAGCACAGTGCTTCATACAAAGCAGAAACTGACAGCTACTCCTTAAATAAGTTTACCATAAAGCGTTGAGCAAATAGACATATATTGTTCATTAATTTTCATGATACAAAATTTTTCTTCCCGAAAACTTTCAAGTACATGTATTTAGGGATGTCAGTTTGCTATTACAAAAGCATTCTCTGTTCCTCAAAATTTGATTTCCAAACACTTCCAGAGAGCAAATTTTAGGCAAAGATTTATTTTCTGATCATGTCCAATGAAGTACTCAGTCAATCTTGTCTGCTGTGCCATCTCTAGCTACATTTATACTAAGGACAAAATAAGAAACAGGGAAATCCTGAGTTTAGGGTTTGGAAAGTATGTACCGTAGGTAAAATGGCCCTTCTGCTGCCTGTGTGATGGAGATGCTAGTTTGACATGGCAGAGAAAAGTGGGTCATAAACCTTAATAGAAATGGCTTGGAAGATGTTGATCTAGTTTTGGTTATTTTCAAACGGTCCTTTTATTCAGAAAGCTTCCATCCCGTAATGTTCATTGATAATGCCACCCAGAATTGACATTTATTTGTTGTTGCTCTGTGTATAAAAATCTGATAAAATCAGATTTTAAAAATATTATTTGATTGATATTTTTGATGCCCCTGAAGGCTAAGAAATGATTACAGTAGGTCCTATATGTCAGTCTCATATTACAAGACATATGTTTTGTCCAATTCTCACAAACATCTTTCAGGGTCAGTCATTTAATGCTATTTGCTTTTCAAATGGAGAGGCTGAGACCTAATGTAAGAAATGTGCCAGTGGTCACTTTGATGCTAAGCAGAAAGCCAAGATACAAACCTCATTTTTTCTAATTTCAAAGTTCATGTTTTTCAATACCTTTCTTTCTTGTAATAAGATGTTTTCCCTAGCAGTCATAATTAAATATTTTCATAGGCAGTAAAATAATGTTGTATCCTTCACCTGACACTATCACACCAAAGCACTTAAACCAATTCAACACATACAAAAAAGTTAGGGCGATTAGGAGTAAGATCTGGGGAGTTGTTATAGGCAGCAGTGGTTAAAAGTGACACAGAGAGAAGACTGGAAAAAGATTGTAAAAACCAGAAGTGAAGAGAAGAGTTTCTATGGCCAGTAGTCAGCTGATGTCAACATCCATCTACATATGTGGTGAATGTTGGTCATTTTTGGAACTCCCAGCATTCCTGTGTCTTATCTGTCTCCCACCTTGTAAGGCAGAGCCCATCTCCCATCATCAAAACTGAAAATGCCTTGCTTTTCCAGCACCCCTTGCAGCTGAGCATGAAGCCAGGTTCCACGAATCACTCACACTCATTGCAAATGTCAAATTGGAAGTTAGTGATGTAAAGAGGAAGGGAGTACAGAGAATGTGCTGGTACAAGAGAAGCCCCATAACAGCAGCTTCTAAAGTGGTTCTGGGGTCCTCCTCTGGTACCCAGACTCAACAGTGTTGATGGTACAAGTAATGTTCAGAGAGCTGCAGTGAGGTATTCCTGAGACCAGTTCTACAGCATTTATTTTGGCAATGGTTCTTGGCTTTGTGGCCTCAGAGCCTGGTTCTCTGATGTTCTCAGTGATTCTGTGGGCTGCACAACATCTTTTAATCAACTCCTTTCTACTCAAACTAGCCTTATTCACTTCTCACTAACCCAAATAAAAGTCTTAACTAAAACAATATGTAAATAATCACAATATGATACTAATAACTAGCATATGTTGAGAGCTTATGATGTGACAAGGTGCTATGCTAAATGCTTCAGAAACACTTTTCTCCTTAAAACCTCATCACACCCCCTTATTTCCATTTTGCAGATATGGACACTAAAGTACAGACAGGTTAAATGGCTTGCTTAAAGACACATTCCTAGAAAATGGCAGAGCTAACATTGAACTCAGCAGTGTGACTCTAAAGGCCGTTCACTTAGCCAGTAAACTAGAATATATAATGTATTGGTAGCTTGCATTCACGTTTTAGGATGTAAATGTCTATAGGTAGTTATATTAGTTGTAGAGTTCTCCATAGGAACAGAACCAGTAGGATGTATGTGTGTATATGTATATAAATATATGTGTGTGTATATATATACATGCTATATATATGCATATTATATATGTGTGTGTGTATATATATGTGTGTGTGTATATATGTATATATATATATATAGAGAGAGAGAGAGTGAGAGAGAGAGAGAGAGATTTATTTTAAGGAAATCACTCATGTAACTGTAGGGGCTGGTAAGTCTAATATCAATAGCGTAGGCTACCAGGCCAGAGACCCAGGGAAGAGTTGCTGTTACAGCTCAAGTTCAAAGGCAGTCTGAATGCCAAATTACTTCTGTACATGTCTGTGCCCAAATTTCCTCTTCTTTTAGGGATACCAGTCATATTTGATTAGGATCCACACTAAGTGACCTCATTTTAACTTAATTACCTCTGCAAAGACCCTATCTCCAAACACAGTCAGAATCTGAAGTTAGAACTCCAACATATGAATTTAGCGGTAGAGAAAACACAATTCAGCCCATAACAGTAGTAATTTCAATGAACCCGAATGTAACTGTAATGTAAATGTAACTTGATAGAATTCTAAAGTAATCTTAGGAATTTTTCTGAGTTTGGGTGATATATCTATAGTTTGTGTGGGGACCCCCGGTGTTTTTCAAATACCAGCCCTGTTCATAACCACCATTAAAATGGTAACCATAACACTATTGGAAGCCAAGGTCTCCTGTATCCTGATTAAAATAGCTTAGGGATGATGATGCCCAACTACATAGAAATTTTAGGTTTTGTCCCACAAGCAATAGGACAAGAACAAGTTGGACTACAATTTCTCGGTACTTAAACCCTTTGGGAGAATCAAATAAAATAAACTGCATTATGGCACAGAAAGTGAAATGGCTTCTCAAAATATTCTTCATGTGCAAGTACTGATGGCTTTTGGCTGTAATCTCACAGCTCTTGCAAAGATTTCAAATCTCAAGGGGGCCAGACAGTATTATGAGATCTGAAGTATACCCCTTAGCAGTGAACATCATGATGGAAACATTTATCATTTTTTCATCTGAAGATTTGTTATTCAGTGTTTAGAAAAGCTGCCTTAACTCTTGTATCATTTATTTAATAGCAGTGAAATCATCTTGAATTTGTAGAGAACTTTGTACTTTTCAAAGTGCTTATACATACATCAGTTCATTTAATCTAAATGGCCCTTGATTGACCTAAAAGTTAAATCAGCTTCCCAACGTGCCTAATAATCATAGAGAGTACTTTTGGAGCTGAAGAAAAAAATGACCCAAAGTGAGGAAATTGCTCTGAAAGCATTCTGTAAAATCACAGCACCATTATTACACAAATTCATAAATAGTGAAGCTGAGTTAAACCCATAAGACAATTCTGGGGATTATATGAAGATTTTCAATCCTTTACTGTTTACTTTGTTTTTAACACTATTTTCTGTAAGCCTAGCTCTCAAGTCCAATTTCACTGTATTAAAAATTTCAGACAAAACCCTGCCTTTATTTTCATTCTGCCTTTCTGTTAATAGCCAAACCTACACATTCCATTTAAAGAAAAACTGAGGGTAATTTGTGGTCAAAAGACTCTAACATGAAACACCTCAATGAGATGGTGCCTGAATATTAATCCCTATACAAAGCAGATGGTGATTTCTTTTTTAAGCAAAAAATGATCTGTGTTTCTGCCTGTGTGCTTTCTGCATCAGACTTGAAGTAAAAATGAATTTCTATTTTGTTTCACTCTGGGAGCCTGTTACATTAACCAACATGAGAGCGGGGAGGATCACCTAATATGGCCAAATATAATTACAAGATGTACAACAAAGGCACTGGCTGTTTCTACTCTCTGCAGGAAAGCTTTAAAAAAAAAAAAGATAAACAGACCCAGCATAATCTCGAGAATCCGTTTATTATTCTGCTGGTGGAGTCTGTAGCTACGGAGACATCTGTGATATGGGATAAGGAAGATTTTTTTTTCCAGAAAATTTGAAGAATACAGAGAGTAGGAAACATCATTTTTAGGATTGAAAACCTAAGAAATAACTGTATTTTTGCCTATTTTTTTAAACAATTGATGACAAGAGTGCTGCAACTCAGAGTTTTTTTTTTCTCTCATTTTTTGGTGTTAGAAAATAAAAATGGAATCCAGCCTCTTTTCATATGTAGGGAAATAGCCAATTTCCTACAACAAGTTTGAATAGCTGCCTGTGTTAATAATATAACATGGCTCTAATCCTGAGTTCTAATTATGGTGTGCAGTAATGTATCTGTTGGAGTAAAAGTGCAGATAAAACCTTGTTTCAAAGGTATTTTCTGCTATGGATTTGATTATACAGTTCTATGGAGCAAATCATAATGCCTTTACAGTTAGTCCTACAAATAGCATGACTACTATTTTAATGTAAAATCTCTATTATTACAATGAGGAGTCTACTGTATTTCTTTAGAATCTGAATTTGGATACTCAAAACTACTCTTCGATTACCATATGTGTTATTATATAGAGAGTAAAGTGGAGCATTGGGTCAAGAATCCACATAATTAAGACCCATAAGTCACTTTCACATGACTTACTCTGGTAATTCAAGTTGTGGTCAGAAATAATAATAATCCCAATTTTTGTTGAACACTTACTATACATCAAACACATTCTAAATGCCTTATGCATGTTAATTTATTTACCTCTCACAACAACCCAATGAGAATAAATACTATTAATATTTCCATTACATAAATGAGAAATTGAAATCACAGAAATTTTGCATAACTTGATAAAGATCAAACTGCTACTGGATACTGCGGCCAGAATTTAAACCTAGTTAATTTGGCTCCAGGTAACCACCATATAATGAAGACTCTTCAGAAGCTAGTGACAAGAAAAAAATAGTGGTGCATCGCATGGTTCTTTGTGTCTATAAGATTAAAACAAAACAACTAAAAAAGGAGGTCAAGGAAACCGCAATGATGTTCCTGGCCGTAACAACAAAAAATTTCTTCTGGGGACTTAAGGAAAGCGTGCCAACAAAATATCTCATGGACTAATAGTAAACAAGCCAAAAGGCAAAGGGTAAAACATATTCTGGATTTAGTCAGAAATGGCAACATATGCAAAAGCTTTGTGGCAAGAGGAACATGGGTATTTGAGAAACTAAAGCTGAAGCCAGGGTAGCTAAAGTCAGAGTGAGGGGAGCCTGCAGGAGTTGAGGTTGTAGAAGAGACGGAGCAAAATGAGAAACCACTGAAGGAACTTAGGCAAGAGGTAAAGTGAACAGATGTGTACTTTGAAATCTGTCACCTGGCTGCCACAATAGTGAACAGTTTGGAGAAGTACAGAGTGGAAGTGACTAGACCAGTTCAGTAGCATCTGCCAAATATGACAAAAATGGTTATGGCAGTGGTGATGGAAAAAAACTGGACTGATTTAAGAGAAATTCCAGTGTTAAAATAGGAAATTACAAATTAGATACTGGAGAAAAGGAGGAAGACATCAAAGATTACTTCCAAGTTTCTGAATGGTGCAACTTTGTTGATGATAGGTTTTGATGGGGAAATCAAAAAGTCATGCTGAAGATATTGAACTTGAGGTGGCTTTAAGTCATCAACTGGGGTTGTCAAGTGGGCAGTGAGGCTATGGACCTGGATCTCAGAGGAGAAATCTAGGCTGGACATGTACATTTGGAAGTTATCAAGGCAGAGAGAGTTGTTAAAGCCAATGACATGGATAATTTGCCTAGTGAGAAAATGGAAAATGAATGAGAAGAGAGGAAGACCTAGAACCCAACCTTGAGAGAAGAGCATAAGTCTGCAAAGAATTGTGACAAGGAGCTTCCGTATAAATAGCAGGATGACTAGGAGAAAACAATATCAGAGAAGCCACTGGAGGAAAGTTACAAGAAGGATGGCAAGGATAATCAGGTCAAATGCTGCTGACTGGTCAAAGAAAATGAGAACCAAAAACTGAATATAGCAAAATGAGGGTCAGAGCCGTAGTAGTACAAACTGTTTGGGATTGATGGAACTAGAAGTCAGAGTGGAGTAAGGTAAATGGACACAGGAATTATGGATAACTCTAGAAATTTGGCTATGGATGAGGGAGAGTGAGTAGAGTGGCAGCAAGAGAGAAAAATGGGATAGGTGGAGTGACCTCAGCCATAAAATTTATATCTGTAATGAGAGTATCTCAGAATTCGCCCACATTTCTAGGCTATTGATGTGATTCTCACATCAAGTTATAAAATTCGAGCATTTTCGAAGGTTTGAGTAGTTTGTAATCCATCATAAATTTTACGTGGTTCTAGGAGACTTCTTTTTTCTTTCATATAGTGATCCATTAACCTGGTTATGATTGTGGCACATAGAAGCCCAATTCATGTATGCACTCAGAGGACAGACTAGGGTGCCTATAGAGGTTTAAATTATTGTCCTTCTGTTGCTGAGGAAGTAAAAGGAACAATCTTTTAAGTTACCTAAGACATAGATACTTAAAAAGTCCTCAGGCGTCAACTGTTCATCACTGTTTTTAATTAAATATTTATTAAGCACACACTGCATATCAGCTATTGTGTTAGATTTTGAGAATACAAAGGTGAATAAGACACAATTCCTAACCTCAAGATGCTCATCAAATAACAAGAAATGAATATGTGTAAACAGATACTGCTAGTACACTGTGAACATGCCATGAAGAGATATGTGCAAGATGCTACACGAAGAAAGGTACCTGAAGCACCAGACTGATAAATGAGAATGAGTGTCTAAGCGTGTGTGTGTGTGTGTGTGTGTGTTTGTGTGTGTGTCCAAGGGGCTCAGTTGTGGAATATTTTATGGAGATGAAGACTTCCGAATTGAGTCTTAAAAACTATTAGTTTACATTTATTGAGAGATTACAATGTGCCAGGTAGAGTGGTAAGCACTTTACACCTTAACAAATTTATTATACTCACTTTAGAGATAAAGAAATTGAGGCAAATAGAGTTGAAGTAACTTGTCCATAGTGACACAAACTACTGAGTGTCAGAGTTGGAATTTTAACCCAGTCTTCCTTCAGAGCCCATCTTCTAGACTACCATGCTACATACCATATACCATGGACCATGACTTAAAATTAGAGATTAGCCAAATTTTGTATGTGTCGGTTATGGGGGAGGAAAAGGCACATCTCAGGCCCGAAAATCAGTCTCTCTTACTTTTGGGTTTTCTCATCCCACTCTGATTGCAGGATCCTGAAACAGCTATCCCAGGGTTAAAAAGAGGGAGACATGACCACTCTCCCAGGTCATATTTATAATACCAGTAAGCAGAAAGAGGCTTATTATAAAATAATCTATGATCTGGTCCCCTGGTTACCATTAGAGAATAGAAACAGAATGGATTACAGGTTTCGTCCATTTTAAAGTAAAGTTTGCTATGAATAGACTAGAGGATACTTTTGTATTTAGGTTAATAAGTTCCTCTTGGGAACAAAAGGGCTAATAAGGAAGGAATCCTGCTCCTTTCTTAATGTTTCCAAGTTAAGCTCCATCAGACCATCTGGCAGTCATGGTACTTAGAGCATAAGAGGTGATTAATACCACCCTGGGATGTACTGAATAAACAGAAGATCATAAAAGAGAAACAGTGTTCACCTGGACAGGGTCAGGAAGATATTAAGGTTAATCATCCCTAGCTTCCCAGAACACTTAATCAGGACAGAGAATATTCTTTTATGAGCTGGAGATCTCAACAACAGTTCTAAGATCAAGGGAGGAAAGAAACTAATCTACTTCTCATGCAATAACACATTTATCTGATCGCTGGAGATAGAAATGGTCTAAATTCACACAATAAAAACTGCATGCATCAGAGACACAATATAACAGCAGCCTTACATTTAGGACTTAGACCAACAGAGAAGACACTAGAAGAGGCTGGCATTGCCTTGGATTTTTTGAGATTTCCAGAGTGAGGATTTTGGGGAGATTCTCTCTCAGTTAACTGAGAGGCCATTAGGGGAATAATTAAAAAGTGGAAGGACAAAGGCCTCCAAACTGTCCAATTTACTTTATGAGTATTCTTCATGTTGCCAAGCTTCTTGCCTTTTTGTAGCACAAAAGCAAATTACAAAATAAAGAAAAAAAGATCAGACAAAGTAGAAGTTGGAGTAAAAGAAAGGGATGGAGAACAAGAAGAGGAAGAGCAAAAAAGCTATTAAAATGATAAAGACAGAGAAGGGAGTTGAGGCAAATGAAAGAATAAAGTTGAGAATAAAAAGAAAAGGAAAAGATAAGAAAATAAAGCAAAATTTCAGGCTGAAAATGGAAGGTTCAACAAAGATAAAACTTAAAGAATAAAAAAAAGAAAAGAAAAACTAAAACCAGTGAGACTAAAAAAAATTTAAACATGAAAGAAGGATGAAAGATTAAAGATAAAACCAGCATAAATAAAAAACATAAAGGGCTAGAACCAGAGAGATAAAAAGCTGGAAACATGAAAGTTAAAGGAATGAAAGATAAAAGCTAAAACAAGAAAATTCAAGTTAAAAGCAATACTTAGAAGATGCGCATAAAATTCTTTTAAAGACTGCTTAAAATTTGTTTCCTTCTTAAAATGGAATAGAAAAAAAAGAATTTGAGATAGAAAGTACAGACAAGGAAAAATAAGAACCCTAAAGAATGAAGCAGAACAAACTAAAATAGAAATAAGGAAAAAATTAAATAATCAACATACACCATGGCAACAAGAAATTCTAAAATAATATCAGGATGCTGATTTGCACCACAGAATATGTTCTTGGTATAACAGGGAAACAAAAGGAATAGGACAAAGAGAGGAAAGCAGTGAGCACCTAGCTGACTGCACTCTGAAAACCTATCCTCAGTTCCTGTACATCCTTCCACCTCTCCGGTCCCTGTATGGAGGTCCCTCTGACCAAGAATAGAAAACAAAATACAATTTCTCTCTAATCCTCAGCTCAGCTTGCATGACTGCTACAATTAAGAGACACAGACAGAAGCTTCAGCAGTTTAGATACAGTGAACCCTAGGCAAAATTCCAAATGATAGTCTGTTTCACTTTTTTGTTTGTTTGTCCTTTCAATATCCTCCTGCCCTTTAATCTATCACTCATTCATTTATTAGTTAATTACCACTTAGTTTGAGTTAGTTTAATTCACCCTTTTTCAGGATAATTTTCATTTTACAAGAAGGCCCATTGGAGAGGGATTTGGGGTAAGGATTGTTTCTTCCCACCCAGCGATTAGCAACACCAGGAAGATTGATGTCAGATGTCTTCCTTGCTCCACCCCCGCTATACCCCTTCTCTTGCCTCCCTTCTCTGCCTGCTTTGTGTCCTGGGAGGGTGACCTATCTGGATTGCAGTCATGGGCTTGTTTACTCCGTGTCTTCTGGTTGATTTTACCAATGAAAGGCATGGGCAGGAGATTAAAGGATAAGAGGAAAGTGAGATCAAGGTATTTATTCCTGTATTTCGCTCATCGCCATGGATTGACTCCATCCCTCTGCCAAGACCACGGCTCCTACCTGAGGGCCTTCTCCTGAGCTACACCCTCTGGATTCTGAGCACAGCTAACCTGCTCTCTCCCTTGACTCTTCAGGCCCAGAGGTGGTGGTGACTGGCTCCCTAGCTGTTGCCTGCCTCAGGATGCTTTGTTGTCCAGTTCTTACCTTGTTGCTTTCTCTTAGCCCAGTCCTGAGAGTTGTAAATAGCCCTTTGATTAATTCCTCAATTTATTCACATTGAGTGTGCCATCTGTTTCCTGCTGGGACCCTGATTGACACAGTAGGTAAAAGTATGTCATAGGCAAATTTAATTTTAGCATTCTTCACCCCAACATTCAGTGCCCTCATACTACCCATAGACTCAACATAGGTTCCCATTTTGAACAATTCCAGGTCTCATAAAGCTATTGTGCCATCTGGAATGTGTCTGACTTCCTTTCTTGTCCAAATTTATCTGTATATTGAACCATTTTCCCAAGACACAGATCTCTTCAGTGTGCATGCAGGTGAGTCTCCATAAGCTAATCTCTGCCGGAAAATGTATTGTCTCTCACTCAGGTAGCAGAGTGTCTCCTAATGGCCCTCAAATTACAACATAAGCATGAATTATTCCAAACACAATTCTTAGCTAGCATCTCTTCCTCCAGTTTTGTTCTCCACCTACCTATTCTAAGCACTGCAGCCAGATACATTTCTCTGTAAAGACATTCTCATTATGCTACCCACTGGTTTTTAAAAGCCTCAGTTGCTACTCATTGTCCATAGGATAAATTCAACCATTTGAGATCCACAATCTGGCTCCAAACTGAGTCTCCTATTTTATCCACTGCTACAGACAGACCTTGTATTAGGAGCATAGCATAAGATGGGAAAATAAAAAAAAAAATCTCAACATTATCCCCCCTTTTGAAACATATTTTCTTCTTGCCTTCTTCAGTAACTGAAGAATAATGTCATGTGGCAGAGGTAGACTTTTTCATGAGATGACATTCGTAATTTTCCTCCAAGTTTAGTTTCCATTATGATGAAAAGTTGCAAGGTTTTCACTGTCATGGAAGAATTAAAACTGTGACTTAAGCTTCACAACTTACCTGATTTCATGTGCTATTAAATTTTAATTTATACTACTTTTTAGACTATTAAATTTTTTTCTGAGATTTTGTGACATTATGTGTGGCATATTAGGTTGTGTAAGTGGATTATAACCTAGGGTACCAAAGTAGTGTGACATCTCCCAATTCCAAAGCTACACAAGGTGTTGCTTCTGCCATACCTGGACATAGCTACCACCATATGCATTCTGACTTCCCTCCTTCCACACCTCACTATTACCTGCCTGAAATGGCCTTTATCCTCCTCTCTGCTTATCTGAGCACTGCTGGCACATGTCATGTGCTAAATAATTAGTAGGCATTACCATTATTATATCCACCACTCACAGCTCATTCCAAGCACTACTATCTCTAGAGATCTTACTGCTTACTGATTAATTTATCATATACTATTTTAAGGTATGTGTCTCCCAATAGCTTAGAAGTCCCTGCTTAGACTGTAAGCAACTTTAGAAAGCTACCATGTCTAGTATCTCTGTCAGTCTCACATCTCCATTGGCAGAAAATAGAAATTCAATAAGTAATTTATGGCTAAAGTCAAAGCTTATTCTATCCTCCAAAGGCGGCTCTACGGAGTCAACCTGACAGAAAAGAGATGACTTCACTGCACTTCTCTTATCTGCTTGTAGAGATCTTCGACTACCCCAAAAAGAAAAATGCTGGTAATTGATCTTCTACCCAAAAGGAACCAACAAATGACAGATGCAGAAAAGTCTAATCAAGTAAATGTTTTGCTTTCCCTAGAACTCCTTTGCTGTCCCGTGTGGCAGCTCTTTGTAGTTTCTTGCCAGTCTCCAACCTTTATCTCCTCAATGTTCATCTTATCACATTGCCCTGTATATTAGGTGGGACACAGACCAGATTGCTAGAACAAATAAACCCCACAATTCACTAGCAGGAATGAAGCACTTGTTCTTCTCTTGTAGAACAGAGCCAAGGTAAGTAAATGGCTCTGCTCCAAAAGGATGTACAGAAACCCCAGCCAGTTTTGGCTGTGCCATGCCCCACAAGTTGCCCTTGTCCTTGCAGTAAAGGCTGACTGATTATAACCACATTCTAGCTCACATGAAACAAAGGAAAAGGAAGTGGAGGGCAGCCAATATCTGCCTAAGTATCTATCGCAACAGTAACGGACTTTCCATAACTAGAACCCTAAAGATGAATCATGTTGCTACCCATGGTTATAGGCAGCAGAAAGCTCTGGGAGTGGGAACTCCAAGCCCAATATTATATCTCTACTACCATCCAGAGACATGAAGCCCTTGTTTGAAGATGTCCAAAGGCATTTCCCATAATTGGAATCTCCACCCCTGCTTATGTGTATATGCAGCCTAACTAGGAGTCAACATATAAATATCCTCAAATTGAAGGGTGTCAAGAACTACCATGCCTACTTCCTCCAGTCTCCTGGCCACGTCCCTAGTTGGTATTATCTACTCCCCAACACCCATGGGCTCAGGCCTATCAGTTTAAGCCTGTGGTTTTTCAACTGCAGCAATCCCTCCCCATCACCACCTGGTGACATTTGGCAATGTCTGGAGGCACTTGTGGTTGTCATAACAGGGGAGGGGAGGTGCTACTGGCATTGAGTGGGTAAAGGCCAGGGATACTGCTCAACATCATACCATGCACAGGATAGCTCCTCAGGGCAAATAATTATCTAGTACAAAATCTAATGGTGATAACACTAAGAAATCTTGCTCTAGGACAATTCTAATTATTCCCAGAAATCTTACAGGGAGCCAGGCCCAAGCTCCCAGCACCGTGGATTCTGATAGCCAGTGTTGTTTTTTCCCTCATACTTTAACCTGATTTTCTCACCACACATTGCTTAAGACCCTTAGTCTAGGTTTTTATGAATGTTAATAGTCTCAGCAGTGTATGACCACTAACATTATTTAAACTTAAATAATGTTAGTGGTCATACACTACTGAAACTTTCATAAAAAGTTGCTCTTGGCCAGGCATGGTGGCTCATGCCTGTAATCGCAACACTTTGGGAGACCAAGGCAGGTGGATCTCTTGAGGTCAGGAGTTTGAGACCAGACTGGCCAACATGGTGAAACACCGTCTCTACTAAACATACAAAAATTAGCTGAGCATGGTGGCAGGCATCTGTAATCCCAGCTACTTGGCATGCTGAGGCAGGAGAATTGCGTGAACCCAGGAGGCAGAAGTTGCAGTGAGCCGAGATCACATCACTGCACTCCAGCCTGGGTAACAGAGAGAGACTCCGTCTCAATTTAAAAAAATTTTTTTTTAAAGTTGCTCTTTGTATTAAAACAAAATTGACTAACTCTTAAGAAATATTAAATTTGTTCCCAATACTAACAAACAACAAATATAGGAACTTAGCTTAGTGGACAGAGGATAGGACTGGGGATGAGGTTTTTAATCCTGTTCTGCCACTGACTAGTTGTGTGATCTTGAGCAAATCACAGTCCCGAGCTTCAGGCTTCCCTTTCAGTAAAATGAAGAGTTGGACTTATTTAGTCATGAAATTATTATTCTTGTGTCTAATCTCCTGTTGCAATAATTACCTCTTCACTTTTCTTTTCTTTCTATTTACACACACACACACACACACACACACACTCATTTCTACAAAATAGGTAATTTCCTCCGTCAAATTTATATTCCTTAGAATTAAACCAGTAGCAGTTTGTGACAACAGTTATTAAGCCAACGGGCAAATCTATCCATATCCTCATCTAATCCTTTTTTCTAATTCCAAACTTGTTATTGCTCAACTTAATTGTATGAACTCAGCCAAGTTTTTTAATCTCTTTGGGCCTTAGTTTTCACTTGGCAAACTAAGGAAGCCAATTTCCAAATTTCCTTGCAATTCTGATATACTTTTCTTACTCAGAACCTCTTCAGGCCTAATCTTGTCCCCTTCTAAGCTAGTAATAATTGGTACCATGAAAATATAATGAACACACAAGACATCACCATTCATAAAATGGCAGTAGAAAAAAATGCATACTTTTCATAATTTCAAGAATAGTTACTGACAATGAACATGCAAAAAAGGGTAGCTATTTTATTATTTTTATCTTTGTAATATTTGTCTTCCTTTTTACTGTATTTTGTAGTCAAACTCAAAGAAACAAAGAGTGATAAATTAAATTTTATATAAACATATAAAGATGCTTCTCTTCAATTTCCTAAAGAACTGTCCCAAACCTGATTTCCTATACTATAAGAAACAGAAAGAGACACACACAAACACACACACACTCAAAAATAATTTTATTTTTCTCATCAAGGTTTACAAAAACGGCTGTTTATAATTTGGTTTAAAAAAATCTTTCTGCATCTTAGTAAGGCATTTTTAGTTTAAGAAAAGTCTGGCTTATGCCTGTAATCTCAGCACGTTGGGTGGCCGAGGCGAGTGGATCACAAAGTCAGGAGTTCGAGACCAGCCTGGACAACATGGTGAAACCCCATCTCTACTAAAAATACAAAAATTAGCTGGGCATGGTGCCAGGCACCTGTAGTCCCAGCTACTCGGGAGGCTGAAGCAGGAGAATCGCTTGAGCCTGGAAAGCGGAAGTCATAGTAAGCTGAGATCGCGCCACTGCATTCCAGCCTGGGCGACAGGACGAGACTCCATCTCAAAAAAAAAAAAGAAAGAAAGAAAAAGAAAAGTCGTGGGAGGCTTTAGGCAACACGCAGAATAATGATCAATTAAGTTTAAATTAGCTGAAGTTAGGGTTTATGATGAAAAAACTTTACAATACTTCTGGCCTTAGGGTTTCTGTGTAATTGCTATGAGCACCAAATGATATGCAGGTATATTCTGTGCTCAATGTGAGTAACCATCTGAACACTAGAGACAGACAATATTGACCAACCAGGTGCTTGTCTTTTCAGGGTTTACAGTAAGTAGTTGCCTCTAAATTCTTGGACTTGACATCCCAAGGACACTGCCATGCTGCTTACAAGTGGATCATTAGTGGGCGGGAATGAGGTCTCAGGTATTCACCTAATGAGTAGACAAAATTTCTTCCAATTGCCACTCTGTGTGAAGCAATTCAGGCTACCACTTTATTTTTTTTTTCTTCAACTTTTATTTTAAGTTCTGGGGTACATGTTCAGGATGTGCAGGTTTGTTACATAGGTAAATATATGCCAGGGTGGTTTGCTGAACAGATCAACCCATGACCCAGGTAGTAAGCCCAGCTTCCGTTAGCTGTTCTTCCTAATGCTCTCCCTCCCCCACCCCCACCCTGACAGGCTCCAGTGTGTATTGTTCCCCACCATATGTCCATGTGTTCTCATCGTTCAGCTCCCACTTATAAGTGAGAATATGTGGTGTTTGGTTTTCTGTTCCTGTGTTAGTTAGCTGAGGATAACGGCTTCCAGTCTCATCCATGGCCCTGGAAAGAACATGATATCATTCCTTTTTATGGCTGCATAGTATTCCATGGTGTATATGTACCACATTTTCTTTACCCAGTCTATCACTGATGAACATTTGCATTGATTCCATGTCTTTGCCATTATGAATAGTGCTGCAATCAACATACACGTGCATGTACATTTATAATGGAATGACTTACATTCTTTTGAGTATATACCCAGTAATGGGATTGCTGGTTCAAGTGGTATTTCTGCCTCTAGATCTTGCAGAAATCATCACGCTGTCTTCCACAATGGTTGAATTAATTTACATTCCCACCAACAGTGTAAAAGTGTTCCTTTTTCTCCACAACCTCACGAGCATCTGTTGTTTCTTGACTTTTTAATAATTGCCATTCTGACTAGTGTAAGATGGTATCTCGTTGTGGTTTTGATGGGCGTTTCTCTAATGATCCGTGATGTTGAGCTTTTTTTCATTTGTTTGTTGGCTGCATGAATGCCTTGTTTTGAGAAATGCCTGTTCATGTCCTTTGCCCACTTTTTAATGGAGTTGTTTGGTTTTTTCTTGTAAATTTGTTTAAGTTCCTTGTAGACTCTGGATATTAGACCTTTGTCAGACGGATAGATGGCAAAAATTTTCTCCCATTCTGTAGGTTGTCTGTTTATTCTGTTGATTATTTATTTTGCTATACAGAAGCTCCTTAGTTTAATTAGATCCATTTGTCAATTTTTGTTTTCGTTGCAATTGCTTTTGGTGTTTTTATTGTGAAATCTTTGCCTGTGCTTATGTCCTGAATGGTATTGCCAAGATCTTCTTCTAGGGTTTTTATAGTTTTGGGTTTTACTTCAAGTCTTTAATCCATCTTGAGTTCATTTTTGCATAAGGTGTAACAAAGGGATCCAGTTTGAATTTTCTGCATATGGCTAGCCAGTTCTCCCAGCACCATTTATTAAATATGGAATCCTTTCCCCATTGCTTGTTTTTGTCAGGTTTGTCGAAGATCCGATAGTTGTAGTGTGCAGTCTTATTTCTGAATTCTCTATTCTGTTCCATTGGTCTATGTGTCAGTTCTTGTACCAGTACCACACTGTTTTGATTATTGTATAGGCTACCATTTTCACAAGCAACTTAGATGAGTGGTTTACTGAACAGTCAGAACTCATCAGATGCAGAGAGCTTTGTTTTTTCTCCAATTTTGGCCCCCACTGTGCTGTTAAATCTCCCTTTCTGATCTTAGAGAACCCCTCAAACCAGCTCCATAACTTTTTGGCCATTTTCGGTTATTTACAAAAATAGAAATCTTGGTCCAATTTAAAATTTCAATCTCTTCCCATCCACCACTCCTCCTCACCTTATAGCTGAAAGAATTGCAACAGGAGGAAAAGAGTCAAGTCGGCTCTGTCACCCTGCTTTTCTTTCTGGACTAGACATTGAGAGGAGAAATGTCTTTGCTTAGTGGATGAGTGATTATAATCCAGTGCCAGATGTCGATGCTTCCCCAGCTAACAGTCTGGCCAAAGATGTTCTCTGTATGGCAGGCATCCAAAGACTGCCTCTCTTTGGGTATATGAGTGAGTTCTGGGGAGGTGTGGGGCTTCCTCACTACACAGTTCCCTGATGTGAAGACAAACAGCTATCATCACCAACTACTACCTTCCTCTTCTCCCTCCTCACTCCCTCCCCATACTCACACACTACATGCCCTGACCTTGGGAGTCACCAAACCTCTTTCTGCTGGACCCACATGCCCTGCAGGTAGCCAGCCCTCTTAGAGGGTCCACATGTCCTTCTCCCTACAGACACAGAGACTTGTCAGTAAGTCTTTGCCTGAGTAAATCATCCCTGTGGGAATGAGGTGCTAAGTGTCCCTTCCTTGCAGCTGTTCCCAGTGAAGTAGTGTGTCCTTATCTCTCCTCAAGGAGGTGAAGGGAAAACCACAACATTTTCCATTTTGACAACCTATACCCTGACTATTTTCTCTATTGTCTTTATACCTCCTCTATCCATAACCCTTTTTCTTTCTGCTTCTTCCATTCTTTTTATTTGAGTTGGGGTGAGAATGGTGGTTGAAATGACAGTGTCTGCTACCCCTAAGTACACTCAGGAAAAGATGTGTCATCACACATGTTTGTAGTTCTCTCCAGAATGTAAAATACTTAGTTCCTCTTTTGTTCCAGTTTTGGGGACAAAACATGAGTTTCACTGTCACATCACCAAGTAATTTGGCATATCCTAGCCTCAAGGACTCAGAAGAGCAATACATCTGTATACCTATAATATGTCATCTTTATATGTGAGACCCAGACTGGGGTTCAAGATCCAGCTCTGCTTCTTAATGTGTTGTGTGGTCTTAAAGAAAACCCTTGATTAGGGTTCCATTTGTCATCTCTAGAATAAGGACAATACCAACTTTGTGGAGTCTTGAGCTGTGATTTGTAAATGCACATTAAATTTGTAAATTTAATGTTATCATCAGACTCACAAACAGCATTGTGGCAACTATGTGGGAAGGTAAGGCCTGGGCTCTGACGTCAAGAATTTCACAATCTAATATAGACACAGATACATAAAATTTGGTAAGTGCAAAGAAAGATACATATAGAGTGCGTATCAGCTCAGGATGAACAAGGGGAGCTGTGAGGTAAGGTGTCAAGGAAGGTCTCTGTTTTTATTGCCTCTGAGTCATTCTGCATGTGAGAAGAGTATTTCTGCCCTAAGGTATTGGGATGGTTGAACAACCTGACAGTGGACAGAGAAATCAGCAGTTTATTAATCACAAATACTCACAGCTCAGTGTCGGGAGTGAGGGAAAGACACCATACACCATGCAAAGCCCTTGAGAATTGCACCCAGAAAATGAGTGAACAATCAGAAGCTTTGTAATATCAAGAGGATGTAAGACTCTCTGGTTCCCGCAAGGTATATGTGATTGAATTGTTTACATAATTCTGCAGGCCAGCCTGGGCAACATGGTGAAACCTGGTCTCTACAAATAATAAAAGAAAATTAGCTGGGCATGGTGGTGTGCACCTGTGGTCCCACCTACTCAGGACGCTGGGGTGCAACAATCACTTAAGCACAGGTAGTTGAGGCTGCAGTGAGTCGTGATCGTAACACTGCACTCCAGCCTGGGCAACAGAGAGAGACCCTGCCTCAGAAAACTAAAAAATAACAAATAAATAATTCTGCAAGCTGACAGGAAACTGAAACCCACTACTCAGGGATAAGGGAAAACTGTTCTTGGGCCCATGATGAACAGAATTATTTGTTTAGGAGACCTTATCCAAAGGAGTAGAGTAGCGAGGGGAACTTGCAGTTGGACCATTTGAAGCCCTCCTGATTTCACCATATGTCAAGACAGCACATAGTATTGAGCCTGAATTTTAGCCCTTGAGTCATAGCCTCCTGCAGCAAACATCATCTGAACTCCTAAATAACACTGACTAAGAGTAATAAAAGTGATTGGCACAGGATTGGTGTCATGGCATTCCAGTTGGAGTAAATAGCACTGCTGAAGGCAAGTTTTTTTTTCCCCACAGAGTGTATGCAAGATCTGTACACATTTAATGTGTTGAAACATAAATTGTTAAGTAAACCATGGTAGGAAAAGAAGCCAAAGGGATGGATAGACAGAGGGTGATCATAAAGGGCCTTGCAGTCCAGGAAAAGAGCTTAGACACTATTCTGATATCCAATACTAAGAAGCATTCTTCCAAAAATGGTTAAGGATCCAAAAAATTGGGGAAAGAAAAATTTAAAGCAAGTCATACTAATTTTTACCACATGGATATTTTAATATTTTAGCGATGTGCATTTATAGACCTCCACAATGGTGTGCATTATTGCATAATCCTCTTGAACCTAGGGGCATTATTAGTCTTTTAGGGATTTCTTTTTCCAGAATATCAATGAACTGTTCCAGAGAACAAAGTTTAAAAATTACTGTTATAGGTAAAGAAGGATCATTAAAAGATTTCAAGCTGGGAGTGACATTGTCATATTTGTATTTTAAATTAAACACTCTAATAGATGTGAAGAAGACAGATTTGAAAGAACCAAAATTTGAGTAGTTAGCGAATCCAGTTACGAAGTTGTGGAAGCAATCCAGGAAAACAATCATGAATAAAAATGAAGTAATAGAGACAGAAAACAGGGAAATTTGAAAGATGTTTTTATGTGTTAGATGAGGTCAGTGTTATCAGTGGGAGAGCTAGGTCATGCTGCAGTCACAAACACATACCCTAACTTTAATGACTTACCCCAATAAAAGCTCCAGTCCTGTTTACACTAAATGTCTATCATTTGTTGGTGGGGAGATGCGTTCTGCTCCACAGAATCACTCAACGATCCAGATGATGGAGATTCTATCATCTTATAGCAGCACCATCTGGCAAATTGAGCTTCTTGAGTCATTACAAGGGAAAAGAGCATGGAGATTCAGATCCTGGCTTTGGTCTGAAATAACACTTGTTACTTTTGGTTACAGCCTACTGACCAGAATGAGTCACATAACCTGCCTAATTGCAAAGGGTCTCCCATTATCCTCTATGTGTCTAGGAAGGGGAGGAAAAGCAAATATTGATAATATTTCGGCAGTATGTGCAGAAGAAAGAATCAAGGATAACTCCCAAAGGTGACTGGGCGGATGATAGATCCATGAGCTGGGAGCAGGAGGGTACCAGAAGAGGCACAGAATGTTTGGAGGAGAAGATGATGACTTCCATTCTGAACATTTGTATTTTTTATGTGCCAAAGGAATTTTCATTTGAAGATAACAGGTAGATTGTTGAACATGTTAAGTTTGAATCTCAAAGCAGAAATTCTGTCCTGGAACCAAAACTTAGGAATCATCCTCAGTCATTAAACCAAGAGTGGAAATACTATCCAAGAAGACTAAAATGTTCCCAAAGGAACATTGGAGTTTTGGGTTTGATTGAAAACCCCAAGAAGAGGACAGGAGACTGTCAGAGAAAGATAAGGATAGAACCCAGAAATTTTATTTCAAAAACAGTGAAAGGAGGTGAGCCTTTCTGAGAGAATATGATCAGCAACAACAAACACAAATAAGAGATCCTGTGAGATAAAGGCCAAAAAGGGCCCAGAGGATCTGGCGGTTAAGAAGCCATAGATGGGCCGGGCGCAGTGGCTCACGCCTGTAATCCCAGCACTTTGGGAGGTCGAGACGGGCGGATCACGAGATCAGGAGATCGAGACCATCCTGGCTAACACGGTGAAACCCCGTCTCTACTAAAAATACAAAAAAATTAGCCGGGCCTAGTGGCGGCCGCCTGTAGTCCCAGCTACTTGGGGGGCTGAGGCAGGAGAATGGCGTGAACCCGGGAGGCGGAGCTTGCAGTGAGCCGAGACCGCACCACTGCACTCCAGCCTGGGCGACTGAGCGAGACTCCGTCTTAAAAACAAAAAACAAAAAAGAAGCCATAGATGATCTCAGCAGGAAGAAGTTCTTGGGAGGAGTAGAGGCACAAGCTAGGCTGACAGGATTTGAGCAGTGAAAGGAAATGGAAGGAAATGGAAGAGGCAGTGACAGTAATGTTCTACTTCCAGCCTTCTTCCTCAACCCCAGTGAGTCATGTATTTATTCAACCAATATTTATTAATAGTAAGGATTTATTAGAATACAAACAAGACAGATGAGCTTTGCAATCTTGAGATTTTGCTCTTAAGTAGATGAATGTTTCTTTTCTCCTCAGTCTTCCTATAACATTTTGTATAGCCCTTTATTTTAATACTTTTCACATCACATTGTATTTATTTATCCATCTCCCTCTAGCAATGAATTCTTTCAGGATAAAAAAAAAGGGTAGAGAGTTCATTGATTTGTTTATAACAAAAGTTCATTACAGTGCTTGAACATAGTAGATACGCAGTGAATGTGTTTGGAGTTGTGCGTTTTTTTGTTTTGTTTTGAGACGGAGTTTTGCTCTTGTTGCCCAGGCTGGAGTGCAGTGGCACAATATCCGCTCACTGCAACCTCCACCTCCTGGGTTCAAGTGATTCTCCTGCCTCAGCCTCCTGAGTAGCTGGGATTGTGTCCGGAATTGGTGGGTTCTTGGTCTCACTGACTTCAAGAATGAAGCCGTGGACCCTCGCCGTGAGTGTTACAGTTCTTAAAGGCGTCGTGTCCGGAGTTTGTTCCTTATGTTCGGAAGTGTTCGAAGTTTCTTCCTTCTGGTGGGGTTCGTGGTCTCGGTGGCTCAGGAGTGAAGCTGCAGACCTTGGATGTGAGTGTTACAGCTCATAAATCCAATGTGGACCCAAAGAATGAGCAGCAGCAAGATTTATTGCAAAGAGCAAAAGAACAAAGCTTCCATAGTCTGGAAGGGGACCCAAGCGGGTTGCCACTGTTGGCTCAGGCAGCCTGCTTTTATTCTCTTATCTGGCCCCACCCACATCCTGCTGATTGGTAGAGCCTAGTGGTCTGTTTTGACAGGGCGCTGATTGGTGCCTTTACAATCCCTGAGCTAGACACAAAGTTCTCCAAGTCCCCACCAGATTAGCTAGATACAGAGTGTCTACACAAAGGTTCTCCAAGTCCCCACCAGAGTAGCTAGATACAGAGTGTCCATTGGTGCATTCACAAACCCTGAGGTAGACACAGGGTGCTGATTGGTATGTTTACAAACCTTGAGCTAGATACAGAGTGCCGATTGGTGTATTTACAATCCCTGAGCTAGACATAAAGGTTCTCCACGTCCCCACCAGACTCAGGAGCCCAGCTGGCTTCATCCAGTGGATCTCGCACTGGGGCTGCAGGTGGAGCTGCCTGCCAGTCCGGCACCGTGCGCCCACGCTCCTCAGCCCTTGGGTGGTCGATGGGACTGGGCGCCGTAGAGCAGGGGGTGGCGCTTGTCAGGGAGGCTTGGGCTGCACAGGAGCCCACAGAGGCGGGGAGTCGTGGGGAGGCTCAGGCATGGCGGGCTGCAGGTCCCGAACCCTGCCCCGCGGGAAGGCAGCTAAGGCCTGGCGAGAAATCGAGCGCAGCGCCAGTGGGCCAGCACTGATGGGGGGACCCAGCACACCCTCCGCAGCCGCTGGCCTAGGTGCTAAGCCCCTCATTGCCTGGCGCGCCGGCAGGGCCGGCCGGCCGCTCCAAGTGCGGGGCTTGCCAAGCCCACACCCACCCGGAACTCGTGCTGGCCCGCAAGCACCGCGCGCAGCCCGGGTTCCCGCCCACACCTCTCCCTCCACACCTCCCTGCAAGCTGAGAGAGCCGGCTCCAGCCTCAGCCAGCCCAGGAAGGGGCTCCCACAGTGCAGCGGTGGGCTGAAGGGCTCCTCAAGTGCTGCCAAAGTGGGAGCCCAGGCAGAGGAGGCGCCGAGAGCCAGCGAGGGCTGTGAGGACTGCCGGCATGCTGTCACCTCTCAGGACTACAGGCATGCACCACCACGCCCAGCTAATTTTTTGTATTTTCAGTAGAGACGGGGTTTCACCATGTTGGCCAGGCTGGTCTCAAACTCCTGACCTCAGGTGATCCACCCACCTCAGCTCCCCAAAGTGCTAGGATTACAGGCGTGAGCCACTGCTCCCGGCCGGAGTTTTTTTTTTAATTAAATTATTTAATCTTCACAGCTCTGTGAAGGAAATATAATTGATTTAATTTCACAGAGGAGGTAGCTGAGGCTCAGGGGTTAGAAATGGCAAGTGGTAGAGCTGAGACCAGAATCCAATTTCTGATTCAACGTCTTTTTCTCTCCGTCACACCAGAACTGCTTTTTCTGGCGTGATAGATTCAAAATGACTTATGTGTTGCTTTTCAAATCCCTCATTATATTCAAGATAACAGATTAACAATGCAATGTGAGATGTGGATAGGTCAATAGATCAAAACTATTCTGCCAATTCCCATAGTGCCTGAATTCATAATCTTGACTGAGCTGAGCCTAATACTGAACATACTATAGTACATAGTATATTACTAAGTATACTATACTATACTGTACTATACTCTACTATACAACTATGCTATACTATAGCTGAACATACTATACCACAGATGGTCCCTGATTGGTGATAGTTTGACGTATACAATTTTTCAACTTTACAGTAGTGCAAAAGGGATACTCATCTAGTAGAAACCATACTTTGAGTACCAATACAGCCATTCAGTTTTTCATTTTCAGTTCAGTATTCAGTAAATTACCTAGGATATTCAACACTTCATTATAAAATAGGCTTTTTGTTAAATGAGTTGGCCTAACTGTGAACTAATGTAAGGTTTTTGAACACATTTAAAGTAGGCTAAACTAAGCTATGCTGTTTGGTAGGTTAGGTGTATTAAGTGCATTTTTTACTATGATATTTTCAATTTATGATTGGTTTATTGGGACACAAACTCATTATAAATTGAAAACCATCTGTGTACTATACTATAGCTAAACATGCTGTACTGTAGTATGTTTAACCATATGAGGTTGTTCTTTTACATCCAGGAAGGGTCAAATATATCAGCACTTTCATATGATTCAACCTAATATGGTATAGGGTAATTTTTTTCTATAGTCTGAAACTAAAAGTATGAATTAGTAATATGAAATAATTAGTATGAAACTAGGCAGTGGAGTGAAGAAGAAAGATTTTGGAAACAGACTAATACTGCCCTAACAAGGCTTGTGACCATGTCATTTAAAATTCCTAAGCCTCAGTTCCCTAATCACTAGAATGGAGATAATAATTTCTTCCCTAATGTTTGCTGTAAGGTTTGAATGATATGGTCATGTACGTAAAAGGCCCAGTTCTATACCTGACCCATTAAAGACACTAAATCAATGGCAACTATAATTATGATCACAAGGGAACATGGATGCTTTTGATATAGGGTGTTATTTAATCACTAGTATTTATTTCCAGGTTTTATTCCGGAGCAGAATTATAATTTGTTGTATATATTCTTAATATAATAATTTCTCTGGAATTGCTTGTTATAATGCATATTACTTGCCTCAGAATTAAAGGTTTATTTTATGGAGCATATAACCAAGTATCAACAAACAGTTGCCTGCCAAGTAATAACTTTAGTAAAAGATAATCTTCGACAGGGAAGAAGTAGACACACAGCGGACTTTCAGTGATAAATATTTATATGAAATTTATCAAAGAATTCCCAGGAGCACTGACTGCTCTAAGCTGTAGAAAAGAAACTTAGCCAACGTCTTCCTTTTGAAATGAAAATCAGTAGCCAGAAGTGGCTAGTCCAAAAGCAATCTAGATAAGGGATAAGCCCCATCTTCATGCTCAGAGTCCTTTAATTAGCACTATGGGATGTGGGTGATAAAGAATTTTTCTAGTACAATTTTATTAAAAAATCCATGTTTTACTAACATGAACTTCTGGAAATTGATCATCCGTCTATTCAACTGAAAAGATAAAAATGGAAATTCTTTGAAGAAAAAGAGTACTTCAGCATCCTCTTAAAACCCTAGATATATTGTTTCATGGGAATTTAACTGTACATCTCCTTGATAGAATTCTATTATGGTTTTTGCTTATATAGGCACACTAGTTATTCAATGAAGATTGGGAATGAGGCACTGGACTTCATAATCTCTGTACTTTTTTCTATAGATAAAGATAAAATGGGTAAGAATTTCAAAGTCTACAAACTAAGATATATGAAAATTCATTCTTTGGTTTTTATGATTTTATTTTAGACTCTATGGTTCAGTCTGATAATGGCCATATACTTCCTCGATTCAGCAATTTTTCAGACACTTCAGATTGTAAATACAGTAACACCAGGATGGTTTATGTTTCCTCCTGTTCTTTCCCATGGCATTGATAGAGGGCTCAGATAGCACAGGGGTAATTGCCACCAGGAGAGCAGGGAAATGTGCCCTAGTCCTTGTGCACTGTCTCCCCGTTGTGCCACACCTACCCCTGAAGTCTATTGTAAGCTCTGGAGGTGACTACAGAAGCCTCACCCTTGGGAGCTAAGGAAGAGAGTTTCTACCTATCATGCTGAGTCTCCTGAGTCCTGGGCCAGCCTCTAACTTCAGCTGTAACTTCTGTCTGGGGCTCACCACAAGCAGGATCAGGTCCTCACTCCACTGGTGACTGGGCATTTTGTGGGTGTCAACTCAGCTCCCACTCAACTCTCTGCACCAGTGATGTGCTCAAGACTTAACTGGTCTTTGTCTGATCCCTGGCAGGAACCATCCATGCTGCATCTTCCAATGGGATGACTCTGAGATCTCTTTCAGGAACACTGGTTCTCTCCCCGTGCGTGTTCATAATCAGGATTCCTCGGAAAGCCTCCCTTAGTTTAATAAACTCAGACAAAATTATCTCTTACACTCCACAGGCTTAACAGAGCATCCTGTCCATTCTCCCAAACAGTGGAATGAACAGCCTTCCCTACAAGGCTTGCTTCTACTCATGTCTCAGAACTTGGAAGAGGCTGTCTAACCTCATATTCCTACCCTAGAACCCAGCTTGAAGGGTCAGAGACAGACACAGGCCTTCCTAAATTCACATCTGACTTTTTCTTTCCTGTCTATTTCTCTTTCCCCCCTTCCCTGCCCTGAAGTGCCTTTAACTAGTGTATGTGCTGGGGAACTTATGGGTGAAGAGAATTATTTAGGAAGTTTGTATGTGTAAACATGCTTCTATCTTACTTTCTCGCCAACAGTTTCTAAACCAAAGAGCAAAGAATTTGCAAAAAATTACAAAGATTGTCAGATGCGAATTTCCCCTGTATCCTCCCCCCTCCAAGTAGTGTGTGACCACATTTTTATTGTCTAGGCTGGGGGTAGGGATAAGGTGCTTGGATTATAGTGAAGAAATTCTATTGTGACTGAATTACAAAACGATTTTGCATCTTCCCTTCTTAAATCTTCTATCCTAATAGAATAGAATCTAGGTATAATTATGCACCACATGTTACATCACCAAAACAAATGGTTTTAACATGAGCCATTCTACCAAACACAGCATCTCATAGCTATAGGCCAGGGTTTTTCAACATCAGCAATATTGACATGTTGGGTGGAATAATTCTTTTTTCTAGGCCACTGTACTGTTCTTTGTGGGAAGTTTAGCAGCATCCCAGGCCTCTACCTACTAAGTACCAGTAGCACTCCTTTCACAACCAAAAATAGACATTGCCAAATGTCTCTGGCAGGGGAAATCACCTGAGGTTGAGAATCACTGTTGTAGACCCACCCTGACACAACATGTGATGCCTATGTACTTGGAAGCATTCTTCTAAGCGTTTTGATGATGGATTGCTTCTAAGAAGCACTCTGTAGCTATCACTTTGCAAAATAACCTCTTTTATCTTTCCTGTAAGTCAGGTAGCACAGATTATTGGCCCCATTTCCACAGAGAGAAACTTGGAAGCATTCAGCCTTCCCAATCAGGTCATGGAACTCTGTACTTCCATTTTCTCCATCTGAAAAAGTGAAAAGTATCATCACTGCTTTTCTTCCCAAGCCTGAGATTGAGCAATAAGTACAGAGCATTGCCCTTTCCTAACTGCTATTCCCAAACTGTTCCATCCCAGGCAGCTCTAAAGACCAATTCATATTTGCAGGACTTCCTATTTCATGGACATCAGAAATAAAGCCTTCAACATAAACAAAATTGGCAGCTAGCCACGTATTTCATCAATGTAACTGCCAAATTACATGGAGTAAAAAATCAATTCTAGCAAAACCAATAATAATCGAATCAGTTCTTTTCCTTCATGCCCAGACACAATGCAATTTTTAAAACACAGACATTAATGTGCCCAACATGCCTACTACAATAACCTCTGTGACACCAATCTAGCACTTGGGAATGAGTGCAGATAAGCTATAGATACAAACAACTGTGAACTGTCAGCTTTACAACATTCTATTCACATGGATTTCAAAAGCCAAGAAATTATACAAGAAAGCATGACAGTTTGTGAATCTCAAAAGCACATAGCCTCCTAGTTGCTAAGGCTATCCAACCTGATTCTAGAGAGGATCCAAAAACCATGCCATATTTGAAGACAGCTGAGAATTGCCAGAGAAAAGCTATTTTTCTAGGAAAGAAAATCCACTATTTTCTATAGACACAAGAGCTTGGTAGAATATGATTATTGGAGGTTGTGTGCAATACCTCTGTGAAAACTCAGGTCAGGGACCACAACTTTGCATCCACAGATGAGAAAGGCATCCAATTTAAAAATTGAATTGGGTAGCAGCTCTCAATAAGTATCATCTGAGAGTGAGTGAATAAGGGATATGAGACTAAAATGATAGATTATACCTAAAAAAAAAATCAGGGACTAGGCAAATAAGTTAATAAAAATGAAAATTAAATTCTGATCTGATATATTAGTAATTTTTAATTCAATGCATCTTATTGCTTCCAGTTGTAAAATCATAACTGAGAGATGTGAAGAATGGGTTCATATCATTTATGGCACATAGATTTTTGTTCATTAATATGCATAGCTAAAATAGCGGGCATATGAGCTACCATACTCCTCAAAATGTTAGTGAAAGTATTATAACTTAAGCATTAAATATACCAAACAGGTCATTTTTTATAGTTACTTTAGTAATCAACTAGAGTTGCATATATTCAGATATATTTCTAGCTAAAGATCTGAATATGTGACAAGGTCTATTAATCATAATTGTTCTAGTGTCACTTAACATAAATGAATTTTAAAATAAAACCTTGTGAGAATCAGTGATCCAAAACTAAAATCATCATGAAAACCTAAAACTCCTGTAACTAAAGGAATAAAATCTTCACAGTATCATGTCGCTGCCTATGAATCTGGAAGATCTTGAGTGCCCTCTACAGGATATTTAAATAACTTTGATGTTTATTTTTCCCAAACAGGCAATTTCTAGAACGTAAAAATAACGTATCAGGTTTTATTTTTTAAATGATTACATATTCACCACGTAAAATTTTTGAAAGAAAAAATCATCCATAATATTATCATTCATAGATAACCACTATTAACTCTTTCCATATATAATCTTTGTTATATGTACACACACACATACATTTTTATTATATTTTTCTCTTAACAACATACCATAAACATTTTGCCATCACTGATTTTGGCAGGTTGAGGATTTTTTTTAGATTTTAATGGATTTTCCAAAAATGTGCTTTATTGACAAATCACTATTTCTCATCAGAATTTCTCAGTGAAAAGTGACCCCCACACCAAAATAAAAAAAAAAAAAGGAAAGAAGGTGAATTTAAATAAAACAAAACAAAACTCAGTAACCACTCAAGGGTGGGTTCATAACCAATAAAATCAGGATACACATGACTCTTCAAACCAAAAATACCATAGAGATATTCTGAATAGTTTCCCACATTGAGGATATAAGGTGGTCTTAGAAATTAAATTAGGTAAATAAGACTGTTATCCAAACTATCAAATCTGGGGTTTCAGGCCAAGAATAACACTGTTAGTGCAGTAAGGTTAAAGTAGTAGTACATTTAAGTTAGCTAGATAAGTGCCTCTGTTTCTATTTTACTTGTCCATGATCTTATTATCCTTAAAGGTAGTTTACACTTCAGAAAATAAAGGCATATTTGACACACTAAGTGCCTGTCAAAATCAGAGGTGACTCCCTTTTCTACACTAGGCCTGATTTTGTTTTTTATTTTTTAAAATAAAGCAATGATGCACATCTTTAAGGATGCCAAATAGATTAGGCATTCTTAACACTCAATTTGAAAACAATCTTTAAAAACATTATGATACTGACACACTAGTTTAGCTTCTTTGCACATGGGGTTAATTCCTTTTCATTTGTCCTAGTGAACGCTGTCATTACACTTTCCGGAGAATATTAACACGAAAGACTTTGCCTACAACCAAACAAATGTTTCAAAGTGGAAAGAGGTTTCAATCTTCCTTTTTAACCAGAGCAGAAATTACTGGCAGAGGCAACATCCTATCATAATAATGCCATGACCTCATCTGAGACTAGTTGAACAGCAAGATCCTCTCTATTCCATGATAACAATAATAAGTCAAGGTTGTCTGAATTTTGAAAGAGATTTCTCACAAACTTTGCAAGGAGTACATGTTTTATTTGGTTACAGTACTGTGAAACTCATCTTTTTGAGAAGGTTGTACCCAGATCTCAGTGGAAATTAAGAACAAGAGTAAACAGTCACAATTTATTTTCATTTCTCACCTGAGATTATTTTAAGAAGGGAGGTGCCGAGAATTGAGATGTTTATTACATGTATAGACGATGCAACAGGATTTCAAGACTGTAAAAGATTTGACCACAGGTATCTAAGAGAAATCTACTCTGTGATTATTAAAATAAATTGAAAACTCTGAACTGCTTTTACTCACAACATTTCTGACACCAAATGTTTGGGTTTGCCTCACACCAACCAATTCTCCTACTCTCTGGACACCAAGTGGATCTCTTACAATTCAATTCTGATTCTAACACTCAAGAGTTAGACTCCAGAGTCAGACTCCACAGGTTTAATGCCTCGGTCCCAGAAGACTGCATTCACTTCTGATGCCATTCACAAGCATTGGGTTCCCGGGTTACCCACAACTCTGTCCTACTTAGCTTCAAATCAGGGGCTCCCACAAACCTCCCTCTAGGTTTGACAATTTGCCGGAATGTCTCACAGAACTCAGGAAAACAGTCTACTTACTACTACTGGTTTATACAACTCAGGAGCAGCCAGATGAAAGAGACACATAGGGCAAAGAATGGCAGGGAGTTGTGGGGGTGCAAAGCTTTCATGCCCTCTCCAGGCATGCCACCCTCCCAGCACCTTGATGTGTTCACCAGCCTGGAAGGTCTTTGAACATTAGTGGGTTTTATGGAAGTTTCATCACATAGGCATGATGGATTATTAACTCAATCTACAGCTTTTCTCTGCTCTCTGGAGGTTGAGGTGGGGACTGTGAAAGTTTCAGGCTTCTAATCTGGGTATGGTCTTTTTGACAACCAGCCCCCATCCTGAAGCCATCTAGATGCTCACCAGAATCACTGCATTAAAATGAGAGATGCTGCTGTCACCCAAGAAATTCCAAGATATTTAAGAGCTCTGTGTCAGGAATGAGGGACAAAATCACATATATATTTATTATGCCACAGAAATAGATGACTAAGGATTTTTTTCTGAGACATAAAATATTCTCCCCTTTGACTATGAAGACAAATAAAATGTAGAGGCTACAAGCTGTTTGTTTTGAGATTTTATTGATAACAAGCACATCAATACAGACAATAAGATTTTTAGCATTTGCAGGTGTGATTATCCTTTACTTCACTGTGTATTGGGGCCATTGAGTAACCGTCACTGTGATCTTTGGCTAGCAATGTACCTAAAACATATGTACCTACATAAATTAATGCAATATAGCTCCATTAGCATGTATAAAGGAAAGCAGACCTTGTGAGTGGGAGGATATTATCATGAGCCTACAGACATTAGTACACCACATGGCTATTTGTGTTTATAGAATGAAATACATCATTCCATTGTCCAAGAAGGAAGGAAAAAAAAATTCAACAGACACTTAAGCTGATGAAATTGAAGCATTCTGGGCAATATAGTAACCCCACATTCTGTAAAAGGAGAATCAGTAATCTATGGAAGCAGCTTGATGTTTCTAAAAATAAGTCTAACAGACCTTACTTTCTTATCTGATAGGCTGCAAAATCAATCAAGAAAAATATGAGAAACATAGAGATATAGACGAAAGGCTAAACAATTAGGAAAATATTAAATGGATAAATGATGGTGTCACCCCACAAAGTGCTGATTAAAGACCTGATTCATCCTACAGGAATATTACCAGGGAAATCTTACAGGGCTCTGTCTTTGTCTCTGCCAGTCCACATTTGTCTCAATCAAGGGAATAATGATAAAAGGCATGTTTTTCAAATTTGCAGATAACATGAAACTAAGAGGTTGAGCAAATCAGCATCCAGAAACAAAAATAGCCCAGGCACAGTGACTCATGACTGTAATCCCACTTTGGGAGGCCAAGACGGGTGGATCACCTGAGGTCAGAATTCAAGACCAGCCTGGTCAACATGAAGAAACCCCATCTCTGCTAAAAATATAAAAATTAGATGGCCTAATTTTTTTTATGGTGTTATGCACTTGTAATCCCAGCTACTCTGGAGGCTGAGGCAGGAGAATCACTTGAACCTGGGAGGTAGAGGTTGCAATAAGCCAAGATTGTGCCACTGCACTCCAGCCTGGGCCACAGAGTGAGACTCCATCTCAAAAAGCAAAAACTCAATAGGCTAAAATAGTAAGTCAAATTGAATTAGATAAAATTATCAAACTGGCTCGATACAATTAAATGGGAACAATATTAGTTCTTATGTGTGAGTCCAAAAGAAAGTAAAAACCATTTGATTGTGGAAAAAGCGAATTTGAACTTGTGCTGCTTTAATGGAAGACCAGTGACTAGACTTTGCTAGCCAGTCACTCCAAGAATGTCATGACTTGGGCAGGCATGGGGGGATCTCATCCACATGGGACCAGAAAAATGGTAGAGGAGGTCAGAACAGGGTTGTATAGAGGCTTAACCCCAGCTGAATAGCCCAGATGGATGCCTATCACATGCAGTTCAACCTGGCAGGCAATTTCATCTTGAGAAATTACAGGTAGACAGCCAATTTAAAAGTCAGGAAGGGCCACAATCAGGGTCAGGAGATCTAATGGTGGCAGCAGAATTTCTATCAGTGGGAAATTTAAGAGGAGTTGGACATATTCCAAATAAATAAAGCTCGGAAGGAGATCTTGGCCGTTGCACTAGAGTCCCATTGGTGTCAAAGGTTCAGCCATATAGCCAACACGCATTATAGGCAAAGTGTCTACATCTACAAATTAATCAAGGGTCTTAAACGGATTATTGGCTCCAAAATACATAAAGAATATTACAATATTAAAATTAGTATAACATGTTAACAAATAAGCTGCAATTAAATGTTTTATAGTGATATGTAAATTATGTTTAACATGGAATGTGAATACATTTTAATGTATTTGATATAATGCCTGGAGTCTAAATGCCTTTAAATGGGTATGGTCTAGTGTAGACAAGGATTAATAGACTAGGCAGTGTAAACAGTCAGATATGAAGAAACCGGGCTCTAGAAAAGTCACTCTGGGAATTTACATATTGTCCAAACATAGAAAATGCCAGGGTCGAAATGGAGTAGGGAGAAGCCTGAGTATCCTGACCTTGCTTTAGGTGTGTTAGGTCCTAGATCTGGTTGGAAGTAATGGGGCTTTCCAGAGGATGCTAAAGAAATCAGAAAACATGGTTGGATTCTATGATCGCAAATCTGGGGATACGTCCAAATCTGCTGCTGCTTAATTCTTATGTCAATCAAGAGTGGCTCCATAACAAGGGCAGAATTAACCTTGGGGACAGGTCTGTGCAATAGAGAAAGAAGACAGATAACCCAAAAAGTGGTAAAAGAAACAAGGTAGACATGACTACCCCTAAGTTTAGGGCTGCATACTTCATGGGACATGTAAGCAAACTGGAAACTGTGAGCAGAAAAAAGTTCCTAAGACTGAGCATACCCTGGGAAGGACCAGAGCCTGGAGAATAAAAGAAAGGGAGCATGAAAAGTGTTCTCAAAGATGGGAGGTGTTATTATGTTAAAAAAAGAAAAAAAGGATTGGGTTTGTTTTCTGTTAACACAGAGGTGGGCAAGGATGTCATGGTGGATACTCTCCAAGAAGATGAATTTTTACTTATGATAGAACATGTTTTCTAATGATTATTATCAGAAACACACTCACCCATCCAAACCCAAAGAATGGACTTAGAGGTATGAAGAACAGTGAAAGTGAGACTTTTTAATAATGGCTTTGCAAGATTGGGTGTTTGGTGGGCAGGCACACTTGGGGAAGTCACATCAAGTAATTTATCTCTTACACAAAGTTCCTCCCCCAGTTCCTCATTGGTTGAGTACTGTGGGGTTACAATTTTCCTGGACATCACCTAAGTTTCATTATCCCCTTATAAGGTTATCCCCATCCCCTTCCCTGCTTAAGATTTGATTTCTCAATAACAAAACTGTCTTCCCTTTTATGGGCTGACCCTTCCTCTGCATTCTGTTCTCTTATTGTGACCTTCTAGGTGCATGAGCTGTAAGGTTTGTTTCATTTGCAAGCGGGCTGCCAGTGCTTAGATTTATCATGCCTTGAAAATGGACCGTTGAAAATGTTCTCTCACAATTATCTAAAAACCTAATTAACTACCGAGCAGACTCAGAAAGTAGTAATATGGCTATCTGTAAGCAGTGGATGACCATTCAAACAGTGGGTTATCAGGAATCAAACATTAAATGGGTTGTTGCATTTTGCCTTTAACTGTGAGAATGTTTTAAAAATCTGGCTTCCATAGTTTATTTGCTGCTTCTTGGGGTGTCATGGAGATACAAAGTTCCATGAGAAAGGAACCCAAAGTAGCCTTTTGAATAATTGTTATGCACATCTGGAGCCACTGGAAAAATTAAACCCAGTTGACTCTCTTATCTGAAGCTAAGATGCACAATTCCAAATATCCAATAACTCTGTAGTGTAAAGCAATCTACATTGCTACAACAGCAGAGCTCTTGATAAATTCCTAATATGTCTCCTCTCATGTGGGAAGAGTAAGAGGAATTAGGGAGTGGTAGACCACTATGCTTATTTCAGTAGGTTATTTTCTAACAATAGTTGAAATGCTGATTTTGAGTGTCATTTAGGATACTTTAATTAGGTGCAACTGATGTAAACAGGAAGGAAACATACTGGCTCCTGTAAGGACCAGGTACTCTCCACTCAACATTCATGTTTGCAAACAGCTAAAAGAGAAAAAGAAATTTACCTTTCCTCCGACTATTGAAGAAAAGTTCTAGGTTTCTTTGGGACTGGATCAACTTGGATCACATGCCTATTGCCAAGCAACTAATTTGGCCAGGGGACTGCTATGAGATAATTGTTTTAGACCTGGATTGTTGCCTAACCCTGAGCCATTCACCATATTTTAATGATTGGCCTAAGCCAATCAAGATCCACACCATGAAATTTGAGATTGGGTTACAACTGCTCCACAACAGGACATAAACTTATTTCTGCCCACCCATGGATTAGAAGCTTAAATGTCTGCATTATCTGAAACACATTTACGTACAAGACTAGACCATCCCCCTAGCTCTATTAAGCACAGTGGGGAGTAATTTTTATTTTCAAATTAGAAAATGCATCCAAAATAGAGTGTTTCAAGTACCAAAAGAATACTAACATCCCAGATACTTCTACAATTGTACTAACTCCATGCATCTTTATCCATTGACATCAACTTAATTTTATCTGTACTTTCTTCACCACTAAGAAATCCCCAGGGGCTGAAAGGAAATTTCAAGAGTTCCTGTATAGTTATTGTTGCTAGGAAACAACATCCTTGGTATCCAAGTGTTCAGCTCTGAGATACTGTGTGAAGTCACTGGTTCATAAAAGAAAACCTTTGGTAAAATAGGTTGTTTAGGTGTGAGTAAATTGATGTTCTCACTCTGTGGCAAAATGTTCTTGTGTAACCTTTGAAATAATAGTGTATTTCAAAGCCAGTATTCTTTCCTTTGGATCTAACTGCCATTATTGCTCCCATGAAAACTCAAGCTTCTACTTGGAGAGGAGTAAGCTGGCCGGGCACGGTGGGTCATGCCTCTAATGACAGCACTTTGGGAGGCCGAGGGGGACGGGTCATGAGGTCAAGAGTTAGAGACCAGCCTGGCCAACATGGTGAAACCCTGTCTCCACTAAGAATACAAAAATTAGCAGGGTGTGGTGGCACGTGCCTGTAATCCCAGCTACTCAGGAGGCTGAGGCAGGAGAATTGCTTGAACATGGGAGGTGGAGATTGCAGTGAGCCAGGATCACCCCACTGCACTCCAGCCTGGGCAAAAGAGCAAGACTCCGTCTCAAAGAAAAAAACAAAAGAAAGAAAAGGAGTAAGCCTTCTTTTTTTCCCCAAATCATCTGTAATTACCTCTGCCTTGAACACTAAGCCTAATGGGTTTTAGTTAAACAAAGTGCGTGTGAGCTTGGAAATAAAGACCCAGACCACTGACTGGATAAATTGTTGAATATTATTAAAATCTCTATTGATCAGTAGTCATAGTCCAGCTTTTTTATTTTGTGTAGTATTGACATGCTCTGCTGCTCTTCAGAAGCGGGAGATAATGTGAGGTGCTGTTTTGACTCACCCTTCTCCCCACCTCAACTGCAAGCGGCAAACCATCACTGACTCTCAGCTAACTGGTGCTTATATGTTTCTCACCTAGGATCTTATAATTCAAAGACCAGCTTGAGGTTGTAGTCCATCACTTCTGTCACTTAGTTAACTCAGTAAGCCTAAAATTAATACACAGATTTTTGCATTTCCTTGGTGCCCAGACTTACCTGTAAGGCCTCTGTGAAGGTGTCCTTCATCAGGGAGTAAATTAGGCTCAAGAATATACCAAATAGGTCCCTCTATCAGATTACCAGTTTGGGACCATAAACTCAAAACTCTAAGCAGCAAACAATATTAACTTATTTATTCAAAAATATGTATTGAAACTTTACTATAGACAGAATCTGTTCTAGGCATCGGGAATTTTTTAAATGAATGAAAGAAGGCCCTTTTCTTCAAAGAGCTTATAATATAATGAGGAATAGAGAAGACAAAGGGTAGAGATAAACACAAAGCTATAGAAACAGTTGAAATATTCTGCATGGTATGTTCAGTACTACGTAACTGACAGGATCCTATCTGGGAGGCAGAAACCACTCAAGATTTTTCAAAAAGGGAATTTAATATTTAATAGAGACTTTGTTACAAAGATTGGAAGGGCTAAAAAAAAAAAACGCAGAAAGGAGAAGGAGAAGAGTGCTAAACGGGCAGATGTCAGAGGCTGCTAACATGCTTGCAGTAGAGCACAAGTTTGAATCTGATGTGATCCTGTGAGAGGCACTGTCCTAGTTGTTTATGGAATTGCCAAAAGAGAGGTGACTTCTTCAATTGCCCTGGCAGCAGTCGCCAGAAACTGAGGCACTACCATGCTGCAAGAGCCAGGAACAGGAAGCTTCTTTCTCCCTTCCACCTTTTTTTTTTTTTTTTTTTGAGATGGAGTCTCGCTCAGTCACCAGGCTGAATGAAGTGCAATGACACAATCTCGGCTCACTGCAACCTCTGCCTCCCAGGTTTAAGCAATTCTCCTGCCTCAGCCTCCTGAGTAGCTGGGACTACAGGTGTGCACCACCACGCCCAGCTAATTTTTGTATTTTTAGTAGAGACAGGGTTTCACCATGTTGGCCAGGATGGTCTTCATCTGTTGACCTCATAGATCTGCCCGCCTTGGCCTCCCAAAGTGTTGGGATTACAGGCGTGAGCCACCGTGCCCAGCCTCTCCCTTCCACCTTCTAATCTTCAGCTAGCTCTTCCTAGGGGAAGTATCTAACATGAAGCCAGAGAGGCAGGAAGCCCAGCCCCAGCAGTACAGAGTAGAGCACAGAAAGTGGAGTATGCAGCATAGAAATATCAAGTGAATGACTGGCATGGGTTACAACAGAGGTTTTAATGAAAAGCTCTGGTAATCACAATGCTGGAGCAAATAGTTCTTCCCTAGAAGAGAAAGAAGGTATGTCAATCCAGTGTCTGTTGCAGACAGCAGAAGTCCATCTAGCTAGTTTAGTATGTATGCTAACCTCCTTTGAGAAAGCTAACTACATCTCCCAGATTCTCTTGAAACTGAGGTTGTGGCTATAATTTAGTTTTCTGGATTAGATGGAGTCAAGTCATGTCAGAGGTAGTGTTTGAAGCATCCGTTTTGCTGGTGCAGATCATAACTCATGGATGGCTCTGGAACCAAGAATTCTGGTTTTAGCTTTCTGTGATCCTGGAATCAATGTGGTTGCTGTAGCTACTTGATTAACAGCTTTCTGATTGTGGCAATCGGTCCCTTTGAAAGGCCAATCTGCACTGTGGTTCTGGGAGTCATTGCTAGTGGCTCAGCCTGGAATCTACTACTTCAGTGTTTTGACTGCAAGCAAAAATGATGAGAATCAGTCCTTGACCTCAAGAAGCTCAGAGCCTAGTGGGGGAAAGACAGATAAGCCAGGTAAAATTCAACATGGTTCTGTGCTTTTTTCGAGGCGTGTGTATAGTGGAGTTTATAAAAGTCAATTAGGAGCAGAAAGGACTGTGACCAGTGGCCATAGGAGTCTACCTACAGCTCTCCCTACACTCAATCCTGGCTACCTAATTACCTTACTCTTCTTGGCCCAGTTTTTTCTTTGCATACTGAAATTGTTGAGGATTTTGTGGTGTTCATATGGATTCAACTTTGCCAAAGTTCAGTTTTCTTGCTAAAATTGAGTTGCTTATTGAGTAAATTTCATGAAGTAAATCACAATATTCCATTGACATCATCCAACCTTTATATTATTCCCTGTATACAGTATTCATCCTATATGTTACTTCTTCTGCCAGGCAGGCCTGCTCTACCCATCTGGCCAAATCCTCTAAGAAGTTTAACTCCCTTGGGTCAATAGTTTGCTTAGACTGCTATTAGACCATGAGATCCTGAAAAGTAAGGCCACACCTAACCCACTGCATATCCTTCATGCCTAGGATAGTGTTTGATGCATAGCAGGCACTACAAGTAGGTGTATTGCAACGTCAAGTATATTTTCCATTGATTTGCTTGCCAGTTTAGAGAATTAGGTATGTTTGATGCCATCCCTAAGAACTAGGTATTGTTCTGTGCTTCATCAGGGATCCTGATGGATATCTAGAAAGATAAGAGACTGAATCCAGAGAAGTTGTCTGTGGCAGAGAAGAGTCAGCAAAGACCTCATGTTAGAGTGCTCAGGAGGGGAAAGTAAGCACGCCAGCATCACTGATGGGTGACTCTAAAGCTAACATGGAAGCTGTGTTCTGTCAGCCCTGTTTTTACTGCCTACTTGAAAATGGGCCACCCAGGATCACAAACTAATGACAGGCATAATGAAGTCAAAAGCTATAGGCAAATCCAGACTTCAATTGGGACAAGAGCAAAGGTTCCTATTCAGGCTTTGATCTATAAATAGTATTTCTCTCCACAGAGTCTCTAGATACTGGTTTACAACTCCCTCCTTAACAAATACCCATTGTAATTATTCTATGTTTCTAACTAAAAGCAAAACCATGTGCAGTCTAGCTCAGAAGAGGATAGTCATTCATTTGTGAAGTGTGAGGCACGAGAACCTGACTGAATGAAAGGCCACCCCAGCCCCATATAAAGGTTAGCAAAGGATATTTAGATATGCTACTAAAATCCATGCCTAGATAAGTCAGACAAGAAGACAGCTTTAAATTTGGACTGTATTGCCTTGTCTCCTTAAAGGATTTTTAAAAACTAAATTGTACTTATTTTGATTCCATCTATCTTTATGAAAAAGTTCGCCTTTCACACCATCTTCCTGAATGGATTTTGCTGAGGCATTTTTCATCACATTAAAAAAAAAAAGTCCATGGGAGAAATTTCTCTCAGGCTTGGCATCAGCACTTCCCCTTCTTCCAAGCCAATTGGTTTGTTTTTATCTCATGGGCATGGTGAATTCTTTAACTTATCTGATTTTTGTGTTACTTGATAGAAAAGCAATTTTTTTGTCTCTGAGAAGAGGCAGGTCCGGGTGGTGCTGGCAGTTCATTTCCTCCTCCCTGGAAGTGAGCAGACTCAGCAGATCTGAGTTAAGTAGACAGACATAGAAGCTGGTCTCAGCTGCTGAGTTCCTAAGGCTACCCCCTGCAATCCTATAAAAATGTGAAATGTACAGCATTGCAAGGCAAGGTTCAGTGCACCCAGGCTACCTGATGAGCCTAAACCATGGGATAATGAGAATTTGGGAAACAACTGGTGATCCACTACCTCCCTGTATTAGTTTGTTCTCACACTGCTATAAAGAACTACCTGAGAGTAGGTAATTTATGAAGAAAAGAGGTTTAATTGACTCACAGTTCCACAGGCTATACAAAGGCTTGGAGGCCTCAGGAAACTTACAATCATGGCAGAAGGTGAAGGGGTAGCAAGCATGTCTTACCATGGTGCAGCAGAAGAAAGCGAGAGAGAGCAAAGGGGGAAGTGCCACACACACATTTTTAAACCATCAGATCACATTCGAACTCATTCGCTAACACGAGAACAGCAAGGGGAAAATCCACACCCATAATCCAATCACCTCTCACCAGGCCCCTCCTCCCACACGTGGTGATTACAATTCGAGATGAGATTTGGGTGGAGACACAGAGCCAAACCATATCACTCCCTGCTCATAAAATTCTTTCTTAATAAACCCCATTCTAGATCTTCTGGAGGTGTGTATTTGAAATCTCATTGCCCACATGTAGAAAATACATAGGATGCCAAGATTTCCTTCTTTGTAATTTAATTTTTTGACTGTTAATTTACTCACATGATTCAAAACTCAAAATACATTAAAAGTTTAGAGTGAAAATTTCCCTTTCATCCTTATCATCCATCTTCCTAGTCCCCCCAAAAGAAATTGTTATTACCTTGTTATCTGTCCCTCCAGAGTTTTTTCATACACCTACAAGTATATGCAAATATGTTTCTGTTTTTCCCAGATTTTTCCCTCATATATTAGCATGTTGCAACATTATTGTTCTGAACTTTGATTTTTTTAATTGAAAGTGGATTTTTGAGATTTTTAATATTATATATAAGAAATTCCTTGTTCTTCTTTATGGCTTTATAATAGTGCATTAATGTGCTATAATTTATAATTTAGTTAACCACTCTTCTGTCGGAGGATGTATTAGTCTGTTTTCACGCTGCTGATACACACCCGAGACTGGGCAATTTACAAAAGAAAGATGTTTAACTGGACTTACAGTTCCACCTGGCCAGGAAAGCCTCACAACCATGGCAGAAGGCAAGGAGGAGCAAGTCATATCTTACATGGATGGCAGCAGGTGAAGAGAGAGAGAATGAGAGCCAAGGGAAATGAGTTTCCCCTTATCAAACCATCAGATCTCGTGAGACTTACTCACTATCAGGAGAACAGTATGGGGGAAACTACCCCCATTATTCAATTATCTCCCACCAGGTCCCTCCCACAACATGAAGCAATTATGGGAGTACAAATCAAGATGAGATTTGGGTGGGAACACAGAGCCAAACCATATCAGGGGACATTTATTTGTTTCAAATATTTTGCTATTACAACAGTATTTTAATGAATAATCCTGTATGCACATTCTTCACAATTGTGCAATTCACACAAATTTCTAGAAGGAAATTTCTAGAAATTTCTTTAATGATTAATTTCTAGAAATTTTTATAGTTATATTCTCTAGACAGATCTACAGTTTATTTAAGATTTACAATAGTTCATGGCATGAAAGAGTGGTCCAAACTACTTTTTCCAGTAATTCCTAAGCAATGATTTCTTAAAATAGGAGTTGCTTGGTGAAAGGGTATATACATTAATACTTTCGATAGCTGAAGCAAACTGCATTCCATTTGGGTTATAACAAATTATATCCTCATCAGCAACATGAGAGTAGCTGCATCCCCACGTGCTCAGCAAAATATGTTATCACTTTGTGGATTTTTTCCAAGTTATAAGGCAAAAAGGAGTATCTTGATACAGTTTTAATTTTAATTTGAGTTTCTCTGATTATAATTGAGTTTAGGCATTTTTATTTTTCAATGAACTCTCTGTTCATATCCTTTTACTATATTCTCATTAAGGTTTTTGTCTTTGTCTTTTTTGTTGTTTGTAGAAGTTTTTTATATATTAAGAACATTAACCCTTGTCTTAAATATGAACTGCAATTATTTTTTGTCTCTTATTTACTTTTGATTCTGTTTATAGATTTTTGTTGCCACACTTTTTTAATGTAGCTGAATGTGTTAATTTTTTATGACTTATGAATTATTTGTTAGAGTTAGAAAGGCCTCATCCATGCCAGTAGTATAAAATAATTCTCCCATGTTTTCTTGCAGTATAAGCATGGTCATATTTTCTAGATAGATCTACAATTTATTTGAGATTTACAATAGTTTATGACATGAAATAGGGGTCCAAACTGCTGTTTCAAGTAATTTCTCAGCCAGCATGATTTCTTAAGCTATCTTTTCCCCAATAATTTGAGGCACCACTTTTATCATATTCTAAATTTTCCTATGTATTTGGCACTAGTTCTGAATTTTTTATTGTTACCCATTGATCTTTCTTTCAGTTCCAGCACTGGGATCACACTGTTGTAAGTATTGAGATTGTATAATGTTTTACTACCTGGTAGGGCTAGTTGCTTCTTATTTCTACTTTTTTTTTTCTTTTTTGAGATGGAGTCTTGCTCTGTTGCCCAGGCTGGAGTGCAGTGGTGAAATCTCGACTCACTGCAACCTCCACCTCCCAGGTTCAAGCAATTCTCCTCCTTCAGCCTCCTGAGTAACTGAGATTACAGGTGCCTGCCACCATGCTCAGCTAATTTTTTTTTTTGTATTTTTAGTAGAGACAGGGTTTCACCATGTTGGCCAGGCTGGTTTCGAACTCCTGATCCCAAGTGATCTACCCATCTCGGCCTCCCAAAGTGCTAGGATTACAGGTGTGAGCCACCACACCCAGCCTATTTCTACTATTTTTTCAGAGTTTTCTTGGGTTTCTTTATTTTAACTTTCAATTCATCTAGTCTAGTTCCCAGAACAAAAATCCTGTTGGCATTATGAGGCAATCATATTAAATTGTGAAACTTACGATGTTGAGTTTTCCTTTCAAAAATATGCTATGCCTTTTATTTGTTCAAGGCTTCTTTTGTGCCCTTCAAATTTATTTTAAATGTTGCTTCATATGTGTTTTGCATATTTCTGGCCAAATTTATTACTGGATAATTTTGTCTCTATTTTTAACTGGTCCTTTTCATCTATTATATGTTATAAGTTATTGTTTTATATATTAAAGTTATCAATTTCTGTATAGTAATTTTATACCCCATTACCCTACCAAATTCTTATTGTTTGTAATAGCTCTTCAGTTAATTCTTTGGAGTTTACTGAATATACAATTGCATACTTTGCAAATCCTGATAGTTTAACCAGCAGCTTTCCAACTCTGTACCTCAACTTTCTTTCTGTTGTCCAATGTCTTGGTTAGTATTTCCAGAACAATGTTAAATATGAACAATGGTAGTAGACACTCTCATCTTCTCCTTAACTTTCATGGGAATGTTTTCTGTTTCCACACTAAACATGATGCTGGTTTGGGACCAGGAAAGATATATCTTCCCATGTTAAGGAAATATCTTCTCATATATATAGAGAGAGAGAGAGAGAGAGACAGAGAGAGAGACAGAGACAGAGAGAGACGGTGTCTCGCACTGTCGCCCAGGATGGAGTGCAGTGGCGCCATCTCTGCTCACCGCAATCTCCGCCTCCCAGGTTCACGCCATTCTCCTGCCTCAGCCTCGCGAGTAGCTGGGACTGCAAGCGCCCGCCACCACGCCCGGCTAAATTTTTGTGTGAGGTTTTTTTGTTTTTTGTTTGTTTGTTTTGTTTTGTTTTGTTTTTGAGACGGAGTCTCGCTCTGTCACCGCAGCTGGAGTGCAGTGGCGCTATCTCGGCTCACTGCAAGCTCCGCCTCCCGGGTTCACGCCATTCTCCCGCCTCAGCCTCCTGAGTAGCTGGGACTATAGGGGCCCGCCACCACGTCCGGCTAATTTTCTGTATTTTTAGTGGAGACGGGGTTTCACCATGTTAGCCAGGATGGTCTCAATCTCCTGACCTCGTGATCCGCCCACCTTGGCCTCTCGAAGTGCTGGGATTACAGGCGTGAGCCACGGCACCTGGCCCTTTCTCATATTTATTGAATAATGTTTTTTGCTTTGTTAAAAGAGAACTAGTGTTGAAAGTTATCAAATGCCATTTTAGTGTCTGTATAAATAATCATATGGGTTTTATTCTCCTTAGATTTGTTATTATAATGAAGTATATTACTAGATTTTCTAATGTTAAACTTAGAATAAACCATATTGATTATGCTTTATTATTTAAAATACTGCTGGATTTTGTTTGCTAATATGTTCTGCTTACTTTATGAAAATAATTTAGAAATTTTCATTCTTAGCCTATGTTTTGGAACTGTTTAAGTAGCAATAGAATTATCAGTTCTTAAATGTCTGTTTGTAGGGATGAAATCAAGCTGTTTTGATTTTCTGTGCCTCCTTATTTGAGCTTTAAAAAATGCTTTCTTCTGAGAAAATTACCCATTTCATCCACATTTTCAAATTAATTTGTATGAAATTGATTAGTCATGATTCTTTACCGTTCCTCTCTTTCTAAGGTGGAGTCCCTTATCTGTCCTGATTGATCTGTTTGATTAGAGTCTTCTGTAGAAGAGTTTCCTCATGCAGGTACCTAGATGATATGTCCTCTGAATCTTTATATATCTTCTCTGGAAAGAAGTGGTATTTTGGCAGGGAGTAGTACTTTTGGGTCTCATAGTTGCTGTCCTTTATGCCTATATTCTAGATGTTCTGTGGGTGTCATTCCATAATCTTTTCTTTCCAGCATTGTGTATAAGAAGTTCAATACTTTTTCCGTTGAAAACACCTTGCACTTTCTGTCTGGAAGATTGTAAGACTATTATTACACCCTTGGAGTTTAGGAATGATACTGGCATGACCTGGTATATTCAGCTTGCCAATCTGCAAAATAATTTATTTAGTAAGCTCTGGGGAATTTGTATTTTCTTTTTGTTTATTATGGCTCCTCGTCTATATAACTCCCTTCTTTCAGGAATGCCCACTATTCATATATTAGATCTCCTAGATGAGTCCTTCAAAGCTTTTATAGTTTCTTCATGCTTTCCAAATATCTATAAAATTGTCTTCCAAGCCACAGATTGTGGCCTCATCAGTGGCCATCTTCTCTTCAATTTATCTAAGACATTTCATATATTTAAAAAAAAACCATTGAGTTTTAGAATAAAAAGTTGCCTGTGCTGTAATCAGATATCTGTAAGTGTTCCTATATTTTTACCAAGAGTGAGGAATGAAGAGTTCAAGCTATTATTTGCTTCCTCCTCAGTTCTTTTCACTAGATGATACCTAAATCTAGTTGTTCCACTTGTTTTCCTTCTCTAGGGCTACTGGGTTCCTTATATGCATTGTTATTTTTTCTTGCATATTCTTTGGGGTTTGGGCCCAGCTGCCAGGTCACCTTAAAAGGAACAAAGTTGTAGATGGAAAGCATAGTGAGCTCCAGCCTGTTGATGCACCAGGAGGTAGTCTCTCTCTCTCTCTCTCTCTCTCTCTCAGTGACCCAACCTGCCTTTTCTTCTCTCTCTTTTTTTTCAATAGCTTTAGGGGTTTTTACTTACATGGATGAATTATATAGTGGTGAAGTCTGGGTTATTGATGTATCCATTACCCAAATAGTGTACATTGTACCTAATATGTGATTTTTTTATCCCTTACCCTCCTCCCAGCCTCCCCACTTCTGAGTCTCCAACATTCCTTATACCACTGTGTATGCCTTTGCCTACCCATAGCTTAGCTCTCACTTATAAATAAGAACATGCAATATTTGATTTTCTGTTCCTGAGTTACTTCATATAGGATAATGGCCTCCAACTCCATCCAAGTTGCTGCAAGATACATTATTTTGTTCTTTTGTTCTTCTCTTTTTTTTTTTTTTTTTTTTTTTTTGAGACGGAGTCTCGCTGTGTCACCCAGGCTGGAGTGCAATGGCACGATCTCCGCTCACTGCAAGCTCCGCCTCCGGGGTTCAGGCCATTATGGTTGAGTAGTACTCCATGGTGTATATATATGCCACGTTTTTCTTTTGCCTTCATCAGTTGGTGGGCACTTAGGTTGACTCCATATCTTTGCAATTGTAAACTGTGTTGTGATAAATGTACGAATGCAGTCTTTTATATATAATGACTTCTTTTCCTTTGAGTAGATACCCAGTAGTGGGATTGCTAAATCGAATTGTATTTTTAAAAAGTCAAAAAACAATAGATGTTGTGAAATGGAAACGTTTATGCTCTGTTGGTAGGAATGTAAATTGGCACAATATCTATGGAAAACAGTATGGCGATTTCTCAGCCCACTTTTTTAACTTTCCCACATCCCCTTAAAGGACTGAGATGACAGAAGTTCCTCCAGACAGTCATACAGGTGGTAATACCCTTCCTTCTTTAGTAGGCCCAACAGCCCCTTCACCCAGCTATCTTCTTTGATCTCACTGTTCTAATCCCCACCCAAGGACTCCATGCCACCAGTCCCTAGGTTCTCTCTAGTGGCTGAGGGGGGAAAGAAAATCCCATGATGCCATTGTCCACTGGATCCAGACAGGGCTGAGAACTCACATTCCCCAGATACTACTTCCTGCTGGGCTTAGGAGAGGTAACTCATGGTTGAATTGGAATTGGAAAGGAAGGAATCTGGGTTGAATATAAGCTGTCATATTGCCACTAACCATTTCAACTAAGAAAGGAGTTTTGTATTCTAAAATCCATGAATGGGATCCATGATCTCCTGAAATTGCCATCAAATTCCATCTATCTATCTATCTATCTAGCTATCTATCTATCTATCATCTATCTATCTATCTATCTATCTATCATCTATCTATCTATCTGTGTATATTTTTCTATGGATTTTATTGGCAGGTTTTTATCAAATTCTCAAGGAGACATTTAGAATCAGTCTTACAGAATCATACCCAAACTTGGTAAAGTCCCCAATATGCCAATTAGTCCCATGTAGATTATTCTAAGTCCAATAGTAAAGAGGGTCTTAGTCTTTCAGACACTGGTGATTATATCTGGAAGCCAGTTTAAAGCAGTAAAGTTAAGACAGTTTTGTTTTCCTTTTTAAAAGCGGGGAAGGGAGTGGGGAAAAATAGCTTAAAATTTCTTACATTCTGCAAGGACAAGTTGATGGTGACCCTTTGGCACCTGGCATTCAACTTCTAAATATCAAATACATCATTTTTTATCTCTTGAAAAGGTATTACTGGCTTTAATCAAAAGTAGATCAGCATGGTGTCCACTACAAAAAGCTTATGTGGTTACCTTTGAAACACTAGCCCCTGCAATTCTAATGGAAAAAAAGATTTTTTGCTTTTTTATTTGAGGTGAACCTAAATAGAAAATGAATTTAGAAAGAGCTTCTTTGTCTCTAGCTGGTAGAGAAAAATATAGTCTTAAAATATTCCTAAAATTATTTTTAGATTTTTAAAATGTATCTGTACATTCTTCTTATGCAAGTTACTCTTATACATAATGATAACCCAGCTAGACCACTGCCAGGTGGGAGTAGAGTGAGAAGAGGAAGAGATTAGGCCATCAGCAAAGGGCCTTCATGCTGAAGACCTGAGGACAAGCCCTTCTATTACAATCTACAGTTCCCTACACATTCCCCTTAAATTAACTAAAGTTCACTCTCATAAGTATAAAGATATAAAAGCATTATCAAAAATTTATGTAGTCCTAAGACTTTCACCCACATATTAGCTATAATAATATTAGCTATAATCAAAGGATATTAATAAAAGCTTGCCAAATTTTCTAAAAGAAATATGTAGTTTTTAATGTCTTAATCATGTAATGGCTATATATAAACTTGGTCTTTCATTACACTTCATCTCTTTACACTATCTGTTATCCATTTAACAAATATGTGCTCAATTATTATTACTTGTTGTGCTATTGTTGTTGTTAAGTAGCACATAGCCAAAGCCATGTCCAGGTACCTAGAATTCAGCCATCCCCCAATTTAATCAAGGAATGCAAATTAGTAGATACAATAAGAATAAATTTGCAGCAATGACATCAGATATCACTAAACGATCCAGAGCTTAAGTCCAGTAAAGCCAGATGCACCCATTCTTTCAATGAAGCTACTAACAAACCATCAGAAATAGCACTCCACATGAGACCTGCATACCACCCTAGTTTAAAGCAATGCCACCTTACCACTTTTGTGCTGGGAATTTTTCCTCTAGCTCCCAGATGGTATTCAAAATGATTTCCTAAACTTTGTTTAACCGTGCTGTTTTTATTGGTTTCAGATGGCTATACCACTGATGACATTGAATTTTACTGGAATGGAGGAGAAGGGGCAGTCACTGGTGTTAATAAAATCGAACTTCCTCAATTTTCAATTGTTGACTACAAGATGGTGTCTAAGAAGGTGGAGTTCACAACAGGTGAGGTTGTTTCCCCCAAAATGTACTAGGGGTGCTGTGAAAGGAAGAAGATGGTTCCAACCAAATAATGGTCTGATTACTTGTCTTTTGTTTCTCAACTCAGGAGCGTATCCACGACTGTCACTAAGTTTTCGTCTAAAGAGAAACATTGGTTACTTCATTTTGCAAACCTACATGCCTTCTACACTGATTACAATTCTGTCCTGGGTGTCTTTTTGGATCAACTATGATGCATCTGCAGCCAGAGTCGCACTAGGTAATACATTCTCAGCACTGCAGAGAGCTAACAGATTTTACTTTCAAACAAATAACCAATATCAGGAATTATAGGCAAGGGCTCTCTTATAGCAAGCCAAAGAATTAGATCATCTTACAAGTCCCTGAATATAAAACATCTAAATGTAAGAATGTCCACAACGAATATTCTACAATGTACTGTCTTTTTAGCATTTTACCAAAACAAACAAACAAAAATCTTGGAATATATCTAGCACTACTTAAGTGTCTCATGGAATATATTTTTAAATTCTCATTACACTAGTTTTTACTAACTTTGGGATGACTTCCCCTTTAATGCCTGCTTTTAACAGTGAAGAACATATACAATGCACTATTTTCAAATGAATTTGGAGAAAGCTAAACCTTGTGACTAATAACAAGCTGTCAATTGCTGAGAAATACTATCCTTTGAATACTAACTAAAATTAAATCGTATCAAGCCACGTCTCCTTTAAATGGAGTTTATTACACTTGAATAAGGCACAGACAATTCATCAGCTATATTAATAATCTGTGGTCAAGACAGAATAAAAATGATTTCCTTCTTGGGGGAACAAAATTTAGAACTAATCCTGTCATGGTTAATTAATTGCTGAAAGCTGACAGGCTATATTTGAGACTTTAAAGGATTCCTTGGAAGGTTAGAATGTGTAAGGTCTGTCTGGTGAATCTGGGGATGTGCAAGTCTGTGTCATTATTTGATCCTACAGCCATTTCAGTTATCTCTTTCTGGGGCTAATTCTCACACACGCATGCACACACACACACACACACACACACACACACACACACACATCATTTCTGGCTAAACTAACATATTTCATCTCTTCACTTCGGAGACTGTTAAGCTGGACTAGATGATCAGCATACCCGTTCACAGCTATACTAATTGTCATCACTACAGCTTATTTGTAATGGCTGAATACATAAAGCTCACAAAGTCAAGTGTTTGCAGCCCCTTATCAATCTTTGAACAGCCTAAGATTAAAGAAAGCAAACAAATAATAGTATCTATCACACATATGCATCTGCACATATTACTTGAACATGAGTATTGTTAGGTCTATATGCTACACTTAAGAAAAAAACAGTGGATGATGTCCACAGCAGAGAATAATAACTAGTAAGTTTATGAATTGTGGTTTTCCTTACTCTTCTATCCTCAAAGCTAATACTATTTTAATTGGAGATATTAGAGATGTCAGTATATAAAGGTGCTTGTTTAAGCTATTCTTTGGATGGTAAAACTTGAGATATTTTAAAACATATGTAATTTAAAATGGCATTCATTTACTAACACTTTTGCTTAAAAATGTAAAACAAAGAGTAGAAGCAGAAATGCAATTGGTGAATTTATAAGTGACTCATTCATTTCTGTGAAGCACATTAGCTAGAATTGTATCAGGTGAAATTTAAAGGTTTTTTCAAAGAAATAAGAAAGACCACTCATTATGACATTTTGTATCAGTCCAGCACATTAGAATTTATTACTGATCTGAACCACTTTAATTTTTTGTATGGTAGCCCTGACCTCCTACTTTATCTGTTCTTCTAAAAGTTGAATAGTCAAATCCGGGAATATACATCTAGAATAATCTGATTGGAAAATGAATGCGAAACTATTTTTCCCTTCATTTCATTTTGCTACCTTCCATTCCCTTTGGAAGTTCTCCTTTGTCTTTACTATCTATTTTATACTTTCTGACTTTATTTTTAAGAGCCTCTATCAAATTTTAGATTTTACCTTTTCATCTCATTGCTTATTTTAAATGCTATTGTGTAACATTTCTATGCTCTTTTGACCCTAGCTGGGTGGCCTAAAACAAAATAATTAATCTCAGATTTTCTGTTTACCCAGTTATAAAATGAGAATAACATACAGTCCCTATCAGTTATAAAATGAGAATAATATACACTCCCTATCATTTTCAGGCTGTTATGACAGCCATGTAAGATAATTTATAACTGTAAGTGTTTAAAACTGTACAACACTATACAAATGTATAATATTAGTATTGCAGAACAAATATCTACACTAGATTCCAACTTCTTTTTCACTTCTTGCTTTTCACAATTATCACTTCATCACCACCATCATCAACACAAAATATTTGTTATACAGCTAAACAAACATTATACTATTAAGAATGCTATATATAACAAAGTAAATAAAACAAAATCTGTCTTTTATGAGTTTACAGACTTAAACTTCTTCAACAAATCCAAGTTCAAATTTTTAAGAAGTTGTTTTCTGACATCAGGGAACTAATTCATTCTAGGTTCTGGAACCAAGAAAATAGAGAATATTTGAAATATCAAAGCAACAAGATTATAGTAAATGTAAAATATACATAAATCAAGCACTTGATACAAATTATGACATTTCTCATGTTTCCTCTTTTGGTGATGTTTTGCTAAGAATGACACACAATCATTTTAAAATGCAATACTGACCTTGTAACTTGGGTGTCCTGTAGATTCATGGGATGAAGTAGATCTCAAACTAGTCACCAGCTTTCAGTTTGGTAGAGGCTGCTATAGGGATTAGTATCACAAAGACAGATTTAGGAGCACAGTGAATGAGATGCTGAGAAAAGGAAGAAAGATGTGGTCATGTAACAAAGTGAGCGACATTCAATAGCAGGATTTCAATGGGATTTTGATCTGCTTTTCCATCTGCTTTTGTTTTTATTTTGTGCAATTAAAAAAATGGTTTCAACCCTTCATTAACTACACATTCTATTTTATGATTCATTAATGGACTATGTAGGGAGGCTAATGCCTTGTCTTTCAAAATATCTGCCCTTTTTGCCCAATGGTTTATCATGCTACTGTGATCACTCAGGGGCACCAATAAGGAAGTGGCAAATGGCATCTGTCCTCTCAATCTTGAAAAAGGAACTTAATAGTGGCACCTTCAGCTAAGTGTTGTCTTTCTCTTTCACAGGAATCACGACAGTGCTTACAATGACAACCATCAGCACCCACCTCAGGGAGACCCTGCCAAAGATCCCTTATGTCAAAGCGATTGATATTTATCTGATGGGTTGCTTTGTGTTTGTGTTCCTGGCTCTGCTGGAGTATGCCTTTGTAAATTACATCTTCTTTGGGAAAGGCCCTCAGAAAAAGGGAGCTAGCAAACAAGACCAGAGTGCCAATGAGAAGAATAAACTGGAGATGAATAAAGTCCAGGTAAGATATTAAATATTCCTAACAATATTCTTGTTAAATTTATCAGCATCATGATGCCTCGGGCTCTCATAACTTAAAAACGATTAATAAAAAAATAGTTGATATTTAATAAGACTCAACCAAGCCTTCATTTTACATATTCAGGGACTGAGGAATGAAGAAGTTAGATTGAGGGTTATACTGATTAGTAATATACCCTGGAACTCAACCCCAAGTCCATTATTATTTATTCTAAACTATTTGTAAAAGCATATGTAAAGTAATAATGCTAGATTTGCATGGTAAATAAATGAGAGAACTAAAGTGAATATACATTGCATTCCTAAATGGAGATGAGGCACAGTGGTTATAACCATAGACTGAAATCAAACTGCCTGGTTTTCATTCCCAGTTTAGTCACCTAATGGCTTTACAACTTCAGCCAAATCAACCTATTTCAGTCTTTATCTAACCTTTTCTCTCAGTGTCCTCATCCATAAAATGGAGATTATTATAGTATGTCTATCTCACAGAGTTGTTTTAAGAACTCTGTTTTTCTCATTGGTACATCTTATAACCTGTGGTCTCATTGGATGGAATTAAATTTAAATGAATGATCTGTTTATTCTTTAAAAACATCTCTGTAGCCTCTACCTCTGAGCCATTTTTCACTGAAATCAATTTACCATTATTAAGTACATTCAAATGTGTATCTACCACAAATTGTTTTCAAGATAGCACAGAGGGTGACAACTGTTCATTTAGGCACTGTTCTAGGCATTTGGGATACTGATGTGAATGAGACAAAATTCCTCACCCTCATGGAGCTTAGGTTCTAACATGAGAAGATAAGCAATAAACACAAACAAATATCAAAAGGATAATTTTAGTTACTAGTAAGTGCTAAAAAGAAAGTAAAACAGTGACTCATGTCCGTAATCCCAGCACTTTGGGAGGCTGAGGCTCACTGGAGCCTAGGAGTTTGAGACCAGCCTGGGCAACATGGCAAAACCTCATCTCTACAAAAAATATAAAAATTAGCCGGGCATTGTGGTGTTTGCCTGTAGTCCCAGCTACTTGGGAGGCTGAGATGGGAGGATGGCTTAAACCCAGAAGGCAAAGGTTGCAGTGAGCAGAGATTGCGCCACTGCACCCCAGTCTGGGTGACAGAGTGAGACCCTGTCTTAAAATAATAATAATTTTAAAAAGGAAAACAGAGTACTGAACAAAAGAGTATTTGGGTCAGATTTAAGGGAGCAGGACACTTTGGTAAGACCTCTCTGTGGAATGACCATTTGATCTGATACCTATGTAATGAGAAAGAGCTAACCATGCCATGTCCATTCTAGGCAAAGGAAATAGCAAGTGCATAGGCTCTGAGGCAGGAATTCCTGTGTGTTTAAATACTGAGAGAAGACCGGTAGAGCAAGAGCATAGTTAGTGAGGAAGAAAGCAGAGTAGTGTGAAATGTGGCTGGATACTTAGGCCAAATTATAAATTTTCAGGGTGTATCTTCATGCTCTTTAGTAGGACGAAAGTTTGGATAAACACTGTTTGAAAAATTAGCAAAGAAAACTTAGGGATTCAGCCAAGTGGTTAAAATTCAAAGGAACACATCAAATAAACTTCTACCTTTGTGTGAGGCACTATGTTCAGCGCTATGGGGAGAGAAGTAGACAAGATATTTGCCCTCAAGAATCTTCTGATCTTATTGTGAAAGAATATTATACTCATATGAGGTGATTATAAAATGAGACAGGACACAGTTAGTTTGAGGTGTATACCTGAAAAGAAGCAACTTCCCAATGTCTGATTGTAACCATACCAGCTTTAAAAGTACTTTGGGAGGCCACCTCTTTTCTATTCCCATCCTCATCTCAGTTGCCTTCAAACATACTAATTCATCCTCTGCACAGCTTGGAATGTTTGTTAATTGATAAGTCACGAGGGAAAACCCTACCCAAAAAAGGTGGAATAGGTTCAGTGGTGGGAAAATGCAGAAGACATGAACTGGATGGATACTCAAAGATAAGTACAATTTAGGAAAGAATAATGAAGAAAGCAGGGCCCTTCAGTTGCTAAAAAACAATGTTCTCTAGGGAGAGTAATTAAATTGAAACAGGAGAGTTCCCTGATACGCTCATCTGTTGGGCTGCCATGCACTCAAACCTTATGGGAGGGGGAGCATGCAGACGGGCAGGTGTGGGAGCCGGGGCAAGCACTTTTGGGCTCTGGCCCCATGGTAGCATCTAGAGTTGGGTGCCTGCGACTCCCGAAGCCCCAGTAGGTGTGTTACAGTGCTCCTTTAGCTCTGCCATCTGCAGACAGCTTAAGTGTTAACCAGCTCAGTGCCTTTTTGGTACCCAGGTTCTTGTCTGGAGTCCAGGAAGAATCAGGTCACATGGACAAGTTGAAGGATGGTAAATGTGGAGGATCTTATTGCTGGATGGAGGTGGCTCTCAGTGAGATGAATGGGGAGCTGGAAAGAGGCTGGAGTGGGAAGATAATCTTCCCCAGGAGTTTGGCCATCCCGCGGCCATCTCTCCGACCATCTCCAGCCAAACTTCTCTCGACATTCAGACACTCCTTCTCTTCTCTCCTTCTCTATTATGCCACTCTTCTGCTCCTCTGCTCCTCTGCTCTTCTGCTCATGGAGCCCAGGATTCGGGGTTTATATGGGTACAGTATGGGGGGCATGGTGGGCCAAAAGGCAATATTTGACACTAAAACAGAAATGCCTGTTCCCATTTAGAGCTGTGGGGTTCCATGCTTGAGGGTGGGGCCTTTGCCGGGGAACTACCCCCTTCTTTCCAGTATTTTCCTGTCTCCTGTCCATATCAAAATGAAACATCAGGCAAACTGGAATCAATTTATTCAGATAAAATAAAAAGACTACAAAACAAACTTTAAGCAAACACTTTCAGCTTTTGATTCCACACTAGGATATCAGAGAAATTTTTTAAGATGATAAAGATTGAATAAAGGCAGGAGGAAAGCCTATGTCATGTCAGATCTAGATGTATAAGTCCTGCAGAGGACTTCATGACTGGCTAATAAATAAGTAAAATGTTCCCATTTGACTGACCTTTATTTCATAAACAGGCTGTTTGAGTAACATTGGGCTTAAATGTGGTAAGAATTCATTGTCTCTCGAATCAGTAAACTTTTATTCCTGGTAAATTGACTTTTTAAATTTTGAATTAAAGGAGAACGAATAAAGAAATTCCTCAACTGTCAGAAGACAATGCTTAAAGGAGATTTTTTTAAAATATGTTTTTATCCATGGAAAGTTAGACTACGAACTCCACAAATGATTTCCACAGAAAAATAGACATAATTCTGACAAAATTCAAAAACAAATCATATTAAAACAGGGCAGAGTACTTTGTATCAGAGTAATCCTCCTATTGATAGAAATAATAAACTGTGAGCACATTTTTAGAAATCTGCTTTAAGACATGGGAGAGTAACAAAACAAGCAAAAACTAAAAGAGAATCAACTTTCAAAAGGAAGGAACCACACTGTGTGAAATCCATGTTTATGCAGCTTTTCCCCTGAAGCCATGTCCCAGACTGAGGGATGTGGGGCAGCAAAACTTCAGCAGAAACTGAAGTTGTATTGACCTGAAGAGTCAGATCATGGAGTTTGATTGTTCCAGAGTTCCTGGAAATTTTAGAAGTGAGCCACAACAGAAACTCGACACCTGAGTGTAAACTTCCCCAGCTTGATCCCTGAGCTACAAATGTACAAATGTACAAATACCAAGGAGCACAGAAAGAAAAAATAGCTAGAAGCTGGGGGAAAGAAAAATGAACAGAGATTTTAGTTACTGTCCACTATATAAAAGTCAGAGTTTGGAGTTTGAATCCAGCCTGTTGGGGAGTGTGGGGGTGGTAAGCACATTAGGTTTTCCATAAAAATCTCAAGAGGCTTATACCTTAAGGGTAAAGATAAGTCACAAGAATAAGGGATTCCCCTTGGGTTAAGGGAAAATCTAAAATAGGCTCACCCTAATGACACATAAAACCAAGTCTCCACATATTCTGGATGATATGTTAGTCATATAACTGCCTACCAAACCAAACTCAACATTCTTTGGGGAAGATAGCAGAATTTAGAGTCTCTATGGTGCATCATTCAAAATATCCAATATATAGTAAAAAATTACTAGACATAAGAAGAAACAGGAAGATGTGACCATCATCAAGAGAAAAACATTTGTCAACAGAAACAGAGCAGTAAAAGTCTCAAATATTGGCCTAAAAGATAATTAGTATAAATAACTATAATTAGTGTATTTTAAAGTTCATAAGAAATAGCCCAAAACTGGAAACAGCCAAAATATCCTACAATAGATGAATGGTTAAACAAACTGTGGTATATACACACTATGGAGTACTATTCCAGTAAAAAAGAAATGAACTGTTGATACATGCAAAAACTTGGATGTCTCTCAAGGGCATTAGGTTGAGTGAAAAAAAACAGTATTAAAAGGTTATAATACTGTATTATTCCATTGATATAATACTCTTGAAATAACAAAATTATAGAGATGGAGAACAGATTAGTGGTTGCCGGGAGTCAGTGATAGTGAGGAAGGATGTGGGATGGGTATGACTGATTATAAAGAACTAGTGTGAGGGAGATCATTGCAGTAATGGAATAGTTCTGTAACTTAATTGGAATGCTTGTTACATGAATCTACATATGCAATAAAATTACACAGAACTATACACACTTTATGTCAATGTCACTTTCCTGACTTTGATATTATATCATAGTTATGTAAGATGTAATCAGTTGGAGAACCTGGGTGAGGGGTACATGGGGCCCCTCTGTGCTATCTTCACAACTTTCTGGGAATCTGTAATAGTTTCCAAATAAAAAGTTTAAGAGAAAGTCAGTAGGAAAAATTGATATAGTGTATAAAGAAATGGGGAGTTTCAGAAGATAGTTGAAACTATAAAAGTGGAACAATGGAAATCATAGAATTAAAATTTTTATTAGATGAATTAACATCACATTGTATACAACAGAAAAAAATGATTAGCGAAATTGAAGGTCATATTGGGCTTCTCTCAATTTCTCAATTGTAGCAGTTCTTACCATAAATGCTACTACTTTGGGGTTGCCTTAATAGACACTCTCACTCTTGATTTATTATTTGGTATCGCTGTTAATTGTTCTTATGGGATCCTGTGCTTTTCCACAATAAGACTTCCATGATAGTGAGTATATGTTTATTTGTATAATTATCTTTTAACATCTGTTTCTCCTTTTAAGCTACAGCTTCCCAATTATACACCCCAGAGCCCTTGTCTTTTACATTCATTGTTCTTTCCTCAGTAGCTAAAATGTAGATAACAAATAAGTACTTGTTGAATGAATGAATTAATTAATTAATACTGGAGAGTTGTTCTCCATTTTAGATGTTTTTAGAAATCACGCATTCAGTGTTACACTATGTTTTATAAAACTCGTACATATTCATAATAAGTAAGAAAAAGAGACTATACTCCACTTCAGCTTCTGCTCCAGACTGTCTTACTGTTCCTATCATTTTTATTTTCAAAAAAAAATTTAAACATGCTTTATATCAACCTCTGGTATTCTTTTTGAATCACTGTGCCATATAGCATTACATGTAATCTTTAAAGGAGCATTATGGCTAAGATTTTGAAATGGCACTGTTCGTCTGGGAGTAACGCCCAAGGTTCATTGTCTCAACGCCAAGGAAATCAAGGATGCGGTCACATAAGGAGTGAGGTTAAGAGCAGAGGTTTAATAGGAGAAAGAAAGAGAAATGCTCTCTCCTGCAGAGAGAGGGGTCCCAAGCAGGTCTTCTGGTCTGTGGTGAAATGCAATGGGTTTTACAGCTGAATAAGAGGAGGTAGTGTCTAATTTACATAGGGCATGAAAGATTGGTCAGACCAGGTCTTCCATTTGCATAAGGCTCAAAAAACTGGTTAAGGCTAGATGTGCCATTTGCATAGCATGTGAAAAAGCTGGCCACCCCACTCTAATTTTTTATTATGCAAGTTGGTTCTCTACCTGGCTGGCGCCATGTTGCCTGCTTCTCTGTACTGTACTCGGGTGAAAAAGGAAAGGGAAGATGGAGCCTTCATGTTGAACATACCTGGCTTCCAGGTAGCCCTTTTCTACTGGCACAGCTGCCAGCATTCACCGTGAAAGCTTCCAACTTGCTTATCTATGTCTACAGCTTGATTTTTCAGACTGCTCTTTGTTAGAAAAGAAATGATTTGGGGGCTGCTTTTTGTTAAAACAGAAATTCCGCCGAGGTCTCTGTTGCCCTTACTATCTGTCTAAATAATTTATTTCTATCTCCTGTATCAATTTTATAAACTTCTTCATATTTAGGTGGGATAATAATACAGCATTACCATCTCATGCAAGTTATAATCATCCCTGCACCTGCTTAGGTTTGGTAGTTCCTAACTTTCTTATCCTCTTCTAAAACCAAAAGTCCAGACAGATAATATGTCAATAACAAAGCAAGTATTTACTTCATCTATTCAGTGTGTCATTTCAGCAGTTACATTAATAATGCAAACTGTGTGGTATTTTAAATTGCTACCTGCTAGTTAAACTCAAAAATATAAAAAAGACTATTAATTTTTTTAAATATAATGGTTGGATGATCCTCTACTTTTAGATGCTTGTAAACAGTTAAATTTAAATGACATCTGTGCCCTGGTCCCAGACAATTTTCATTTGAGGGATTTCCTCAGTATTTGCCTTGGTTCACTGGAGCATAGAGTGGCCTTGTTCAGTTGTTACACATTACTTTTGATCGCTCTGGCTGGGCAGTCAGGTCAAGGGGTATTTGTACTGAAGCTTCAGGAGTGCTTGCTTTGTCTTGATTTATATTTCCTCCAGCTGCTCTGAAGCATCTTTTTATTTCAGTGCAGATGCTAGATCCAGACATTCGGAGAGTTTCAACCTCTAAGGTGATAAAGACTGTAGATTCATAAGCCCCTCAGGCATCATTTGAAAATAGAGATGGTATTTAGAGTTTTGAAAGATAGATTTCACAGTACAACGAGGCTTTAAGTAAGCTACCTCTGGGCCACTTTTATACGCATCTGGAACTTTTTCAGTTATATATTCTGGCCACAATCCCTTTCCATTTGCAAATAAATGAAATGGCTGAAATGGTAGCTTGGGTGGTCTGTGAGCAGAGACTGATTCAGTCATTCCGTGTCACAGGGGACACCAGAGGAATCTGCCAAAGATTCATTCTGTGAACTCTGAGAATCTGAGACATGTCTTAGTTAATCTAGAAAGTTTATTTTGCCAAGGTTGAGGATGAGTGCCTATGACACAGCCTCAGGAGGTCCCGTCGACATGTGCCCAAGGTGGTCAGAGCACAGTTTTGCTTTATACATTTTAGGGAGACATGAGACATCAATCAACATATGTAAGATGAACATTGGTTCGGTCTGGAAAGGAGGGACAACTTGAAGCAGGGAAAGGTCTTCCAGGTCATAGGTAGATAAAAGACAAATGGTTGCATTCTTTTGAGTTTCTGATTAGCATCTCCAAAGGAGGCAATCAGATATGCATTTATCTCAGTAAGCAGAGGGGTGACTTTGAATAGAATGGGAGGCAGGTGTACCCTAACAGTTCCCAGTTTGACTTTTCCCTTTAGCTTAGTGATTTGGGGGCCCCAAGATTTATTTTCCTTTCACAATACCAAATATGCAGTTGTATCCCCAATAGTCAAGAAATAGATTTTTTTCCCTCTTAAAATCAGATATTAGTATTGTGATCTGGCCTCTTCTCTCCCATTCCTGTTCTCCATGGTAAGTCACCCAAACACTTTCAGACAACTTTCTAAATGTAAATCAGCTCTGTATTGTGGTTAATTCCAGGATGCAATGTGCAGGTGGAGGTGGGCATTGTAAAGGTATACAGCTCTGTCTTTAGGTCCAGCTTGAAACAGCTCCCTATCTGTCAGCCTTTGAGCCTGGGCCTTCAGACCAACTGGAAAACTCACCCTGCCTTTGATGAAACTTTCACCATCTATACCTAGCATCCAGAATTTCTACTGACAGCCTGTGTTGATAGTTCATGAATTTCTTTATTCCTCAAACCCCTGTCCTAATCTGGCTTCGTTCGCTTTTTGTTCTCTAGCCTTGATTTAATCCTATCCTATCTCCAGTCTTCAGAAGTCTAATTTTCCTTTTCAGGAATCTCTGTCTCTTATTTTCTATTTTTTTCACTACCCAGATATCTAGAACTCCTTTGGTGAACAAGAAAGAAGTCTACTTTACTTAACTGGTTTAAGAATAAAAGAGGAGGGAGAGGGATTTATTGGCCCACACAACTGAAAGGTGGAAGCACAGTCCTAGTTTCACATGTGCTGTTCCAGGTGTCCAAACAATTTGTCAGAAGTATCTCTCTTCATCTCTTAATTCTGCTTTCTTTTATATTGACTTTGTTTTGACCCTTCCCTCATGGTGGTCCCAAAGTTCCAAGTTTATAGTGTCAAAGCTCTTTGACCCTAGCACAAAATTATTTCTTATACCCCATAGTTATAATTTAAAAAAGGCCTAGGATTGAGTCTTTTTGGATAAACTTGTCATATTTTCACGCAGAAGTCAATTCTTCTCACCAGGAAGATGGAAAATGCTAAATGCCTAGGTCTGGATCACATGCATGTCCCTGGAACCTAGAAGATGCAATTAGGCATACTTCAACCACGTGCACCAAAAGAATATCAGGGCATTATCATCAGAGGAAGGTAGAATGGAATCAGACAGGTCAAACGAATAGGCATCCACCACAACCTACTATGACCCTTGGGATGTTTGGGTGGAATACAGACTAAGAGGATCTTAACCTAAAATGAGATGAACTCAAACTGGTGTTTTTAGCAAGCTTCCCAATTCATTCAGATACACCTCAATGTCTGAGAACCACAACCCTGGAGATCCTAGACATTCTAGCCACCTCTGCAGGTGTCCTTGGCCATTGAAACTCAGAGCTCAGAGAGATGACTCAAAGTATAAGTTTCAGATTTCCCCATTCTGCAGACATTTACTCAGCAAAATCTATCTTAGGCTCAGTTCTGGAAAAGCAAGGAGGACATACTGAGTAGTGATGAACAACAAAAAAAGCACCTGCCCTCCTGGAGCTTATATTCCAGTTGAGGTAATTGACAAATATGTGAATAAACACATGATATAATGGCAGATGACGATAATTATAGTAAAGAAAATGATGAGAAGCTAGCCAGGTAACAATGTGGGCAAGAAACAGCATTGTGCAAGAGAAACATAGCAGGTGAAAATGCCCTGCAGACTTAGGAGCATCAAGAGACAGCCAAAATAAGGCCTGTGTGGCTGGAGCAGTGCTTGAAGAGCAGCCTGGTAGGAAATGAGGGCTGAGGTACCCACAGGAAGCAAACCACATGGTGCTTTTTGGACTAGAATAAGAAATTTGGAATTCATTCTATGTCTTGAAAAGTAACTAGAAGATATAAACAGAGTAAACAGAAGATATAAATAGACATCATTTGTTTTACTTTTTTTTTTTTTTTGAGACAGAGTCTCCCTCTGTCGCCTAGGTTGGAGTGCAGTGGCGCAATCGTGGCTCACTGCAACCTCTGCCTCCCGGGTTCAAACAATTCTCATGCCTCAGCCTCCCTGAGTAGCTGGGACTACAGGCGCCCGCCACCACACCCGGCTAATTTTTGTATTTTTAGTAGAGATGGGGTTTCGCCATGTTGGCCAGGCTGGTTTAGAACTCCTGACCACAGGTGATCAGGCCACCTCAGCCTCCCAAATTGCTGGGATTACGTGCATGAGCCACTGCACCCAGCCTGTTTTGCACTTTTTTTTTCTTTGAGATGGAGTCTCACTCTGTCACCCTGTTTTACATTGTTAAAGGATCATTCCAGCTTCTATGTAGAGAAAGGACCACAGGGCAACATTTCTGGAAAGAGGAAGATCACTTAAGATGCAAGAGGTGATGGTGGAAAGAACAAGGCATGGAATATACCTGCTATGTGCTCATAAAAATTTTTTAAAAAAGAAAAAAGTCAATAGAATCAGGATCTATTTAAAAGTAGAGCAATTTGGACCTACTAAAACATAGAATGGGAGAAATAAGGAAAAGAAACGAATCCAGGATAAATGTATCTACCTGAGTACTGTTCTGGAAAATTGCCAGTTTTTGCTCTCAATGCTTTCAATCAGTAGCATGAGGCCCACCTACATTATCGAGTGTAATCTCCTTTACTTACAGTAACTGTAAATGCCAATCACATCTACAAAATACCTTCTCAGCAACATCTAAACTAGTGTTTGACCTAGCAACTGGAAGCCACAGCCTTATTTTTGTTTTTTGTTTTTTTCCTTTTCTATTTCCTGAATAATATAATTTATTTGTCTTAGATTTATGTACATTTGCACTTAATCTTCTGTTCCTTCTCAAAATGATAATAAAGTTTCCACTTCTGCCGCAAGCTTTCAGGACATGCAAAGAGACATGCAAAGCATCAGCAGAACCTCCCATCTCCTCCCCCCGAGAAAAGGTTTCAGGAATTCCAGCCTAAGAGATCAGGGTTTGGCAGCCCTGGTGAGCGCAAATGACTGACAGCAACAGCAAATACAGTACATTCTATGAGAGAAATGGGAAGATGAAGGCTGGGCTGTTGCAACTGTGTGTTCTCTACAAGGGAAGGCAGCCATTCGCACTAGTTGGCTTCATTAAGTAGAGTGTAGGCTTCTTGAGGACAGTGAATTAGCTCATTCTGTAGCCAGCTCCACTTCACTTGGTTTCCTGCTCTGTGCTTCAGAACCACTCAGTAAATATGAATCTAATTGAATTGGCTAGCAAGAAGGAAATAACTCACTGTTTGCAAAGTAGATTGAGCCCAGAGGTGTTCCTCGACAGGGCTTTAAAACCGCCACTGAAAACAAGATTATATTTTATTCCAATTACACTAAAATGAGTTCAGCTATACTTATATATTGAAAATATCCAGAGCAGTTCAATTCAGTGAGTGGCAACATTTTTCACAGCCTAAGGCACTCATTGAGAATGTTGGGGCAGAGAGGAGATAGTGAGTGAGATGGAAGGGGTGGAAGAAAGGCTAAACCCAATCCAGAAAATAAATCTGTAAATTCACTTCAGATTTCTGTTAAGGAAAGAAACAGTACAGCCATCACATTATGTTCTCTGGACTTTAGTCATTTGAGAATCACCCTGTGATTTTTGGCATGGCTTTTGTATCAGTCAGGGCTCTTCAGAGAAACAGAACCAATAGAAACAGAACCAACATACATATAATAAGAGATTTATTTTAAGGAATCATTTCTTGCAATTGTGGAAGCTGGCAAGTCCAAAATCTGTCAGGCAGGTTGAAGCTGGAAACTCAGATGAGAGTTGATTTTGCAATCTTTAGCCTGAAATCTGCAGGGCTTGCTGGAAACTTGGCCAACGTTTCTACAGTGCAGTGTGGAGACAGAATTTCTTTTCCTGGAAACCTCAGTTTTTGCTCTCAATGCTTTCAATCAATAGCATGAGGCCCACCCACATTATCGAGGGTAATCTCCTTTACTTACAGTAACTGTAAATGCCAATCACATCTACAAAATACCTTCTCAGCAACATCTAAACTAGTGTTTGACCTAGCAACTGGAAACCACAGCCGACCAAGTTGACAAACAAAATTAACCACTATACCCAATGTATTTATCCCCATTCATTCATTTCAAAGATATTTATTGAATGCTTCTATATGCCAAGTACTTTTCTTGGCTTCGGGGAAACGGTTGTGAATAATACAAAATCCCTGCCCCCTTGGAGTAACATTCTAGATGGGACACTCAGTGGAAGGAACAAGTTGGATGGGAAGAGAGAGGATCAAGAGTTCTGCTCTGGCAATTTTGAGATGTAGATGCCTCTAAACATCCATGCAGCACTATCCTTTAGGTTCTTCTGTAGTAAGGTCCAGAAGAAAATAAGGAAACGTGAATTACTTTAGATTTTTCCCTTGTCATAATGAAATGTGAGCATGAATATAATGTTAAGAAAAATATGCACAAAATCACAAACTGGTCATATTTTCCTAAATACATTAAAAGATATATACAGCTCTCTTTTTTCTTCATAATGTTACCTGATTTTTTTAAAAACTAATTTTAGAAGGAGGGATGGTATTGACCATTTTCCTCCATAACAACGTAAACACCAGTATTTCAAGAACTTTGTCTGTTTTGCTCACCACCATCTTCCCAGGACTGTTGTGTCATCAGAATTAGAATTTAAAAACAAGATAACATGGTTTATAAGCAGTGCACTGGAGGAAGGAAGGAAAGTGTGCGCCAGCCAGAAGCTGGATTGTCCCTTCCATCTCAGGTCTTTATGAAGTAGAATTCCAGGACCTTTCTTTATATGTGAGCCCCTCTAAGACTTGTCTGTGATCAGCAGGCCTTAAGGCTGGGTGTCATGACCTTCAGGAAGGAGATGAAAGAAAGACTCGGCAGGCAAGAAGAAGGTGGACATCGTGGTTGCAAGAGAGCAAACTTCAAAGAAGCTGTTGGAAAGGGCACTGATAACCTGCATTTGAAAGAGGTCAAAGTATTTGTCCAGTAAAACATTTAGAATCAATAGGGGGTCAGGGTTCCAGTGTTTGTACAGGAGACTGTAACATCAAGAGGCTTTATTTGTTGAGATCTCTGAATTTATAAAATGAGGGCCATGATGTTCTATTGCTTATGGAGGGGCTGATGTCTTCATCAGTGTCTGGAACAGTGCCTGAGGCATAGTAGGCACTCAGTAAACATTGAATAAATGAGTGAGTGAATGCATGAACTACTATTAACATTTTAAATGATTATCCATGATCCACCTAAAATTACCTTTTGCAGCCAGGAAATATGCCTGTCTAATAAGGAGTGGGGTGAGAGTGAAATATTGCCAAGCCCTTGGGGCTGCAGAACTAAGCTGTATTCTCCACTCCCCTTTACTGGTCATCTATCTGAAGTGGAAGAGGAAGCGTTTCTCGATTGGCCCTCCTGAAGCCTTATTAATAATTACATTCATTTTCTCTCAATTTAGGTTCAATGACACTCTAAACTTTAAAAAAGAGAATCCATTATGTTGGTTTGAGGAATATATGATTAATATACTGCAGTCATTCCTTCTAATCAGAAACAGACTTACCTCCCCGGTCACTGGAACTGATGAACAACTGCAGACTTTACCCAAAAGCACAGGAGGGTTCAACATGCAGATTCCTATCTGCACTGCACCCTCTTAGGAAGCAGATCAGAGACAGAAAACTCCAGAAGGCACGGAGCCTAGAATGCCTGCTTCCTTCTTCTAAATATACCTACCACATAGGTCAGTGGGGAGCAGTGAGAGGGGAGAAGGAGAAAAGAAGTTGTACATGTTCCTCCCTTAGATTGTCTTCTGGGACTTGGAGTGGGAATTCTCATACTTGAGGGCACTGTGAGGAGTGGGGAATAATTATCCCACAGAAGAGTTCTTTCAACATCAGCAACTTTTGAAAAAAAATCTGCTGGTCTATACCTGCCTTAGAAATCCAGTATGTTAACAATTTTAATTTGCCTCACTTCCTTCTGCCTCAAGGTTTAAAAATCTTCAATCTGGATTGTGCTCAACTCAAATATTGATATTTTGATATTTCTTTATTAATTAGGCAGCATTTGGCCACTGCAGATGTTGAGGCAATGTACAACATGACTTCTTGCTCCCTCTGATGATATGAAAAAATAATAGCCCTTTCTCCATGGATATTATTTTTGGAAAGCTGTGTCAGCTTCAGATATAAGAATACCTTAGATGCCCTGATATGGTTGAGGCAAAGGGAAAGCCACTCTTCTCCAAGGGGAATGGGTTACAGCAGAGCCAACAAGAAACTTGTGGATGTCAGCAGTGGTATGGCTACCACATGTATACCTTACCTGACAGCAGAAAGCTGGAGGGTGAGGGTGAAATATCACACTGTAGAAGAAATGCATGAGCATGTACATACACACACAAACACACACACACACACACACACACACACACACACAGAGTCTGTTAACATCAGCCTTTAGGACAAGTCCTACACTGGGTAAGAAAGAAAATGGAAGTGGGCAAGAATTGTTATATAGCTACTTTAAAAATTTCCCTGAAAAAGAACATGGTAATGTTGACATAACTCTATAGTAATGAAATCAGCTTTCATGGATAGTTGCAGAACTAGATCCATTATCTTAAATGTCAAACCACTTAATGCTATGATTTCTAGCTCAGTGACGGAGAATACTGAGGGATTTGCACAAACTGGTAAATCTCATGCAAGTTTTAGGCACATTTAAATCTGCACCAAGGTTAACCAAAATAGCTTAATAAAATGTACCTTGTTAACCCTGACTTCTGTTTAATTAGGAGCATCTGTATGCTTCACTAGCCGATTCTAAACTCTAGCAACTTTTTTTTACTTAGAGAGATTCATAATAATGTAACTTAATGATGCATAGAGTGCAGATCAGGTGATTCCATTTTACAAGCATTTTTTCAGAATGCTATGTCCTCCACCTGGAATGTTCTTCATAATCAAAAACTGTCAAAGATTGGAAGCCAACTCTTGAGATTACCTAATGAAAACCTTCCATTTATAGATAAGGGATCTGAGACCCAGACTTATCCAAGTCCATTTCTGAGTAGATAATAAAACTAGAATAATAACATAGCTTTCAACTCTCAATTTTTGTTCTGTCCTCTACCCATCCTTTAAAACTCAATGCAAGGCCCACTGTTACAAGAAGGCTTCTGTGACCCCCAATGATTTCTCACTTTGATGAATCCCTAATCGTGATCTATATTATGCCATGTACAGTTTGATTGAAAACTTGTCCCTCCCAATATTATGCTTCACTCTATATCTCTAAGGAGGTAATGATCTCTTATGGACAAAATTCATATTTTGTGATTATCTTGGCTATTCCAAAGTACCTAACAAAATCATGTGTTCCAGTCCTTATCTTCTAATGTAATTCTCCCTCCTTTAAGGAATTCAAGCATTTTGGTCCTCATCACTTCAACCCTACCATCCTTAGTAATGTCAAATTTCATGCACATGACTTTTTCAATTATAGACATACAGTAGAGGACAGAGACTGCATCTGGCTCATTATTCTCAATGACCTTCACCATCACCTGATCTCAAATCCCCAGCAAACATTAGCACATGTTCCCATTGCTCAGAAACATTCTACCTCCCATATCTCCATGTGTAAAATTCCCATTTCTGAAGGTAGCCTGTTATCCTTCCATATCTTTGACTTCCTCACTCACTCCCTTAGAATTTGCCTTTCTCAATCCTTCTTTTCCTGTCTACTGTGTCTCTTCCAGCTTCACTTGACACCCTATCCCGATATGTGTGAGCTAATGCTTTTATTTCTTTTCTTCCTTTGACCTGCAAACTTTTGAAAAGGGGAGTCCATACAAACTCCCTTCTCCTCCTTGCTACCAATTCAGTCTTTAACCCCTTGCAATCCAGGTTCTGCTTCAGCTCTTATTCTAAGACCGCAAATGGCCTTATTGATAAATCTATGAGCCTTCTTCATTCCCCCTGTTCTCTCTGAAACACTATTGACCATTCTGTCCTTCTGGACACCCTTCTCCCTCCTTGAGTTTCTCTTCATAGCAAGATGTTATTTGTTCTCTACCTCTATAGTTTCTCTGTGTCTCTTTCACTGACTCCATAGCTGCCTCCCACTCCTAAAATAATCTCAGCCCCAACATTATCCCAGTCATCACCACATATACATTATTTGCTGGACACCACCACAAGGATGCCTAATGTATATCACAAATTCAACCAAAATAACAAACTCTTTTTTTCCACCCTATACATGCAACACACACCAGACACCCCATTTCGCCGATGACAATATAATCTTTCAGCCTAACAGGCTGACAGTTTCCAGGTCACCTTCACTTCCTTGTGCTACAAATCTAATCAGTTGCCAAATCAATTTCATTTCTATTTTAAACATTTTTCAAAAGTTCCTCTTTAGTGTAGTTTTCCTTTTCTTTCTGCTACATTGTCCTAGTCCAGGCCCTCATTATCTATCCCCTGAGCACCCCAATAGCTCTGGTTGGGAAAATAGGACTGAAACCTAAAAATCAACATCAACACAAAGTAATATATGCTAAAGGATATGTGAATGGAAAAAAAAAAAGAGGTCCCTAACTGGCTATGCAAAAGTCAGATCTGGACACAGATATGTTTCATCTGACCTGAAGATCATTTTTACACTATTGAGTCAACTTTAAGGAAAGACAAAATAAAAATCTATATGTTCAGGTTTTCTGGTAAAGGGGGTGATCTGGCAACACTAGAGTCTAGTCCATTCAGTGTAGTTGTCAACTGGAGCTGAGCTGCAGTCCCCTCCTTAGACATCTGCTCTCTGAGGCCCCATAGGCATCACCATTCCCTAGCTTCACTCAATTACTTACTTTCACCTGGCTCTACTCAGCCATGCTTCTTGGTCCCCGTAGGTGGCTGAGTTTGTAAATTCTGTTGTAAAAGTCAGTGCTAAGGGTTTTTGTTGGTAAGGATGCTAGTTGTGCTGCATATATCCTTGACACCTAACACTTCATCTCTCACACAGTAAGCACTCAATAAATGTTGGGAGAAAGTTTTGGAGGTGCCTATGGGCAGGCAAAGTACAAAGGTACACAAAGAAAGCAGGATTTAAATTGAGCCTTGGCCAAAACAGGTGGATTTGATTAACATACAAAGAGGAGAGAAAATAATATTTGAGACAAAGAATATTCTGTTTTAATCCCAAATTTGGTACTTGTTGTTTAATCTTATTGTTTAATTTACTTAACTTCTTTGAGCCTTGGTTTTCCTGTCTGCTGAATTAGGATAACATATATGTCTTAGTGTTATTATAACTAAGGTAAATTAGTAAGATTCAATTACTGAAATACTGAAATTACTGAGATAAATTACATAGTAGAATTCAATAAATTGTAGTTATTAACAACAACAACAAGATAATAATAATAACTCCCTGAATAAAGTCACCAATAGATGTATACAGTCAGGGCATGTGGGTAGCCCAATTAGACTGAAGCAAAATGCTTCACAGAGGGAAACAATGATAGGTAAAAAAGGAGAGAGAGATGACAGAAACCAGAGTCAGTCGCCATTTCTCTCTCCAACCAACTCAAATCCTAAAGCTAACAAATGCATTACTGAGTTTCCTGTGGAAACAAAGTGTAACAAAGGCCAGGGACTGTGATGTGGTCCTCCAAGTAGAAAGAGCTTGAGCTTTGAATCAGATACACATGGGTTCTAATATCAGGGCTGGCACTTACTAGCTGTGTAAACGAGCCAGATTGTTAACCGTTCTAAATCTCATTTGCCTTATCTATAAAATGGGGATGGGATGGCCTTTTAAAATAGGGTTGCTGTATTAAACAGTAATATAAATGCTACTCATGATGGGAACACAATAAATCTTAGTTCTTTAAACTGTACCACGGTTGCACCATCATGTGCTATCTATCCTCTGTCCCTTTCTTTTCTTTCTCTCTTGTTTGTATTTGCCGCCTATGTTTTTCTCTATCTCTTCTTCACTAGGCTCTTTTGCCTCCTTATCTATACCTAGTGTGTTAAGTGTTTACTAAGATTAATCTCATTCAAAAGCATTTATAGACTCCTTACTGTAAGTCAGGCATTATGCTAATACACATGTTAGCACAGCTCCCTCTCCCTGTACTGGCCCTGGAAGTACTTCAAGCTCATTTTCACATATGAGCCATGTCCCTTCCAGGTAAATCAGTTTGCAAAGTATATCAGCTTGAAGTTAAACAAGGCCACATTCTGAGCCAAACTGTGCTCACATTTTCTGTAGTTCCAAAAGACTGTGTGGGCATAGCATAGAGAAGAACCAGGAAACCTGGGATAGGTATCACTGGAACTACAGGAAGCATCAGTGAACAACAGTAGAGGAACAAAAGTCAAAGGATAGCCAGGCGAATCCTTTGACCCATTAATCATATCTGTCAATTTTGCCTAAGGAAATAATTATGGATATGCACAAAGATTTAACTACAAAATATTCCTTCCAGACTTGTCTATAATACTACAAAGTAAAACAAACCTTAACATCTAACAACAGATTAATTCAATTATGTTTTATTCATGTAAGCTATTAATAAAGCGTGTCACAGAGGAATATTTATTAACAAGGAAAGATGCCCAGGCTGTATTATTAACTGAGAAAAGCAGGTTGCAAGGCAAAATATATGAATGAACCTGTGTTTGCAAGTATATATGAATAGAGAAAAGACTGGAAGCCAAGCGAGATGTTAATGATTGACTCTGAAGGTGAGATTATGAATTTTTACTTTTTATTTTGTGTTTCTAGCTTTGTTTCCATGTACCACTTTTATAACAAGAAGAAATACCACACACACACACACACACACACACACACACACACACACACAAGTGTTCTGTGAGTGGAGACAGATGATAGCTAGAAAGCTAGCAAGGTGGATGGATGATGATGATAGATAGATAGATAGATAGATAGATAGATAGATAGATCGATCGATCTATCTCCACATCAGGGAGGCACATCAAGCCAGATGTTTAGGAACACAGTGTTTAATGAGCCTTATGGGGTATCATTAGTAACAGGTTAATGAAAACAGGCAAAGGTCCTGCAACTTGTGTCCGAGCCTGTTCTTTTTGCCATCAGGTCGACGCCCACGGTAACATTCTCCTCAGCACCCTGGAAATCCGGAATGAGACGAGTGGCTCGGAAGTGCTCACGAGCGTGAGCGACCCCAAGGCCACCATGTACTCCTATGACAGCGCCAGCATCCAGTACCGCAAGCCCCTGAGCAGCCGCGAGGCCTACGGGCGCGCCCTGGACCGGCACGGGGTACCCAGCAAGGGGCGCATCCGCAGGCGTGCCTCCCAGCTCAAAGTCAAGATCCCCGACTTGACTGATGTGAATTCCATAGACAAGTGGTCCCGAATGTTTTTCCCCATCACCTTTTCTCTTTTTAATGTCGTCTATTGGCTTTACTATGTACACTGAGGTCTGTTCTAATGGTTCCATTTAGACTACTTTCCTCTTCTATTGTTTTTTAACCTTACAGGTCCCCAACAGCGATACTGCTGTTTCTCGAGGTAAGAGATTCAGCCATCCAATTGGTTTTAGGTCTTGCATATCAGTTTTATTACTGCACCATGTTTACTTCAAAAAGACAAAACAAAAAAAAAATTATTTTTCCAGTCTACCGTGGTCCAGGTTATCAGCTCTTTAAGAGCTCTATTAATTGCCATGTTTACAAACAAACACAAAGAGAGAAGTTAGACAGGTAGATCTTTAGCAGTCTTTTCTAGTTTCCCTGGATTTCACTGATTTATTTTTTAGGGAAAATGAAAAGAGGACCTTGCTGTCCGCCTGCACTGCTTCCTGGTAAACTATAACAAACTTATGCTGCCAAAAAAAAAAAAAAAAAAACATAAAAAAAAACACACAATTTCCAGGATCTCAGAAGAAAAAAACAAAGCCATTGACAAGTTACAGATTTCCAGGAAGAAGGCAAAAGAAAAAGGAGCTTAGACAGGGAAGGAAGAGTCCCCTCTATCCTTAAGTTCTCCCATGTCCGTTGTAAAAGGGCTCCACAGCTCCACAGAAGAAGAGGGAAGGAAGGACAAGCGCTGGTCAAGGTTATGCAATCCCAACCTGCCATCTTCACTGCACCATTAAGCTGGATATTCTGAAATATGCTTCTTTCTCGACTTTCCGGCAAATTTTAAATTAACATTAGAATCCAACCTGGTCGACCTGGTAGCCATTGAGAACATTTTTCTTTTTTTCTTGAGAATAAGGAGCTTGGAAGGCAATGACCATTTTTCTAACTGGCCATTTCAAACATGCAGCCCTGAATTCATCTCATCAGCCTGGAACCCCCTGATGCTGTGCCAGGAAGCCATGCCACCCCAGTTCCATAGTTCCTGCTCCAGAGAGTGTGGGAGGAAGGGGATGGTGAGCAATTTTTGCTTGAGAAAAATATTGCCCTTGCCATTAGGAAGGCAAGATTTATGTGCTGTGAAAAGGGTGCCTGGGCAGTTATCTGAACTGCCAAATCTTAAATCAAATAGTATATATTTCTTTGCCTTCTAGAGAGCAGTATCTAATGGTGACAGGCTAGTCACACAGGCCTCAACTGGCACTTCATGGCTCTGCTCTCTGAGCTCTGCATTCCAGACTGGAATGAATGCTTTGGAAAATGCACAAATACCCATGTTGATGTCATTCCCCTTCAGGACCAGAATTCCATTTTAAAGAAAATCTTGAAAATTGCAGAACTACAGATAAAAACAAGAGCGATGAGAAAAGCAGTGGAGCTTCCAACACATGCACCAGTCCCTAAAGAATAGACCCTGTCTACACTCATTAATCACTGTCATTGCTCCTCTGCTTTATCTCCGCTTGTGGATTACTCTTGGTCATGGTTCTCATAGAAGGGGCATCCTTCAGTAGCCCAACACAATTCTAAACATGTCCAACCAGCTACAGTTGAGATTCTTCCCATGTTATATCACTGAAACCTTGTCATTTTATTTTTCAACCTCAGTATCTAAGAATTCTGTATGTTCATTTGCAAGACTGAATGAAACTGTAAGCTAACCAAACACTGATGCAGGAGGTTTGGGACCTGACCCATGAATGTGAAATAAGGGTTGAGGTAATAATAGGGACGATTGCCTGGCTTAATGATCTAGCTTTTTCCCTAAGACTGTGATGGGGTCCATGTTTACAATAGCATCAGCTTCTGGAAATTACAGTCTTCACCGGACAGATGATGCTGAATTTTTACTGATGAGCTGAAGGGGAGAAAGGTACAAGATATTCTTTTAGAAAGCAAGAGGAAAAGGGAACCTTAAAATAAATGAATAGTTAAGGCTGAAGATAATATATATACAAAAACTCTGCTTTAACTGGAAAAAATGATCTCAGTGGTTTCATGATAGGGACCACATTTTTATTTAGATTTTTAGTTGTATTATCACACTTTCCTGGTCAAGGAAATCTCCAGCCTTAGGGTATGAAGTCATCCATTTTGAAACTCTTCAGTCCCTTGGCAGGGTGAGATGCTTTGCCATCATAAAATGGCCATATAGAGTGGCATGTGGCCATGTCAGTGATTGTAAGGTTAATATTCCGTAATGACCGCAAAGGAACCACTGTGCAGCCATTTATCTTAAACACAGGAAGGAAAATTGTTGGCTGATGCCTAATAAAAATGAATCATTCTGGGTGTCAAAGCTCTTTTAAAAGCTTTTAAGAATGAAATGCTAAATCAGAAAGGAAGTATCTGTAATCTATGTTCCTTAACAAACAATTTATTTTTATTTATCTATTTAGATTATTATTCTTGGGAAAGATTGAGAATATTTGTATTTTTATTATTATATTTTTATCTTGTCTTTAAAAAATCTAACGATTTTGATGCTGTAGTTTTAGATGTAAAGCATCTTCTGAGAAAAAAAGAGAACATTTTGAATTCATATCTTAACCTTTGTAAAATGTAAACTTATTAAGCCTGAATCTACCCATCAGGCACAAAATGGTGTCACCATATGCCCTCCTGGGCAGTAGAGGGGCCACAGCCAGCATTATAAAAATCCTGGTAAATAGCTGATTTTAGAGGCAGTGGCAGCCAGAAGAATGGAGAAGCTGCAATATTTATGGTTAAAGACCTCTATCCCCACTTCTTTCTGGACACCTGTGGGCCAAATTCTTCCCTCCTTGGCCCCACTCCTAGCCAAGTCCTCCCCTTTCAGGCTGAACAGTGAATAGAAAAAAAAAAAAACTTCCTTCTCTGGCTGTCTCCCTTGTCTTGCCCAAAATCATGTACATAAAATATAAATGTTGTTGGACATTCTTAAGTGCCCTCAAAACTGGCCCCATTCTTGGAAGATTCAGATTATTACATGATAGAGGGATTATTATTCAATCATTATTGGGTTGTTTTCTTTTTGCCATGAAAATAGCCATAATCCCCTGCATTAGTTAAGTTGAGGAAGAGGCTGAAAGTTACACAGACTCACTCTCTGATGTCCAAGTCATGTCCAAGTAACCCCATATCTACAGTTCAGAAACTGTGACATAAACTGTGTCATAGACTTCACCTGTGTAAGCCCATTGGAAATTCCAGCTTTCACTGGACAGTGATGACTGCATACTCATTCCTTCCAATCATGTTCCTTGGCTTAAAATATTAGGGATGACATGTGCATTACAATTACCAGCTTTGTGAGGCAAAGATCCAGGTCAAGATATATTTTCGGCTTGAATTATCCAGGATTATTGCCTCTGTTTTCTACATTGCCAAATAGAAACAGCAGATTGGTTGGTAATTCTGCCAACTGAATGATATGTGTTTTCATACATGCCATCTTTATTGTACATTACAATCAACAAAGGATCTTGAAAATGCAAAGAGAAAAAAATGTGGTGCAGAGAATAAACTTTGGTTTAAGGGTCCAAGGATAGGCATTCCTTAAAAAGCATTATGTACAATACATAAAAATGTTGACTAAATTCCATCTTTCTAAAATCAATGACTATTTTATAAATATTAAGAAAGAATTCAATTATAATTTGCCAAGTTAAACAAAAAAAGATATATTTATAATACTTCTAGAAGGAAATAATCTCCAAGATTTCTTATATGGACAATTTTGAATAGTATATTACCAAAGGGTGATGTGTCACCATTTTCTTTCCTAAACAAAGTAAATCATATATCCCAGGAGGGAGAAAAAAGGAATGTACAAGCATTTGTTCATGGTGGTTCAATCAGCATTACTGGGATGAGGGGGACAGAAAAACAAACAAATATGTCTGTTTCCTGAAAGCAAGCAGTGAACATAAAGGTAAATTTGTTAATGGAATGTAGACTATTACATAAACTTCCTTGTAAATTCTGTACATAGTTCATTGACCCTGTTGTGTGGTGGTCCTCAGCTTTGGGTGGATGTTCAAAAAATCTGAGCATTGTAAATAATGTAAGCTTATAAGGTATTTGCTTTTCTTCATGAAGTGAAATGACTAGTGATTTGGGCCCAAACCAGAATCTTTTTAGCTCTTGCTCTTTCTCTGCCATTTTGTGTGTGCAGTTGTGTAACTCTGCTGCAAGCCATAGCCAGGTGTCTGTGATCACTGCCTCATCCCCCTACCCCACTGAAAGGAACAGCAGCTGATGAGAAGGCGGCAAGCCTGTGGGGCTCAGGAACAGCGCACCAGCAGAAACGGAAACTGTAGCAAGCTGCTCCTTGAACTGCGTCATAAAGAGATTTGTCTTTATCAGTCATTCGTGGCTATTCATATATTCAGATACTGAATTATCCATGCCGTTGAGGGGGTCAGGAATGGAAAAGATATTCAAAATCCACAGGCAATCCAAAGCTTTATTTGCACCAACAGCTTTAGCTTCTAACTTGTTCTCTTCCAGTTTCCCGGAACTTCTATTAAGAATAGAAGTGAATGGATGGGTTTGATCAGGGTAAAGAGTCAAATGTCCAAATGATGGGAAGGAACAAAGGAAGGACAGTAAATGATTGGTAACACCAACAGGCTGATTCATTCCTGAAAGATCCAGAGGTAACCATGTCATTATTTTTTAAAGGCAAAGAGAAATATTGTTATACACTGGGACTTGAAACTAGTATTTTTGGCCAGACATGGTAATTCATGCCTGTATTTCCAGTACTTTGGAAGGCCAAGGTGGGAGAATCACTTGAGGCCAGGAGTTTGAGACCAGCCTGGACAACATAGCAAAGCCTGTCTCTGTTAAAAAAAAAAAAAAAAAAAAAAATAGCTGGGCGTGTTGGCATGCACCTGTAATCCTAGCTACTTGGGAGGCTGAGGTGGGAGGATCACTTGAGCCCAGGAGTTCAAGTGAGCTATGATCGTGCCACTGCACTCTAACCTGGGCAACAGAATGAGACTCTGTCTCTTTAAAAAAAAAAAAAAAGAGAGAGAGAGAGAGAGAAAGAAAAAAAACACACAAGTATTTGGGATATGTGTGATATGTGCTAATTAAGCTTAAAAGAGTCTGGTAATTAAATGTTCTCAAATACATTTCTCCCAAGTATTGGTATTCCTGAAAAAGTCTTCAGAATGGTGGAATATTATGCCACAAGATGTGTTTCCATGCAAACTGGCAGTCCCAGGGAGAGCAATGGTGTCTATAGAAATTCAGAATATCTAAACCAGCTTGTTTCTTAGTAATGTTTTAGAATGGACAACATCTTTCTTGGAGGTAAGAACTTTGCAAGATAGGACTTTTTATGCCAACATTTTAAGTGCCAGGAGAGTTCAGTAAGCCATGACTTTGAGATATATTGGTTCTAAAATTTGCCAACTAGGGTCCACCATCAATTGAGAAAGAAAAATGTTTTGTTTGAACTGATCAGGTCAGTCAGTTACTAGTTCCAGAACACACTGTGCTTTTACTGTAACCACGCTTTCTTTTTTTAAGATAACTGAAATCAACTAAATAGAAAACATAATTTTTGGAGACTGCAATTTAAAAGCATTTGAAAGGAAATCATTTTTAATAGAGGAATTGCAAACCAGAGAATAATAAGCTCCTGGAAGGATAAGGGTAAAGAGTTTTGTGTTTGTTATTACTTCTCCTATAGCAAGAAATTCTTATTCAAATTGAAACGGTCTAACAGTTGTTTGTTTGGGTGTTTTGTTTGGTTAGTTGGTTTTGTTTTGTTTTTTTCTAATTAAAAAGTCCTTGTTACATCAAGGGACTCATAACCATTCCCTATTGGCCCCTGGATACTTTGCATATCCTGAAACAACCAGCACTGATCAGAAAGCATTCAGTCCAGTCAGAATTCAAGGTGGGAAAAGTAGGTGTATTTCTGAACCATTTGGGAAGGAAAATCATTTTTCTGAACAACACTACCTGCATTTCTGTTTCTGCAGACAATCAAAAAACAAACCAATAAAAATAAGTAAGTGAAAGAAAGGCCAAATAGCATTATTCATTTGCCTTAGGTTTACAGGGTCACAGATTCATTAGCTTAATTACAACCTCATTTGGATGCCAAAGAATGAGCAAGAGCAATCAGTATTGCTACCTGGCTCTTGCTTCTTCTTCCTGGGTTTGTTTTGTTTTTCAGAGAAACAGGGAAGGGAGGACATTTTCTAATATAATTGTTTATAGGGACAAATTGTTAAAATATGATGTGTGTGCATTTTGCAAGTTTGACTTGTGTAAAATAGATTACCTCTCCTGTCTTCTTTCCTTCCCACACTGTATACCATCCTGCCTCATGTCAACCCAATGAAATTGATTCCATTATTTTTCCTCTTTCTTATTTCCAAACCTCATAGGCTATCTTGCCTATGAACAGTTGAAAGTTTTGACTTCTTTGGACTCAATTGAATTCACTAAAACAATGAATTTTAATAATTTTTTTCCAAATTCTTATTCCCATTGCCTTTAAAAGTCCTTTAGAGGCAGGTTGTATAATCATAATAGCCTCCTCTGAACTGCCTTGAGTTGTTTTTCTTTTCTGCTTTTCTGTCACTTATGTAAAGAGTACATGTATTTACATAAACCTTCTCTGTCCCGGCCTATTTCAAAATAAAGTGGAAATAAAAATCTTTAGCTCAATCTTACAGAAATTTATATTATCTACCCCAGAGTTTGAAGATAAGGCCATCTCCTTACACTATAATTGTAATATAGTGAACTTAAAGTGTATCAATCCTTTATCAAACTTGTTTATTCATTAGCTTTTTCAGTCTCCAGTAGGCCCATTTTACAATTTATTATTATTCCTCCTAGAAGGGCTTATCATTCAAATAGCACACCACTAGTTACAGACTATCCTTGATCCATTTCATCTTTTTTGTATATTACCCCCATTACAAATTTCTACTTCTATATAACACCCTACCCACTTCCCCTCAGCCTTGCAGACAGCCTGCAAACTGTCTAAATTTCTCCCATAAAAATATGTAGAACATCTGTTTCCTCTAGACAGCATTTATATAGATTTGGAAGAGAGTTCTCTAAACATATACCAAAGAGTATGCAGCCTAACCTCGAAAAGTTAACAATAAGTGAGCATCATGATGGAGAGAGGGAATTCACAGTGGATGGAAGACACCTTGGAATTATTAATATGATTGGGGACCTGGTCTTGGTGCTGTCTCTGCCACTGCCTAGGAGCATGACTTTGAACATGCCACCAGATGACCTCCAAGTTCTCTTCCAAAACTAAATTTCAAAGGTAATTTTAGAGAAGTTCATTTGTATGGGAGGTTAGCAGAAAGATACAGGAGGACCATGGCCTCTGCTAACATAACCCAACTAATTTGGTAATAATTCTTGATATCATGTCTTTGAGAGTAAGCCATCTGGTATCAAGTGAATTGAATTCAATACCTATTCATGTTCCTTTAAAAATATATAGGACATACAGTTACATTTGCAAGCCAAGTGGAAAAATGTTACTATTTTTGTAATTTTCTATAACTACAATATTTCCCTTTAAGAGAGAGTCTCAGATAATACAAATCCTTTATTTTTAGATCCCTGGAAGATAAAGATGTTCTTAAACCATTCTCTGTAATTCAATTAAGGAACAGCCATGCAACACCCCATCATGGGTAGAAAAGCCAATCTCTAGGCAGCATCTAAGCCCAAATGTTGTTGCAGTGCCCTCCTCAGTCTTGGACCCCACACTGTCTTGTTTCCTGAAAGTAGAGTAGCAGATATTTTTGAGCTCTCAGGCAAGAAGCAGCTTTCCATCTATAATAGTTGGAAAGATCCAAGGTCTTTAGAACATCTGTTATCCACTCTCCTTGCTCAAGTCCTTCCACCCCGGCTTACCTAGTTAACTACTTACCTAGTTAACTACTTACCTAGTTAAATCCACTGGTGTTAGGCACAGCCATGACAAAACTGACAGTTTATTAATTTGTGATTAGCATTCTAGCTATTCATGTTCTTCAAGCATGCATGAAGAATTCCGGTCTCTGAACATTGTCCTCAATACAACTTCTGTAAACAGATGTTCTTAACTTTTTCTTCTTTGTTGAAAGATACCTTCCAACTCTAAACTTTCATGATTTTCCTGAGTATTTCCTGGCCATTCAAGCTTTTTCCACTCTACTAAGCTGTCTAGATTTTATCCATTTTACCTTGATGATCCAGATTTTGGGCAGTTCAAAAATGAGTAGAGAGTAAGGGGGAAGAGAACTATTCCCACTCCCAACAGATAAATATCATGCTCAGTAGACACTCTGTGTCCAGTTTTGTTTTCTGCTTTTTCCATCTGTTCCACCCACTTGCTTACCCATACATAAAAGCCTTTCCTTAGTCTCTTGAGAAAATATATAGAAGGAAAGTTTGCACAGCAGCAAAATAGCCTGAAATGTGCTCCAGTTCTTTTTGGTTAACATTATTGTTTAGACCATATGACCCAATTTGCCTCAGACAGTCTCAGTGTGTAATTATTAATAAAACTCCTTTTCACTCTCAAAATTGTCCATGTGAATAATAAATGATACGACCACCATAATTATGGGATCTCAGCCACCTGAAGGGTGGGGAAATATTAATAAATGTAACATTAACACACTACAGAAAACATGTCTTGGCTCCCTACAAATCATTTAAGTCTGGCCCAGTCTTCTCCACCACTCGTTCATACTCACCTTATTTCTCCATGAGTTCCTTAATTAGCTGCAAGCAAGCTCATCCTCAGGTCTTCCTTATCCTTCCACTCCAACATCCACACATCATCCCAAAATGTCCTCACTGCTGTGCTTGAAGTTTTACATTTTATTTCCACTGATTAGATATTTTTCTTCCTAGCCCCATCTCAATCGTGGTTTATGAATCAGGCCAACATCCTCAAAAATGCTGTCCATGAGCACCCTGCCTCATTCTGTTCACTCTCCTGTTAACACTCCCTCAATTCTTGTGGTCACTTTATTCAATAATAATAGACAGTTTATTTGCACATTTCTAGTTTTGCAAAGAGATATTCTGCCTCCCTTTGTGAGGTCCTTAAAAGCAAACACCCCATTTTCTAATTCTTTTGTATTGTCCAAAGCAACTATTGTTCTGCCCATGGCAGGGTCTATAAATGCTGATTAGATCACCTACAGTGGGAAAGGCAGCAAAAGACAAACACTTTTTCATAACAGGCAATATTTCAGGATTATAGATAATACCTTGTGGGACAGATGACCTCCTCTCTCAAATTATTTTAGTCCCATAGAGCCTCTATCTACAACCTCTCAAAGAATAAAAAATGCAGTCAAAGGTACAGTTGAATCCAGGTTTGTGTCTTGCAAAGTGGTCATTAAGATTTTTTTCTACTGGGATTTTCCAAGCAGACTGAATCCTGATAATACCACCAATCTAGATTCTACCAGTTCTAGAAGAATTGAATATTCCTTGCTAATTACCGCTGCTTTTCCTTTATGGAAAAAGGAAAGTTTTCTTTTATAGTTTTTTCCCCTGTTTATCATTGTTTGCCTTATTAATGGCCTTTTAAATCTAGGTTCTACAGGGTATTTATTCTTGAAGCTGGGGCTACACTGTATTATTGATGGAACATTCCCATGTGAATTCTAATACTCCCAGAAGGTACTGCACAACAAATCCTATTTCTGCCAAGATATAAATAGAAGATTTAGAACTATATAAGAGGGATGGACAGTTCTTGACATTCACCACTGCTTCTCAAGAGTGCATAAAATATAATAGATGTACAAGGAAATGCATTTTCTGCCTCCACCCCCTTTTTTCAATTATTAACTTTCCAGTTGTCCTGTTAAATAATTTACTAATTTGCATAAAAGAAATATATAATTTGCAAGCCTTACCTCAGAGTGGCAACCAGCCATCCCAGTTTACTAGATAACGTATTTTTCTACCTGATACTCCTCAAATAAATTGAATTGCAGTGTATCTGCTTTTTCTTTTTTTAAGCTAATTAATTCATTGTTGATCTGTTTGTTAGATCTTTTTAAAATACTCACTGGATAAAGCTTGAAATTTTACAACAATGCCCCTGAGACAATTTTAGGGAAGTCCTTTGATTATTCTAACTTAACTTCAGTGTCATGGAAAACAGAATTATATATCCAAGTGTTCTTTCATATTCAGAACATCCAGTACTCTTCCAAGAAGGGAATGTTCATGATTATATACACATATATTTATTGACTGTGTTGCTCAGCTTCTTATCTCAAGGAGAGTCAGTAACTCTTTTTCTTGATAAAAACTACCATGTCAGCCAAGCACGGTGGTTCACACCTGTAATCCCAGCACTTTGGGAGGCTGAGGTGGGCTGATTTCTTGAGCCCATGAGCTCAAGACCAGCCAGGACAACGTGGTGAAGCCCCGTTTCTACTTAAAATACAAAAATTAGCCAGGCATGGTGGCGCGTGCCTGTAGTCTCAGCTACTCGGAGGGCTGAGGTGGGAGGATCACTTGAGCCCGGGTGGCTGAGGCTGCAGTGAGCTGAGATCGTGCCACTGTACTCCAGCCTGGGTGACAGAGTGAGACACTGCCTAAATAAAGGAAAAAAAAAAAAAAAAAAAAAACTACCACGTGGCATTATACAAAGCCAAGATTTCACAACATTTTTGAAAATTCCAAATGACTTACATGTTTACAAGGACCAAAAACTTTTTGATATTTTAAAATAAGCTTTATCCTTTTTAACCACCATGCAGCATGCTGTGCCATCATGATGGAAGCCTGATGGCTAATGTGAAATAATGTTGGCATGTCATTTAAAAGGTTAACAGACATGAAAATTGGGAAGTTTAATATTGTTTAATACAAATAAAATTGTTTTTGAAAGAAAGGCATCTGTGTTGAGCGTGGCTTGCTTGAAAACTTCTCCTGTCTATCATCTCTGAACATTATTTTGCTCCTCTTGACTTTACTCAAGGGGCCTAATCCTACAGTGATTCAGGAGGTTTGAGAAAGCAGGACTCATGAGACTAAAAATTAGGAAACTACTATCCTGCCAGCAATGGGACACCTCTTTGGCTACCACCTCACCTAAAACTTCATTGAATCAGAAAATTAGCTGAACTTTCCACACCAGTCTCCTGCAATTTTAATTCATAGCATCCTGTACTAAATAGCTGGGGCTTTCAAAAGCAGGTGCTACGTATATACAGAAAGAAATACATACCTTCTGTTGCCTCTCAAAATCCGTTATGCTAAACTCACCAAATACGTTACATGTTAAATGTTTCATTCCTTGTGTTTTTAGATCTCCAGTTACCAATTTGCTATCTATCCTCCTACCAAACATTATTTAACCAACTCATATCCTGATTGGTATTACAATTCTTGTAAATAAAAGAATCCTTTTCTCCCTCTTTATTTTTACCAAGTAGACTTCTTTCATTGCAAATAAACATAAATTACAATATTTTAAGGCTCTTTGACATAAGCATTTGCTTTCTTACCTAAGCAGGTAATACTTTTGTATACCTACCAGACACTAAAGAAGCTAAATGTCAAGAGTGAGTATTTCAGTAAAACCTGTAGAAATTTTAATGAAATGGGACAGGTTTAAAAAAATGCCAAGAAAGGAAAAGGTGGACTCCTTACTTTTATATTTCAAGTTTTCTATTTTGTATCAATATATGCTGCATTTTCTGATTGAAATTGCTGTTCTGTCTAATGAAACTTGTGATTTTCTGTAGTTGCTTTTTACATTTGAAAGCAAACTTTCATACTGTGTGTGCTTAACTGTACCCCTTCTGTTAGGGATTTGATTAAAATACTCTAACCGTTTCATTAATTCCTTTTTATGTGCTTAATGTATGTGACATTTATGGCTTTGTTATCTCAAAAGCTATCTGTGGACAAAATCCATGAAGCCTGTTGACTGTGATTTATACACGTGAAAGAAAAAAACCAATTTCCTCCTAAGCAGTGAATCAGTGAATAAGAAACTGTTCAGTGGCCTCTGATTCCTGACCCTTTTACCCTTCATGGCCTTTTTTCTATTCTTAATTATTCCTTGAGTAATTGTGTGTTCTTGTAAAATGCAAAATCAATTTACATGCAATCAGGTATGGACACAAGAAATGCTTGTGCTCTCGATTTCAGGACTCACAGATACCATAACAGTCACGGGACTGTAGTTCACTCAGTATTTTTTGTTAATAATGTGGCTTTGCTATAAAATAACTTGGTGTTTCCTTTGCTTTGGTACTACAAGATTTTAAATGTTGCAGCAAATGAAAGAATGAAAACACATTTGAAAGCTGGTGTCAAAAATCATCAGCTGTACTTATAAAAGTTGTTGTGCAGCTTCTGAAATGTAGTTTATTGCTGTAAATATGTACAATTTATGTTAGCTCGTTTATTCTGAAAACACAAATAAAACTTTTTTTTAAATTACAAATGCCTACATATAAAAAGCTTACTTTGTACTACGTTTTAAAACATGCAAGATTTCAGGCATATCTTTTTATAATCCTTAAAAATGTTTAGAATTTTGAATCTATCATTTGAGAACTTTTATTACAAAATTTAATACAAAGCTACATCCCTTTATTTGGAAGAAATTCATTTCAGGATTACTCAACAATCAAAAAAAAAAAAAAAGATACCAGCACATTTCCAGGAGCTTGTGTCTGTACCACTTTGATTTTTTTAAATATTATTTAAGATGACAACATGCCTTACAAACACTTAAACATATGGTGTGTTTATACTAGAAAAGAAGAAATGAACAGTCTCCTTGTATTCAAAAATAATGCCTAAAACTGACTTATTGGCATCCCTTTGTGAGGTGTATTATGTCAAACTTCTTTGAAAATCTCCACTGTAAATATGAATATTAGAGTTGGCCTATTTGTCAGACTTTCCTAATTTGAAGACCTCCAACTTCCAAATTAATTCTCTCCCTTGAGAAAGAATGTGTTGACAATAAAACAATGAAGAGACCAAAAGTGTGAATTTTATTCATCCATTAACTGGTGATTAGTAGAAAAGCTTTTCAATAAAAGTCTAAACTCCAACCCAGGGATGACTTTAACATCCATTTAACAAAATAACTGGGAATCGCCACTTTAAAAGCTGAGCTTTGGCCTGCAGAGCTGGATATATCTGAGGCATCCTACACTGGCTACTATTTCCACAGACTACATTACACAATGGGAGAAATAAATACCCATCAGTTTTATTTAAAGCAGAAAAGGAACACATGTATATGTAACACGTTTAGAATTTGCTATGTCAATAAGAAGCCTGAGTAAGACAGGTGTTTAGCATCCAGCATCTTCCTAAACAAAGGAAAGTGTTGTTTAATTCAGCAATGATTGAATAGTAATCATGCAAGGGCAATGGGAAAAGGATAAAGATATCAAACCGATCTTCTCAGTCTCAGAGAAAATTACAGTTTAGATGGGGAGGCCAACTTAATAAACCATATTAGGGCAAACTAGCATATCTACACATTCACAATAATTACAAAGTGAATATGAAAGTGCTTGGATGAAAGTATTTTTGTCATACACTGGCATGCAAGAGAGTTCTCCAGGCACCTGGGAACATATGTTTGCATAGTCTCTGTATCTGTGTCACTAGTATCCCAGTTATTTCATATCTGAGTCCACTGCATAATTTTTCTCTTTTTTTAATTCTGAAACATTTCAAACATAACCATCACCCAGATTCCACAACTATCCAAAAGTCTGCAACAATTAAGCTGCACTTGCTTCATTTAATCAGTTGTGGGGTTTTCTTCTAAAGTATGTCAAGGTAAATCTTATCCCTTATGTGATTTCACTTATACATATATCTGTAAATTATGGGGATTAAGAAAATCTAACCATAATAACCATTATCATACCAAACAAAAATAATAGCTCCTTGACATTTAATGAATTTTATTCACATTTCCCCAATTGTCTCCAAAATACCTTTTTACAGTTGTTTTTTCAAGTGAGGATCCAAGTGAGGTCTCTTAAGTCTCTTTGACTCTAGAACATTTCCTCTCTCCCTTTCTTTTATGCTGGAAGCTCTGCCAGTTCTGCAGAACGTGCTTACACATGGTGCTATTCAGCTTGGCCATTTTTTTCTCTGAAGATAACATTAGAATTTGCTTCATAGACATTTTGTGAGAATTAAATTAATCCAAAATTTATGAGATTTTTGTTTTTCCCATTTTGTGCACAGAGATATGGAAGTTCATCAAGACAAAAAGAGTTTGCCAAGTAAGTGACCAAGCCAGATGCCCAACTCCAAAGCTCGTACTCTGCCTTACACTTAGACATTCTAATCGTTCAGAATATAAACAGAATTAATCGAAAACTCTTGTTGAGCTTCAACATGTTCAGTTTCAATATACATTATGAAGTGTACATTAATGAAAAACACATAGTACTGAAAGAAAATGTACACTGAATGTGTATTATGTGTTTTTCATTAATGTACATTGTACAGTACAATGTATATTGTACACATAATACTGAAAGAAAAACTGAGTTTACCAGGGTGAATTATAGTATCCATCTTACAAAACAGAAAGAAATGAAATCCAAAGATAGTATTTAAAATATACTGTAAAGGGGTGGGGCATGTGGAAAAAATAATTTAATATACTGTAAAAACTTTTCTAATATAGAAATATTTAGTGTTTGAAATGAAAGCATTTTTAAAGACTTAAATTATAAAGATGTTCAAAGGAGGAACTGGTTTGCAATAAAATGTGGCTAGAGGAAACTCAAGTGACTACAGAATTTTCCCATCCTCTTTTTAAATTACTATTTCACTGTAAAAATATAAATAAGTAAATAAGATCTAAAAACATAAGAGACCTGCAAGTATGGCAAGCCCATAATTTTTTAACTGTCAAGCAGTTTTATTTAAGAGGAAACAGTATATTTAATGTATTGCAATTCAGTAGATGATTCCATATTTAATAAATAAAAATGTAATTATGTAATTTGATTTACTCTTTGGATTGTATTCTGATAATATTAAACCTTTAACTTAAAAATATTAACACATTTTAGCTTTCTTATGCAGAAGTCTATTTTCTACTCGGGAGAAAAATGGAAGAAACTGAGATCATGGTCTACATTTTGAGAATGTTTTTACTGCTCGATTAAATTTCTTGGTTTCCCATTTAAGACTTTATAAGAAGTAAATTATGTGGTTTTCATTTTAAGAATAGATGAATGCAGAAACATTATGTTGGAAAAAACAAAGAGACCCTAAACTAAAAAAAAAAAAAAAAAAAAAAAAAAAAAAAAAAAAAAAAAAAAAAAAAAAAAATCCACATACAACTAATGTTCCGCTCTGGAGAAATTAATAAAAAGTAAATCAACTTTTAAATCCGTTAACTTTGGCGTCTGGTAGCATATAAATAAAAGACAATATTTCACCTAAACTCGGGGTTTTCTTAAAAGAAAAATAAAATATTCATCATATATCCTAAACAGAAAATATCAGTAGCAGGAGATGTCAATCTTGGCTGGACGTTGAGTCTATGAATATCATCATATCACATTCTCAACATAGGTATTAGCTACAGAAGTAACTCCCTTTTCAAAGAAAATAGCATTCTTAACAGAAACTTTAGCTTTATTAGAAGATAATTATGTCCCAATGTTAAACAAATATAACCTTAACTATTTCAATTATCACAGGAATATGTGACATTATTATCAATGAATTATGTTTGGGTTTGCAAGGCAGGTCATCACAAGATTGAATCACTTTTGCTAGACAAGCTGTAGATCAGTCTGTCTGTGCGGTACAGCCTACCAGTTACGTACTCTGTATGTGCAAGGAGAGATAATCCTCTCAAAGGAGTTTATTTGAATCTGCTCTCCTTTAAAAGGGTCTTAACTATTTCCAGGATGCTTTTTCTTAAATAACCCTAAGCAGAAAATAAAACGCTACATGATATAGCTCAGCTTTTGACCCTAATTCTAAGATTCAATCTTATCAAGCTATAGTTACAGGGATAAAATAAACATTGCATCCTATCTTCTCATCTTCTCTAATGACTTCAGAATTAACATAACTACACTACTTTATAATTAACTGCCCACAACATCTCTCAGGCATTCAGTTCACATTAGACTAAGAACAAAAAATAATTTTTTTCTTAACCTAAAATTTTAATGACATGGGCTTACACTTCCAATCAAGATGGATTAACAGGTACAGAATTTTCCCCTTTACAACAGCTGCCAAAAATAAAATAAAATACCTAGGAGTATATTTAACCAATGAGGTGAAAGATTTCTACAAGGAGAACTACAAAAACACTGCTGAAAAAAATCATAGACGATATAAACAAATGAAAACATACCCCATGCTCATGGATTAGAAGAATCAATATTGTGCAAATGACCATGGTGCCCAAAGCAATCTACAGATTCAATGTAATTCCCATCAAAATACCAACATCATTTTTCATAGAATTAGAAAAAACAATCCTAAAATTCACATGGAACCCAAAAAGAGCCTGAATAGCCAAAGCAATCCTAAGCAAAAAGAACAAATTATACTACAAGGTGATAGCTACCAAAACAGCATGGTGCTGGTATAAAAGTAGGCACATAGACCAATTGAACAGAATAGAGAACCTAGAAGTAAAGCCAAATATGTACAGTCAACTGATCTTGAACAAAGCACACCAAAACATAAATTGAGGAAGAGATACCCTATTTAATAAATGGTGCTGGGAAAACTGGCAAGCCACATGTAGAAGAATGAAACAAATCATTATCGCTCACCTATACAAAAATTAACTCAAGATGCATCTTGAGTTGGACTTAAATCTAAGACCTAAAACTATAAAAATTCTAGAAGACAACATTAGAAAAACTCTTCTAGACACGAGCCTAGGCAAAGAATTCATGACTAAGACTCCAAAAGCAAAAACACTTGTACTCCAAAAGCTATTGAAATAAAAATTACTTTTAAAAACAGGTACAGGATTTACACTATGACTTGAAACAATCAAAAACAAAAACAGCCACCCACCCCCACTCCTGACTCCTTGACACACACAAACCACTGGTATTCAAGACACCAAGTATCAGGGAACACAGGATAATGATACCTGAGTGACAGGAAACAAAGCAGGTGCAGCCTACGACTGCTCCAGCTTACTTGACAGAGTTATCAGACCACAGTTCAGAGACAGGAACCCGTGGGGAGCCTGGAGGGCTCCCTGAATTGAGGAAGTACAACTGAGAATCCGGGAAGACCAAGGCAGCTAGAATTCACAAGAGAGAAAACCAAAGAGGAGGAAGTTGCAGAAAAAAACAACCCCAGAAATCTAGAGCAGATTGCCCTTTGAGTATTCAGGAGAGTATCGATCAGTACGTACATGTGAAGAAACAACCCAAGGCTGGAAAAAGAGCTACTTGAAGAAATTAGAGGGAACAGGTCTGGTACTCACGCATTGCCAGGAATAGTGCCTGTTCCCAACAACTAAATTGGAAAATCTCTTAATTCACAAGGCAGTAGGTAAAGTACTCAAGACAGTCTTGTCTCAGTGATAGGGAATAATTAGCCCATTACTGAGCACTGCTCTGGATCTGCCTCACAAATCAGAAAAGCAAGATCTTAATAGATCACTGTTTCCGAGTAACTTAATTGCATTCAATTCAAAACAAAGCTCAAGGATTATTTACAGAAATATAAAAATTGCCAACAGCCAATAAGGTTAAATTCATCACGTCTGGCACCCAATCAGAAATTACCAGGCATTCAAAGAAAAAGGAAAACGAGATCCATAATGAGAAGACTAGTCAATCAACACTAACACTGGTGTTAAAATTAAGACTGGTCTCGAACTCCTGACATCAAGTGATCCACCCATCTTGGCCTCCCAAAGTGCTGGGATTACAGGCGTGAGCCACCACGCCAGGCCTGAACAATTAATTTTTGACAAAGGCACAGAGGCAGTTCAGTAGAGAAAGCATAGCCTTTTCAGCAAATGGTGCTGAAATAATTGAATATTCACATGCAAAAAGTGAACTTTGAGCCACACCGTGTGCCATATTCAAAAATTAACACAAAATAGAACATAGACCTAAAGGTAAAACTGAAACTATCACATTTCTAAAAGACAATTTAGGAGATCATATTTGTTAATCTGGGTTAGACAATGATTTCTTAGATATGATGCCAAAAGCATGATCCAAAAAAGAACTGGTCAACTGAACTTCTTCAAAATTTAAAACCACAGCCCTTGAAGACAGTTGGGAGAATGAAACAACAAGCCACAGACTGGAAGAAGATGTTTGCAAAACACATGTCTAATAAAGAACATCTATCCAAAATATACAAAGAACTTTTAAAAATCAACATTAAGACAACCTAATTAAAAATAAGCAAAGACATCTGAACAGACACCTCGCCGAAGAATATGTACAGATAGAAAACATGCATAAGAACAGATTCTCAACACCCTTGGTCACTAGGGAACTGCAAATTAAAATAACAATGAGATACCACTACATCTCTATTAGAATAGCTACAACTCAAAATACCGATAATACCTAATGCTGCTGAGAATTCAAAGCAACAACTCTCATTGTTCGTAGAACTGCAAAGTGGAGTAACATCAGCAAGACAGCAGAATAGAAAGCCCCTGACTACCTGAGATCTGAAGTCAACAACATACAGACCAATTTCTTTTGTGAGTAATCCAGAGACTAGTTAAAATGCATCTGTAACTTAAGAGAACACAAAACCAGCTGCATCTCCAATAAGAACATTTGTGGCATTCATTCACCACAGTCCACCTCCAAAGCTCAGCATGGAACCAGCAGAAAACTCCCAACTCCTGGTTTCTCCCAGGGAAAGGAGTTGGAGCATGACTTCAGCGTTCTGTCTTTACAGGGGGCTGCCCAAGTGACTGTTTTCTGTCTGGGATTATGGACAGGACTTGGAATACCCTAGATGCCTAGAGGCCGCTGAGGACAGAAGAGGGCTTGGCTGCTTCCTGTCATTCCAGAAGACCTGCAGTACAGTGGAGGCTGATACAACTTGGTAGCCTTTCCCTGGGAACTGGGGGTGGAGGAGAGAATTGCGGAGCATGTATCCAATGTTCTGATGTTTTAGGGCTTCCCAAGGGACTGATTTCTCTCTTGCCTGACTCGGAGTACTAACAGGACCTAGAAAACTCTAGAAGCCTTGGGCATCTGAGAACAAAAGAGTGGGGCTGTTTGTGACAGTCCAGAAAACCTGCAGTACCACAGACTGACACCAGAAGGAAGGAGAGATTATGGACATCTGAGGAACCCACAAATCATTAATTGGGAATCTGCGCGGGACAACACAGACACAGAAATAGATAAAGGATATTATATAATGATAAAATGGTCAATCACCAGGAAGATCTAACAACGATAAATACATAGTACCCAACATTAAAGCATCCAAATATATGAATCAAACATTGAGGGAAATGAAAGGAGAAACAAACAGCAACACAATAATAGTAGGTTTCAGTATCCCCACTTTCAATAATAGGGCATCCAGACATATCAATAGTGGACGAAAGGGCTTGAACAACACTATAGATCACATAGACCTAACAGACATATACAGAACATTCCATCCAACAGCAACAGCATGCACATTCTTCCCAAAAGCACATGAAACATTATCCAGAATTGCCCATGTTAGGTTACAAAACAAGTCTTAACAAATTTAAGATGATTGAAATCAGACCTAGTATCTCTTCAGACCACGGTGGAATAAAACTAGAAATCAGTGCAATAAGAAAACTAGAAAATTGACAAATATGTGAAAATTAAACAAGATACTCTTCAACCACTAGAAAAATGAGAAAAAATTATACCCAAACTTAGCAGCGGGAAGGAAATAATAAAGATTGAAGCATAAATAAATGAAATATAGAATATAAAAACAAAATAAAAACCAATGAAACTGAGTTGGTTATTTGAAAATAGAAAAATTGACAAATCTTTAGCTAGACTAAGAACAAAAGAAAATTCACAATTAAAAAATCAGAAATGAAACAGAGGATACTACTTCTGATGCCACAGAAATAAGAAGGATTACAAGAGACTGCTATGAACCATTATAGGCTAACAACTTAGATAACCTAAGAGAAATAGATAAATTCCTAGAAACACACAACCTACGATGACTGAATCATGAGAAAATAGAATATATGAAGACTTACAACTAGCAAGGAGATTGAATCAGTAATCAAAAATCTCCCAACACAGAAAAGTCAAGGACCAGAGGGTTCCACTGAAAAATTCTACCAAACATTTAAAGAAGAATTAAAATCAATCCTCCTCAAACTCTTCCAAAAAACTGAAGAGGGAACACTTTCAAATTCATTGTATGAGGTCACCATGATCCTGATGCTAAATCCAGACAAAGATATTAACAAAAAAGACCACACGCCGATATCTCTAACAAACATAGGTACAAATATCCTCAACAAAACAATAGCAAGCCAAATTCAACAACACATTAAAAAAAATCATACGCGATGATCAAGTGAAATTTATCCCTGGGATGCAAAGATGGTTCAACATATGAAAATCAATCAATCACATAAACAGAAAGGATAAAAATCACATAATGAATTCAATAGATGCAGAAAAAGCATTTGACAAAAATTAACACCTTTTCATGATAAAAAACACTTTCAACCATTAGAAATAGAGAAAATTATATAAATATAATAAAGGCCACATATGAAAGCCCACAGCTAACATCATACTTAGTGAAAAACTGAAAGCTTTTTCTCTAACACCAGGAAGACAAAGATGTCTACCCTTGCCACTTCTATGCGATACAGTACTGAAAGACCTAGCTAGAGCAATTAGGCAATAAAAAGAAGTCAAAGGCATCCAAATCAGAAAGAAAGAACTAAAATTATCTTTGTTCATTAACGATGCAATCTTATGTGTAGAAAACCTTATTTAAAAAAGCTGTCAGAACCAATAAAAGAATTCAGTAAAGATGCAGAATACAGATTCAGCATACATAAATCAGTTGCATTTCTATATACTAAAAATGAACAAGGCAAAAAAGAAATTAAGAAAATCCCATTTACAATAGCATCAAAAAGAATGAAATATTTAGAAATAAACTTAACCAAGGAGGCAGAAAACTTGTACACTGAAAACTACAAAACATTGCTAAAAGAAATTAAAGAAGACACAAATAAAAGACAGCACTGGTCATGAATTAAAGATTCAATATTTTTGAAATATCCACATGACTCAAAGCAATCTACAGATTCAATGCAATCCCTATAAAATCCCAATGGCATTTTTTACAGAAATAGGAAAAAGCAATCCCCAAACCCCAAAATTCAAAGGAACCACAAAGACCCCTAGTAGACACACACACACACACACACACACACACACACACAAAATCCTGAGAATGAACAAAGCTGGAGGCCTCGTACTTTCTGACAGGGGCCTACAAATGTATGAAAAAAGCTACAAAAATCAAAAACAGCAAAGCAGTAACATAAAAACAGGCATGTAGACTAATGAAATACAATAGAGCACCCAGAAGTACATCCACATGAATATAGTCAACTGATCTTCAACAAGGGTGCCAAGAATACACACTGGGGAAAGGATAGTTTCAACAGGCAGGGTTGTGAAAACTGAGTGTCCACACATAAAATAATGAACCTAACCCTTATCTGACATCACACACAGAAACCTGCTCAAAATGGATTAACTCCTTTCTCATTGTTGGAACTGAAATTTGTAGATAGGGAAGGATAGGAGGCTAGAATAATCCATGTAATGGATTAGAGTTGGAGACATCAATATGAGCTTGTTTAGCTTAATATAGATATGTATGATAATATAAATATAGATATGAGTATATACCCAGGTTGGTATACACATACATATTTCTTAGTTCTGTCAGCACCAAAAGGGCCTAAAAGAAATAACACCTCAGTAGCAATGAGTATACCTAGCTCTGTTTCTAACACCATTCTTCAATAAAAGGAACCAAGAGTTCCTTGGAGAAATAACTGATTCTAGGATTGGACAGGAAATACACAAGATGAGCCTGGGGCATTTTGCACTGCCAGAGAGTAAGAAAATACTTTCCAAGATGAAAAAGAAAAAGAAGATGCACCCCCCGCCCTGAAAAAAATAAAAAGTCCAACCTCATTGATGGGGATATGTCAAAGGGACACAGGAGCCAAGTGAAAGAGCTCCTAATGGCCAAGCCATTAGAACAGTTTGAGTAACAAAGCAGTACTGAATTATAACCCAAAGTATAAAATGAGTCCATACTGATAATAAGTAGAAATCTCAATAGTGGAAAAGAAACAAATGGGTACAAAATTCCACGACTTATGTAGATATTCCAGCCTCAAAAAGGAGAGCACACCTTCCCACTCCTTAAGTATGGGCTGAACTATGGTGATTTCCTTAAGTACAGTAAGAAAAGGAGAAAATGAAGAGTCAGTTCACAGTGAAGAAACCTGTACCTCAGCCAGGTATCAAGATTAATATCAAGCCATAAATCACGTTAGTAGTATGTACCCTTGATTTGATGTGATGAAAATGGCATTTTATCTCTGTGATCTTCCTTCCCAACACCCATAACCCAAGTCTAATCATGAAGAAAACATCAGACAAATTCCAACAGAGAGAGACATCCCACAAAGTATTTCGCCCACACTCTTCAACACTGTCAAGGTCATCAAAAACATGCCAACTAAATGTAATACGGCATCTAGGATAGAATCCTGGGGCAGGAAAAGGACACTAGGGAAAAACTTAGAAATTTTCTGTTTGAATAGACTCTAGAATTTACTTAACATTGTGTCAATATTAGTTCACTAATTATAACAAATGCACTGTACTAATGTAAAATGTTAATAATATAGAAACTCTGTACTATCTCTTAAAGTTTGGTTTATCTAAAACTGTTCTAAAACAATATAGGGTCAATTTACATGGGGGAAAAAAGATAAGCCACAGATTAGAAGAAAGTATCTGCAAAGTATCTATCTAATAAAGGATTTGTATTCAGAATAAGTCAAAAGAGCTCTCAAACCTCAATACTAGGAAAACAAAAAATCCAATTGAAAAATGGGCAACAGATCTGAGCAGACACTTCACTGAAGATGTATACATGGCAAATATGCACATGAAAAGATGCTTAACATCATTGGTCATTAGGGAAATTTGTTAAATATTGCTAAAACCACTGTGAGACAATACATATTAAAATAACTGAAATTAAAAAGACTGGCAATGCCAAGTGTTGGCAAGATGGAGCTGGAACTCTCATAGACTGCAATGGAAATGCAAAATGTTAAAATCACTTTGAAAAAGCTTGACAGTCATTATTCTAAGCGAAGTAACTCGGGAATGGAAAACCTAAGCTATGAGGATACAAAGGCGTAAGAGTAATATAATGGACATGGTGGACTTGGGGAGGAAGGCTGGGAGGGGCATGAAGGATAAAAGATTACATTTAGGGTACAGTATACTGCTCGGGTGATGGGTGCACTAAAATCTCAGAAATCACCGCTAAATAACTTCTCCGTGCAACCAAAAACCACCTGTACCCTCAAAAATTATTCAAATAAAATTTTTTTTTAATTTCGGTAGTATCTTGAAAAAATAAACCTACCATATCATCCAGCCATTTCATTCTAAAGTACTTGCTCAAAAAAAAGCATATGTTCGTTCAAAGATGTATGCAAGAAAGTTCGCAGCATTCTGTGTATTCTAATGCCTAAAACTTGAACCAACCAAAATATCCATCAATAGGTGAATAAATTGTGGCAGAACTCTACAACATAATACTTCTGAACAATAAAAAGAAATGAACTACGGATACATGCAACATGGATGAAACGCAAAATAATGCTGAAAGAAGCCAGATTAAAAAAAAATTACACACTATATGATTCCTTTATACTAAACTTCCAAAAATGCAACCATCTATAGTGACAGGAAGCAGATCAGTGGTTACTTGTGGGAAATGGAAGGGACAGGGACTATAGAGGACCAAGAGGAAAGCTTCAGGAGTGATCAAATGTTCATTATCCTAATTTGTGGTGATGCTTTCATGGATGTAAATATGTATATGTCAAAATATCACATTGCACACTTTAGTATGCACAGTATTTAGTATACTGATTCAATTTCGATAAAGCTGCTGAATGTGCTAATGGAGTGTTACCAAGTGGTGAGAGAGAGACTAACTATAGCAAGACGTTTTTCTTGTAAAGGAGATACTGCATGGAAAGCTGAAATTTAGAAGAGACTTCACAATGAGTGCTACTCGAAGTGCTGTTCTACAAACCATCACTGGCCCATCATAACAAATAACTTGCACAAGAAGATAAATTAACTACCACACTAAGCACACTATTTCCTTCAGCTGATAATTTTTTTAAAACCAAAATTTCTCGATGAAGACAGCAGTATACTGATACACTTTCTGGCCCAAGCTCCTTATTGAATCACTGACCTGTAACAAACAGTTCACAGACAAGCACTTCTCTGCAGACACATTTTGAGTAGCACTGTTTAGATCACACTCAGAAAACACTCTAAGCCTATCCTCATCTGTATGATGAGAATAGTAATAATTGCTCCGGATGCCTCAAAGAATAGTCTGATGCTCTAATAAGCCATATGGCTTGCAAATAGCAAGCACCTATTAATTATGTATTATTGAGTTACGTATAATTACGTATAACTACTGAGTTATTTGGAGTCATTTAAAATAAAGCAATATATAAAAATAAAACAAGACACTTTTCATTTGCTCAGAATGCTTGTTGTTAAAGTTAACTGAGGTTACAAATGGTTTGTTTTTCCAATGAATTTAACATCCCAAAGTATTCAATATTGAGTTTATTAACAAAAGTGGATGTGTACATAGTCTTATCTCATATTTGAATATACACACTGCATAATGACAGCTATTTTTTATCAGAGCAATGTTTCCCAAACATAGAAGCGCAGAAGTAAAATGTTATTTTCATTTTTCTGTATTCTTGATTTTAGTTTCTAGAATTCATAAACTCAAAACTGTTCACATAAGTTTAGAGTATTTGTTCTTGTTTATCTCTGACAAAGAGGTGTTCTCTAAGAAATTTTATATTTTATAATCTTTCCTCTGAAATATGAGAAAGACATGGAATCTCCTGAGTTATATATGCAGCTTATACATTCTTTGAAAAAATTATTTTTTAAAAATATCACAAAGTATATATCCATAATATATGTTGCTATTCACACAATTCTTTAAGCAATATTCAAGTATATTTGTGCTTTATATTTTTACATTACTTTAGAACCTATTTTTAGCTTTCAATAAAACTATGTATCTCCAAAGATTTCTCAAATATTTAATAAATGAGGCAAAACAATCATGAAAATATAAACTGCTACTATAGATTTTTCATCTTTCATTTTATGCATTTCCTCTCAACCATGTAATTTCCTGTTAAGGAATGTTGATAAATTTTTATCTTTATAATATCAATATTGCTGCTTTCTCAGCCTGGTGCAACAGTCAAGACATCACAAGGTTTCTGAACACGCAGTATTCACTCTGCCATATAAGTTGGAGCAATAAAATCTGATAGGACTGGTATTCATCATTTCCAGTTATTTCAACTGCAGGACCACCTTAAAACACAAATTGAAGAGAAAATATCAGGTTATACAAGACTGATGCTGATATATTCCATATTAAATGCTTTGAAGTCTCTGAAAAAGGGCATGGAGAACTCATAACAAGCAAGTACAATGCACAGTAACTGATGACATATGCCTGCTGGAATCTACGGTTCAGAATCTGTTACCATTTATATCGGGCTCTATCACATGCACCCTTCACACATGTAGCCCCAGCCATCCAGCCAAGCCTGAGCTGCTCGTTTGGTTAATAGGCATGTGGACCGGTAATCAAAGCACTACAATGTTTGAGCAAATGCAGAGTGTGGAGAGAAGCTGAAGTTTATCAGAGTTTTTAAAAAGGAGGATCAAGAAGATTAAATAGTAGGGCAATAGAGGTTGTAAGAATCACTGAGACTTAATCACTGAGATGAGATCACTAGAGAAAATGCTGAGCAATAACGAAGAAACATACATATACAAAGACAATTATTTTTATTCCTCCTCACAACAGTTTCCACTGTTTAAGTATTATTTTTCTCATTTATTAAACATTAGGAGCAGTTATTGTTATTTAGCCACTCCATTGTAAATGTGAAGTTTTTGGACATTCATTAGTTCTGTCTTGCCTCAACCTGATTTTGTCATAATAACTACAAGTCAGATTCTGTCTTCCATAGTTAGAGGATCATAAAAGCAATTTTCTATTATTAGTCCAGTTAATAAAGCCACTTTTTTTAGGATCGTAATTTTTTTAATCATAAAAACTCTTCAGAATCAATTTTATTATTCTAAGGTAAAAATGTTATTTTTATCATTAACGAGCATTGCAGCAAAAGAAATTCAGCTGTTAGAATAGCACTATTATTCTTTCAAAAATTACTTAGTACATTATGTTCAAAACTAATTGAACATTACAAGTTATAATTAATATCTAAAACTAGAGCTCAGAACATATTAACAAAGTATTTTCTGTGCTTAATTAACATAAAACATCTGGAGAAAAAACACTAAAAGTGAACTATGAGTCTAGGAGTATCAATCAAAACTTAAAACATTTGGCTGGGTGCAGTGGCCCATGCCTGTAATCCCAGCACTTTGGGAGGCCAAGGCGAGTAGATCACTTGAGGTCAAGAGTTTGAGACCAGCCTGGCCAACATGGTAAAACCCCATCTCTACTAAAAATACAAAAATTAGCCAGGCCTGGTGGCAGGCATCTGTAATCTCAGCTAGTCTGGAGGCTCAGGCACGAGAATCGCTTGAACTCGGGAGGCGGAGGTTGCAGTGAGCCGAGTTCGCGCCGTTGCCCCTCCAGCCTGGGTGACAGAGTGAGACTCCAACGCAAACAAAAAAAAACCCCAAAACCTTAAACATTCAAATCATATGACAAAATTATAGCAAATACCTTATTCGCTGCTTCCAAGGACTGTATTAGATTCTGCAGCTCCTCTCTACTCATTTCAATAGAATAAGGTTTTACTTCACCATTTTCTTTTACATCTAGATGCAGGCTTAAAAGTGGCATTCGTAATGCAGCAATCTTGTCACTGGAAAGTGCAAGCTGTTTAAAATCAGAAAAATAGCAATTAATAAATAGTAAAAAGAACTATATTGAGTATACATCAGAGGTTAGTTAGCAGTACATTTTTTAAAAGTACTGTTTGCTGTTGAGTATAGAGAAAGGTGAAAGAAATAAATTAAGTCCATGCTAAAGCATATTTGAAGAACAGAAAGAGAAAGGAGAGTGAATAAAGGAGAGGAAATCGGTAGGAAAGTAAGACAACCAGTCAGCAATCTTGTGGCAGAAGCAGGTGTCTAGATCAGAGTCATGCCTGGGAAGTACTGAATGGGTCTAATGTACAAGAAACAGAGAATTCTTAAAGAAGACTGAAGGCACCAAGAAGATGAAAGTTCATGTACAAAGATAAGTGAGACCAAAAATAGTGGTAAACTCTCAGAAATTAAGATGCTTAATTCATGGTCAGCTATCTATCACAATATTGATAAATATGTTATCAAGATACCATCTTCAATTAGAGCCACTCAACAGAAACACTCTGTACATTTACCTCACTTCTTAATTTCTTTCTCTGGAATATATCCTAGGGGAATTGGAAGAACCAAATATTTATAATACTAATACTTCTTGAAATGAGCACTGTAGCTTCCTTGGCAGACAGCATAGGGAAACTCAATTTTTCTAGAATCTGAGCCAGAAAAATCCACAAAAACTGAATCTTTGTTTAGAATGCTGCCACTTGCAAAAAAATTACTTATGCAATGATAAGGGACATCTTCCCTAATGACCTCAAAGGATCTCCCTTGTGGTACATACACTATAGAATCAAATCTTGACATAGCTCCTCTATTCTCTCACCCAAAAACAGGACCCATAATATCTCAGATCTGGAAGTATCAGCTTCAGGTTAACTATCTTATGCATAATTCTCCTCCTCAATATTTCCAATAAATAGTTTTTCACCCTATGCTTGAATACCACCAATGATGATGCATGTGCTACCTTGAGAAGCGGTTACAATCATTTCCAGATACTCATACTTGTTAAAAAGTTCTTCCCCAGGTTGAATTGAAACGTATCTTATTGCAAATAATATACGTTAGTCCTTCACCTAGTCTCTGGAGCCACAAAGCATTTATATATTTCCCCATCTATGAATTTTAGCCTTTTAAAGGTAAGTGTCATGTTTCTACTAGGTTTAATCTTTTCCAGGTACATGGTCTCAGTGTTTCAAAGCAATTTCACACACCACGATTTTAAGTTCCTGGTCATTCTTTTCTAGTTGGAGTCCAATTTGCTTAAATATCTCTTAAGTTTGGCAGCCAAAACTAAACAGATAATACACTAAGAAGATATTATCACTGGAAACAGAATGTACTAGCACCATCTCTTGCTTGAAGAACTGCAATTCTGTCAGGCACAGTGGCTCACGCCTGTAATCCCAGCACTTTGGGAGGCTGAGGTGGGCAGATCACCTGAGGTCGGGAGTTCTAGACCAGCATGACCGACATGGCAAAACCCCATCTCTATTAAAAATACAAAATTAGCCAGGCGTGGTGGCACATGCCTGTAATCCCAGCTACTCAGGAGGCTGAGGCAGGAGAATCACTTGAACCCGGGAGGTGGGGTTGCGGTGAGCAGAGATCGTGCCATTGCACTCCAGCCTGGGCACCAAGAGCGAAACTCCATCTCAAAAAAAAAAAAAAAAAAAAAAACAGAACTACGTTTCTACCAACAAAATACGGGCCTGAATCAACACGAATGAAGCTATACTTTGATAAACCAAAATAACTAAACATTTCTCATATATGCTACTATTAACATCTCTCTTATCCTTTATTTATTTATTTTTTTCTGAGACAGAGTTGTGCTCTGGTGCCCAGGCTGGAGTGAAGTGGCACGATGATCTTGGTTCACTGCAAGCTCCACCTCCTGGGTTCAAGCAATTCTCGTGCCTCAGCCTCCCAAGTAGCTGGGACTACAGGCACACACCACAACACCCAGCTAATATTCATATTTTTTCAGTAGAGTTGCAGTTTTGCCATGTTGGCCAGGCCAGTCTCAAACTCCTGGCCTCAAGTGATCCACCCGCCTTGGCTTCCCAAAGTGCTGGGATTACAGGTGTGAGCCACCGTGCCTGGTCTCCTTTATCTTTTATATTTATAAAAATATAAACTCTGAAATTGAAATTAAATTTATAAAATTTAAATATTTAAATTAAAAATCCTCTGTTTAGGTTGCCTGATTAATTTATTTTGCTTCATTTGGTCACTGATTGTAATTGGCTGTGACATAATTTTGAACTTTGTGTCACATTATACACTTGTTATAGCTCTAGTTTTGTATCACCTTCAGATCTGATAAGCATAATATTCATAAAAATGTTGAAAATGACTGGGCCAAGACCAGAGCCACAGAGACTTTTTAACTAATATAAATTCATCTGTCTTTGCTTGGTTATTTATCCAATTATGAACCCACCTGTTATCTTCCCACATTTTTCTCTACTTAATCCACATACACAATGTAAGGCACTTTATCCAGGGTCATGCTAACATCAAGAAACACAATGTATTTATTTCCTCTTCATCTACTGGTCTAGGTATCTTATAAGGACAAAAAGTTGGTCTGAAATTCTTCTTTATGAACTCTACTGATAGTGACTCTCAAAATGTATTAAAAACTAATGTTTTAATAATATCTTATAGATTTTCCTCCTAGAGGTAGAATCACATTTACCAGTCTTAAGAAAGCTATAAAGTCTAGAAAGTTGTGGTCAAAAATATATATTGACCAAGTGGGATGGCTCACGCCTGTAATCCCAGCACTCTGGTGGGTGGAGGCAGGCAGATCACTTGAGGCCAGGATTTGAGACCAGCCTAGCCAAAATGGCAAAACCCCAAATCTCCACCAAAGATACAAAAATTAGCCGGGCATGGGGGCACATGCCTGTAGTCCCAGCTACTCAGGGGGCTGAGGCAGAAGAATTGCTTGAACCCGGGAGGCAGAAGTTGCAGTAAGCTGAGATCGCACCATTGCACTCCAGCCTAGATGACAGAGCACGACTCTTGTCTCAAAAAATAAATAAATTATACATATATATATATATATATATATATATATATATATGTATATGTTGACTATATGCTGCCCCATCACTTATGTCATTTAATAATTTACAGATCTAATTATATTTATTATCAATGTAATGTTATTATACATGGCTTAGATGTTTGTAGTGTACTTATGCCCAAGTTAATTCAAGATGTAATTTAAACTATCTTTGATATTTCTTTGGGATAATACATTCCCAAAATAACAAATTTTATATATATGATATTATAAAGATATTTCTCTATATCCAAAAAATGAAATAAAAAATACACATACTCATAGACTCTTACCTTTACCTGCCAATCAAAATCCTGTAGCTGTGCAGAGGAAATAGCAACTATTTCTCTTGACAGAGCCTGTTTGATTTCATCTTTCCTACTTTTCACGCATTTCATGATAGTTTCTTGATGAAGTGAATTCAACTGATTCAACTGCTGAAATATCTATAAAAATAAAAACAGGCAAAAGGGGCTTTCTGTTTAAAATGTAAAAACACAATTCCACTCTCCTTTTGCACACTTTTAAAGCAACAGTAAAAGAAAAAGAGAAATACTTCTGTAACTATAAAAAAGAGTAAGATGAGAATGAATAACCAGAAAATAGGTTTTAACAAATTTCTGCAAAATATACAGTAAAGAAAAAGGACTGATGGAAGCAGCAGCATGGAAATGAATACACCTGGAAAACACCAAAGCTGATACCACCACGCAGGGTGAGTATCTCAAATCCCAAAACAGGAAAAGTTCTGCTCACTGATAGGATGCTCAAAGGAAGTGCTCATTTGAATAGTTGAGATTTCAGATTTTTTGAGTAGGGATGCTGCACTGGTGAGTATAATGCAAACATTGCAAAGTCAAAAAAATCCGAAATCCAAAACACTTCTGGTTCCATGCATTTCAAATAAGGGATACTCAACTTGTATTAATATATCAGACAATGTAGCCCTTAGGCAAGAAGCATTACAAGAAATAGAGAACGACAGTAAAAGGGCAATTCAACAGAAAGACACAACAATCATAAATCCCTCTGCACCTAACACCATAGCTTCAAAATATATAAAGCAGCAAAATTTGGCAATACTAAAAGAAATGAATAAATCCACATTCACAGTTAGAGGTATTAATACAACTCTCAATAGCTGACACAAAGAAACGAAAAAAAATCAATGAGGATATAGAAGAATTGAAAAAATGCATTCTACCTAACCTTAGCAATATATAGAATACTACACCTGACAACTGTACACATTATTTTCAAATGTATATGGAACATTCACCATAACGTACCATATTCTGAGCCATTTGGCAAACCACGACAGATCTCAAAGAACTAAATAATACTGTTTATATTTTTATTACTGGGTAATGAAGTTATGACTAATGAGAAAAGGTAACCAAAAAATTTCTGAATGTGTGAAAATTAAGTAGCACAACACTAAATAAATAAAGTCAATCTCACTTATTCTTCCTGAGAACAGGAAAAAAATCCTTCCCAATTCATTCCATGAGGCCAGAATAAAACTTAACACCTTGACAATAGTATTATAGGGAGGAAAAGAAAAAAAAAAAACACCTAGGCCAAGATCACTCAAATATAGATGTAAAAATCCTAAACAAAATATTGGCAATCCAAATCAAGAGATATATAAAAAAAAAGATAATACATCACGATCAAGTGGGGTTTATTTTGGCAGTGCAGCCTTAGTTTAACATTCAAAAATCACATGAACAAAATAGAGAAGAAACAATAATAAATTCAGGGAAAAGCATTTCATAAAATTCAATATCCATTCATGGTAAAAATTCTCAGCAAAGTTAGAATTGTAGGATGCTTCTTTAGTCTGATAATGGATATCTATAAAATTACAGAGCTAACATACTAAATGGTGAAATAGTAAACACTTTCTCCCTAAGGTTAGGAATAGATATATATCTACTATGACTGCTTTTTTAAAAGAAACACTGACTACTGGTGTTAGCCAATGCGCTAAGGTAAGAAAAATAAATGAAAGATGTTAAAGTTGAAAAAGAAAATTATTATATACAATCTCCCCCCAAAAAATCTGTATACAATTAGACACAGTAAACAAATTTAGAAAGGCTGTGGGACACAAGGTATATAAAAATCAACTGTACATACTAGCAAAAAACTACTGAAAAATTAAAGATCAAAAACATCATTTACTCAGAAATAAAAATATTTGCAAGAGCTCAACACTGAAAACTACAAAATACGAGAGAGACAAACTAAAGCTAATCTAAATAAATAGAGGGCTATCCCATGTTCTTAACTTTGGAAAGCTAAATGTTGTTAAGATGTCAATTCTCCCCATAAATGATCTCTATCAAAATTCCAGCAGGTTTGTAGGTTAAAACTGAAAAGTTGATTCTAGAGGGTTATCCGAAAATATAATAGCCAAGGCACTCCTGAAGAAGCATGAGAATGAAGGTCTTCTATTACCAGATATGAAGACATAATTTAATTTAGCTTTAATTCTACAGTAATTAAAGCAGTATAGCATTGGCAAATATACAAAAGTAGACTAATGGAATACATTGAAGAGTTGAGATACAGAGGCACAAATATAGGGCCACTTGATTTACAATAAAGGCAGCACAGCAATATTGTGGGGCAAGGATGGTCATTTCAATAAATGGTCAACTAGATATTAATGTAGAAAATTGTGAACTTGACCTCCACTCCATACACAAATATTAATTCAAAATGCATCAGTAACATAATGTGAAAGCTAAAACAATCAAGCTTCTACAAGAATACATCCAAGAATCTTCATGTCTTCAGCACAAATATTTCTGAAACAAAACATTAATAGTATTAGCCAGCAAAAGAAATATTGACAAAGTAGATCTGTTAAATTTCATAACTTGTTTCACCAAAAGATACCATTAAGAGAGTAAAAAGGCAAGCACATAATAGAAGATATTTAAAATACATATTTCTAACAATGAGCTTATATCCAGAATATCAACCAAATCAATGACAAACATACATAACTTGATTTTTAGAAAAGTGAGCAACCTACACAAGCTCAAATGATTTTTGACAAAGATGCAAAAGCAATTCAGTGGAAGAAGGATATCCTATGACCATGCAATTTCACTTCAAGATATCTACCCCAGAAAAGCTGGTGTGAGTGTGAACAAGGAGACATGTAAAGAACATTTATAGCAGCACTACTTGTAATAATGAAAGAAGCAATGACTATTCATTAGTCAGTAGGGAGATAAATAAATCCTATTTAATTCCTATCATCAAATACTACAAGGAGTTAAAATACACTAACTAGATCCATGTTTATCAATGTAAAACACAATGCTGCATTTAAAACAATTTACAAGTGCAGACAAATGTTACATTTTATTACAAGTTATACACTGACACACCCCAAATAATTTCAATACACTAAAAGATTCAAACATACACACAATATATAATACAAAACATGAACACCACCTTCAAGAGTGGTGATCTCTAGGTAAGAGTGGGATATCCAGGAGGGGGATAAGGGAATTTAGGTTATCTTTGTAATGCTTTATTTCTGAAACAAACACACACATTGCAAAATGTTAACACCTGTTTAACTGGTAATGTGAATGTAGGTGTCAGTTATATAATTTCTTGTTTTCTTCTGTATGTTTTAAATGTTTCACAAAAGAGTAAAAACAACCAAAAACAAAACTGCAAAAACCTAGGACTTCCACAGATTTTTCCATTCACAATTATAAGGTATTTGTTGTTACTGATGATAGCCCTTGTATTATACATTGCTCTAAAAAACTCAGAGAGAAACCTGAGCATTATTTATTGTAAGTTATAGAAATGTGCAGAGAAGTTACCTCTTCATCAGGTAAGTTTTTACCAACTATGGCTTTGAAAAATTTGGCAATATCTTCTAAAACGTGCATCCATTCTTCTGATTCCCAAACAGTGTGATAATCTTGGTACACAGGATAAGCTCGACCACAAATGCCATCAATTATTTTGTGAAGAAGCTAGCAAGAAAAAAGGAAATAAATGTACTTATAAGTAAAATGATGAAACAAATTTATCTTCCTCTTAACAAACAAATGTTGGGAGATGTTCATGTTATCTGCAAGACCAGCTTAAGTTAAAATGTATAAACCACTTTTAAGATTATTCTAATTAAAAATTAGAACTCATAAAAATCCTAGACTTTCTATTATTATGTTGACCTTCAGAAGCTAAAATAATTTTGTTATAAAAATTACATAATGAAAAAACTAAAAGGAAGATACATATAAAAGATTCCATATTTATAGCAACGACCAAACAAAAGGATAGGACTTATATCAAAGTCTCTTACTGTAGGCCTATAAGCTTCATTTTGCTTTGCCTCCATTTTCACAACATACTTTTTTTTCTTTTGAGGGTCTCACTATGTTGCCCAGGCTGGCCTTGAACTCCTGAACTCAAGCAATTTTCCCATCTCAGCCTCCCAAGTAGTTAGGACTGCAGACGAGCACCACCGCACCCAGCTCAGCAGTTACTTTTGCTGTATTCCCAGAAAGTCTCCAGTACTTTTTTCCTTTTTTTACTTTCCTTTCTATCCTATTAGTATCTTAATATCAGCAACAGAAAGCCTAACACATGTATAACTGAGCATAGTGATTAAGACTACGGATTTTGGAATAAAACTATCCAGTTCCAATCCCAGTTTCAGTATTTTCAAGTTTTATTTAAATGTTCTGAGTCTGCTTCCTCAAGTGTTAAATGAGGATATCATCTATTCTCTTAATCTTGCTGTAAGGATGGAATAAGAATACGTGCAAATCACTTGGCATCTTCCTGGCATGTACAAAGACATGTAGACATTGCTAGCCCTCGTTACCATTCTAATTATTATCACTAGTCCTCCTCCTCCAATTCATGCCTTCAGCATCTATTAACTGAGATAACACAATGCCAGTACTATTCTAAGCACTTAACATTTAATAAGGTTATCTTTCTTGAAGTTATTTGTATCTTACAAGAGGAGTATTTGAACCAAATAACTTGGAAATAATCATATTCCACCCCATTTTAACTAATAACTCCTTCCCTCTAACACCACACATGCCAGAACACAAGCAACTGCTTCCAAATGGTGGCTAATATACTATACAAACTGAATTTTTATTTACCATAAATCAACATACTCAATTTTGAATCCATTCAAAATTCTCTACACCTTATCCTATACTGTCCCCATGCTAAAAAAAAAACCCAGAACTCAAACTGAAAAATAAAAGCATTATCTTTTTTGGAATATGTTTGTTATTCATTCACAAATATGTAATGAACACTTCATCCCAGTTATTAAATAAAGTCATGGAAATGACCTTATTTAATGACAAAGGTCATGGAAATGACTTTATTTAATGGCAAAGAAACTATAATAGCTACCGTTATGGATCCCTAACTAGGTACCACACTCTGGACTGATCCTCACTACAACTCTGAAGTAACCATTGTTATTATTTCTATTTTACAAATGAGGAAACTGAGAATAAATAAGGCCCTACCATAACAGAGCTTTAGTCCATTCGAAAAAGGCAAACATACAAATACATGTAATTTAGAATGATGGGGCCATAATAAAAATATATACAAGGTACGAAGGAGCACAGAGAGGAAGCAAGGAAAAGTCCATCTTAAAAGGATGAGTAGTTGGCCAAGCAAAACAGGAGAGAAGAAGTGCATTTCTAGACACAAGCAAGTTATTTTGGGGGGTGCCTAGGGGGTGACAGGAGACAAGGCTGGAGAGGTGGGTGGAGCCAAATCAAAAAGGGCCTTGTGTACAAAGTAAAAGAGCCTAGACTTCAATCTGTGCTCAACCGGGAAGCAACCTATTCACACATTTGCATTATTTTTCCATATATTTGCTAACAGGTTGGAAGATGTAAGAGAGAGGGTGAGCCCAGATGCCTCAATTTTCAGTTAAGGAGTTAAAGATTAAGGGGCTTAAATTGTTGAGGACACTCAAAATGGAGGCAGTAAAGAGGTAGAAGAGATGTGAAAAGGGGGGGCCATGGATGAAACCTAGAACGTCAGGTTGAGAGGGGCTGGGTGAAAGTGGTGGTGCCACAAACCGAAAATGAGGCTACGGGAGGAGTAGGTCCAGGGGGAAAGAAGAGCTGAGGCAAGGGCATACTGAATTTGAGGTACCTGTGGCAGAAGCCTGACACTCAGGGAAGAGATTTTGGTTTGGGGTTTTTGGGGTTTTGTTTTGTTTTTTACCTGGCATTCTTGAACCATAGAGGAAGAAATTTTTGGCTGGACCTAAAGATTTAGAAGTCATCGACATATATGGTAATAAAGGTTATGGGCCTTATCTAAATGGGTAGAGTGAAGACAAGGAGAGCCAAAAGCCAATAAAACACTCAGAATCAACAGATCTGAGCATAAGTTCCAGCTCTGCCACTAACTGGATGGGCAATCCTGGGCAAGTTAGCCAAAATTTCTGCTGACATTTCAGGTTCCTCACTTGCAAAAACAAAGAAAAGAATTAGGTGTTTTTTTTTCTTGACCCTGGCAGGAGGTAAGTTCATTCCTTTCTGTCTCCTCCACACTTTCTCCAGTATAAATGGAATAGAGGAAACAGGAAGCCAAAATTGAGACTTATAAAAAAGATGCTCCACCAGGGCACAGGCTGTGTCTCACTCACCATTTACCTCATCCCATCGGGGCGCTCAATCTATGGTAGACTTCAATGAAAAACTGGCTGAACAAATGAATGTGGTTGCTTTTTCCAGATTCTTACAAGCCAGGTTCTTTTACAGACTGGAAGTCAATGGGTACATCACCTCTTGGGACGATCCTAACTAAAGTAACTCGCCCAGTTATTTCTCTTCCTACCAACCACCCTCAAGGGGGGAGGCAGGGTCCGCTTCGGTCTTTGTCACATTGTATTCCAGCACCTAGCTCTGTACCTGCTGTCCGGTAGGTAGGGAGCCTTTGGGAGGTTATGTGTTGAATGAATTAAGAAAACGTATACTAAGAGGCAGCAAACACCGACTTAAGCTTTCAAAGCCCAGTCTGGTGTGGGCGCTTCTGCGCGCAAAGCCCCTGGAGCTGCACCTCTAGGCTGGGGGTGGCGCCCCAAGCTGTCCTCCTAGGCTCCCCAGGGAAGGCGGGGACCAACCACCCGAAATCACGCCCCTTCCTCCTCCCTTCCCTAGGGAGCTTGCGAAGGCGTCCGGGTCGCACCCGGCCTGATCCGCACGCCGGGCTGTCGCGAATCCCAGGCCCCGCGCCGCTTCCCCCGGTACCCGCCCTCACCTGCGGGCCCAGCTCGGCCGGCAGCTTCTGCAGCCGCCACAAGGGCGTCCCCTCTTCCGGCTCCATCCCTGCGCGAAGCTGGGGCTTGGGTCACGTGTCAAGGCTGGCCGCTTGTCTAAAGCTACGACTCGCCCACGTGACTCTCGCCGGCGGGGAGGGGCGTGGACCCAAGAAGTCCCTGTGCGCTTGCGCAGAGACCGAACTACCGCTTTCCCCGTAACCAGGGAGACTGCAGTTTGCAGTGATGTGGCTAAGATACCCTTGTGCTATTAAAGGCACATTTACGTATCTTTCAACGCAGTTTGTACCTTTGTTTAGGGTTCTATTGAACTTTCTCTGTGCTCTTTAGAAAACCGTCGAATAAAGGTAACCATCTTTTTGGGTGCCTGGGCATGGTCATTGTCCCAGAGTTTTAACAGAAGTCTCTACTAAAGTATCCTGATTTGCAAGGTAAATTAAGGTTTTGCCATGAGCAACGTTCTGTATATAGATCATCCTAGGGAGAAGGTACTATTTTCAGCCCTATTTGCAGAAAGCAAACATGATTAGAGAAGTCACTAAGGTTGTCAGATTTAGCAAATGAAAATACCAAGCGTCCAGTTAAATGTGAAATTTCAGATAAACAATAATATTTTGTTGTAAGTATCCCCTAAATATTGTATGGGATATATTTATACTGAAAATTATTTGTCCATCTGAAATTCAAATTTAACTGGTGTCCTGTATTTTATCTGGCAACGCTAAAAATCACTGACCTAAGTAAGAGGCCCAGTCTGAAGTTAAACAAAATCAATCAGACTCAAGAGCCATGCTATTAATGTTGGACTAAGCTCAAAGTCCAAATATCCTTTCTGTTATTTCTTATTACAGCTGTTACTTTAATCAGGTGCTGAAGAATTCAGTGGTGGTAAAATGAGCATGTCCTGCAAAAGCGGATAATAATAACTAGTAGACCAGAAACAGGAATTACAATCTAATTTATAAATTTAATAATAAAAGTGGTGCAAAATGGTGAAGCAGAAGAGAAAGTATTCAATCTATGGGCTACGCAGAGAAAAACTACTCATTAGCAGCATTCTAGGTTTACCTCCTACGTCCTTTCTCTGTGTGCCTCAACTCTAAAAGGTGAAGTCAATTTCTTTCTCCCGTGAGTTTTCATGATATTTTAGCTGTCCCTCACTTATTTACCACTTTCTAGTTCTTAATGCAGATAGATGCACAACACTCATTGCCCTATCTTAAATGTAATTGTCTTAAGATACTTTGTGAATAGGAGCTCCCCTAGTAATAGTTAAAATGAGAAGTCTGGAAAACTACTTCACCTGAGTCTTTCTGTAAATCTAATGATGGGTAAGGTCTATTTTGAGAAAAAAACTTAAATTTTATGTATTATAATAATTGGGAGAAAAGTACTTTCAAGCATCTACTATATGTCAAACCCTTCATATATTTTTATCTTACTAATTCCTGCTACAGCCTTGTACAGTGGGTATTACAGATGAGGAAATGAACTTGAAGTAATATATTTTGTAAGGTCACATAGATAGTAGTTACAAAATCACTGGTCTGAGGCCAGAAACGGTGATCTCAGTTTGCATGCTTGACTACCCCTGCTGAGGAACTGAAATGATATGGCTTACCTAAGGCCACGTAACATGACTAAATAAGGTAAAATGACACACCTAACAGGGCCCAAGGTTTAGTCAGAGGACAGAGAATTAGGTCCTAACTCATCTTTCAAGCAACACTGAGTACTAAGAAGAATTTGATCTTTACTCTTGAATTTGGATGGGACAAAATTTAGCCTGCAACAAATATGGTTTCCAAAATAGTTAACAACTTGCAAGAGAGACAGCGCTTAATATTTGCCCTTTGATTAGTAAGAGGATGTTCTTATGTGTGTAATCCAAGAGGTTTTCAAAACATATGTCTGTCTCTTGTAGTTCCATCTCTATGAGGTATATTCTGGTCTCCATCTCCCAAATCTTATTTGTACTATAGCAATCTTTAAATGCATGAACTCTGGAGCTAAACTTCATAAGTTCAAACCCTGGCTCTGCAAATGACTATGTACTCTGGGCAAGCTATTTTCACTTCTCTGTGTTTCTCATTCCTTACAACAACCCTGTAAATTGTATAATTGGTTATAATGACAGCCTAGGATTTACAGGGTGGTTGTAAGTTGATATATGTGAAGTTCTTGCAATGAAGTCTGGCCTGGCACATAGAAAATTGTATTATATTCCCTTCTATGTGGACTTCTTTGCTCTACTGTTATCTAGCCAAAGTCTAGTGGGTTCCAGAAAGTTACCCTCCTAGTGAACTGTCACTGCCTTAGAGATGTGATCTGCATCTGAAACCCAACTAGCCAGCTATATAGTGCTGTATAGGTGATGTAGGTCATTGCTAACAGCTGGGAGAGGTGTACAAAGATCTTAGGTAAACCACAGTGTGTGCCCTTGCTGAGCTTAAACTGGAATTCAAGCTTGCTATTTGTGAAATAATTTGGTGCTCTTTTTCTGAAGTTAGTTTCCTTGAGATTTTTTGTTTTGAGGTGGAAGGAGGAAAGAGTTTTGCGCGCCATGCTTTGGGAAATTCACTCATTCACTCATTCTTTAACAATTGTTGATTAAACATCTACCATTGATTAGATGCTCTAATGACTCTGGGAATGCAAGCAGTGGACAATAATTTACCTTCTGGTTTCAGAGGAGAAGGAGTGCTTAGATAATGAACAAATAGACAATTAAGATGATGAAATATACTGAGAAGTATCTTCAGGAAAATAAAACAGTCATGTAATAGAAAGGGATGGTAGAAATATACCTTAGATTGGTCAAAAAGCACCTAGCTAACAAATGGCATTTATACTAAGGCATAAAGGCTGAAAAGACATGAAGGCAACATCTGGGGAAAAATAGTTGTGAGCAGAATGCAGAGGCTCTGAGGCAAGAGAAAGCCTGCCTTATTCAGCATAATTACCCAAGGCCTGTGTGGCTGGACAGGCCTTGAAGATGCCAGAGATGTGGGCATGGATTTGGTAAAGAAGATACCAGAGATGTGGGCATGGATTTGGACCAGTGAATTGACATAATGTGGTTTACATTTTTAAATGCTTATACCATGGAAACTGGAAAATAGTTATGCTATGCAAAACAGATCTTAGAGTGCAAGAGCAAAAGAAGGGGAACCAATTTGGAGGCTACTCCAGACTTATTCTAACTAATATAGAGATTAGAGTTAATATGGCCTAGTTTCCACCCCCAGACTGTAGAATTCCAGGGGCTTAGTGATAGATGGTGGTAGCAGGAACTAGATACAAATGGAAAGAATCAAAATATATTTTGGAACTAAGACCTATAGAAGTTGATGGTGGATTGGATGCTTGTGGAAGAGAAAGAGATGCTTGTGGAAGTGAAATGCAGACTAAAAGAGATAGTAAAGCATCTGTCATCCAAGCCAGCATGAAGTTTTATGCCCTGAACAAGAGACAGAGCCATAGACTATAGCTTCTTTGTTGGTGAAAGTCTTTTTGAGGTGCAATGGTGTGGTGATTAAGTGTACAGGGTCTAGAGTCAGACAGACCTGGATTCCAGTTATGTCTCCACCACTTACTAACCATATAACCTTGGACAAGTTGGATAAACTCTCATACCTAAGTTCCCTCTACTGAATATAGGGATAAAACTACCACATATTTAATAAAGTTGTCCTGAAGCTCAAATAAAATAATGTACATATCCCAGCCTCCCTTTCATCTGGGGTGGGTGGTGTCCAAGTGCTGGCCAATAGGACGAAAATGGAAGTATTATATAGCACTTCTCGGTACCTTTTATTTAAGGAGAACCCAAATGTACCATTTGCCTTTTTCTTCTTTGTTTCTGCTTCCATCTTGCTTTCTAGAACTCAAATGATGCTGTTTTTGGACAGGGAGGTCATGGACCAAGTACAAAGCGGCAAAAGGATGGAATTAAGGTACCTGACATTGTTGAACCCATGCCTGATGCCACATTAGCTCAGGACTACCTACATGGACATGTACGTGAAATACTACCCTACTTCCCCCTTATTTAAGCCTTTTTTATGGCGGGCTTCATGTCAATATCCCTCAGTCTGATCCCAACTAATATAAGCATTATAGTAAATGACTCCTAATTTGCATCCACGGGCCTGTAGTCTTGGGTTATGATCTCAATGGTAAAAATTAAAAGACAAAATTATAAAATAATAATATACATTTTAAAAATAGGCATTCCTATACATTGCCATTGGCAATTTTTCTAGAGGGTTTTGATTGCATTTATAAAATTTTCTACATGTACCTACTCTTTGACTTAGAAATTCCAGTTCCAGGCCGGGTGCGGTGGCTCACGCCTGTAATCCCAGCACTTTGGGAGGCTGAGGTGGGCGGATCACCTGAGGTCAGGAGTTCGAGACCAGCCTGACCAACATGGAGAAACCCCGTCTCTACTAAAAATACAAAATTAGCTGGGCGTGGTGGCACATGTGTGTAATCCCAGCTACTTGGGAGGCTGAGGCAGGAGAATCCCTTGAACCCGGGGGGCAGTGGTTGCGGTGAGCCAAGATTGCACCATTGCACTCCAGCCTGGGCAACAAGAGCGAAACTTCATCTCAAAAAAAAAAAAAGAAATTCCAGTTCCAGAAATATATAGGAAAAAAAAAATTTGGCTCCAAGAATATTCATTTATACATTGTTTACAATAGCAAATAACTAGGAATAAGTTATTGGCTTAATAAATGATATTATAACATAAAATGAAGCCACAAAAAAGTGATTTTATATAAGAATATTTAATAGAATATAAACTTGCTCACAATAACTATTGGGAAAAGAGTTATGTTTCAAATCTATTTGTTCTGTGTGATCCATGGTGTGCTGGGTGTCTGTGTGTGTAGGTGTGTGCATGTGTAGTGTGCAATTTCCTAGACACAGGAATATACAAAATTTTAGCAATGGTTTTCTTTAATTTGGGAGATTATAGATGATTTTGATTTTCTTCTTTTAGTTTTTCTGCATTTTTAAGTCAAATTTTTATTTAAAAATCTTAAATATTTTAAGATAGCTATAATAAATTTTGACTCTAATGATTCACTTTCATTTTGCTTTCAAACCCAGGTCTTACCTGAACTCAGCCCCTTCCTCCAGTATCTTGCTAAACATCACCAACAACATCAAATTACACTGATGATAATCTGTTTTTTACCCCATTCTCTACAGCTGCAGCCTCCATTGGAATGGGATTTGCTTTCCTAATTGTTGAGTTGTCTTAGGCACTGCATAATATGAATCCCTAGAATTCTAGCCTACTGATAATCGCTAAGCAACCACATATTTTAGTTATATTACAGCAGCCTCTCACTCCTTATTCCAATGTCTGTATTAGGCAGCTGGTTAATTAGTTTAATGGTTAATTAGTTAAATAAAACTGCAGAATTTTAGAAGTTTAACATAATCTTCTTCGTCTTTGTGTGTGTGTGAGTGTGTGTGTGTGTGTGTGTGCGCTTACCTAACAGTCTGATGCATATCGGTGCAGGCATTTAGGTGGCTCTTCTATTCTCTAAGACCTCAGAATTCTCTTTATTCTGGAATTGGTTGCATATGAAAGAGGAAGAATATGAAGGATCACGGAGGGAGTTTTTACGTGCCAGACCTAGATATAATGTGTATCATTCCTACCTGCATTTCATCACCTGGAAACCAATTTCATGGCAGCATGCAATTGTAAGGAAATTTTGGAAATATAACTTAGCTGTGTGTGGAGAAAGAAATGAAATTTAATAAATGTATAGTTGTTTCTACCACAATCATGCCTTTTAAAAAATAAAAGAGAATTTCTCATAGAAGAAATCCTCATATAAACACTGTAAACAATTGTCTTTCACATTTTCATGAGGAGCCATAATCCTTCATGGCTTGCACTTACCACTAGCAAAATATAAAACTGGGCTCCAACTAATGTCTTGCATCTGCCTCAAAAATGTATCGATTCAGATTTATATTAAGAGGAAAATCTGAGAGCCTAGTAATCCAATCAATCCCTTTTCATTTTATTGCCACAATCAGCTTAGATTAAAATTTGTAATTATACCAGTTATATCTGAGAGAAGTCAAGGAGGTGAACTTGGCTGGCTGTTTAGGTAAGCCTCTGGAATATACTAATTCAGAATTAAGAGTCTGTTTTTCAGCTTTTTAGGTCCCCAAACTTGAGCTTATCATTTCATCCAAAAGAGACTGACTCATTGTAACCAAACTCTCAAGAGACTGATTGATAAACCAGAATGTCACAGAGTAGAAATTGTTTTTCTGTAGGATGCTGTATTTTGATCCACAAGTTCTTTTAGTCAACCAAATTATAGATCATAAGGAGGCTCCGTGAATGTAAGACTGAATGAAAGAAAATGGAATAGACCTAAATTAATTTTTTTCTTTAAATTGTCATGACCTAATGACCCTCTTTCATTCCAGGGATATTTCCAGTGAAAGAAAGAAGAAAGCATGCTTTTCTCTTGACTGTGCAGAAAAAAAAACTATGTTTCTTTGATTCTCCATTTTACTAGATGCCATACCTTTGCAATTACTTCATGTGGAGTCTTGACCAAGATTCAGGAAATACTAGAACTTTCAGTCCCAGAAGGTTACTCTGGGCATTACTAGTCCCCATCATTATGAGTTGAGTTTTACTAGTTAATTTCAGACGAAAAATATTTGTTTTTCCCCAAATTCTGGGGTTACGTACTTTTACTACCTATGAACTGACAACTGTATCTTCAGTAATTACAATTTCCAACAAAATGTTATAGGAATAAAGAAAAGATGTTAGTTCATTATTCAGAGTTTATGTTTATTCCTTTAATAAAAAGAAATGGTCTGTATTTCTTCTTTTCACATTTATTTCCTCAGTTCAAACCTGCTTTTCAGGTTATCCTATGACTTGAAGTTGACTAATTTGTTCACCTTAATTAGTTGTGTTGCAATATATATGTAATTAGCTATTTGCATTGCAACCTGCACAAAATTATTCCTGTTCATAAACTACTGAGAGGAAAGGGGCTTAAAGTTCAAAGGAGTTTAATTATGGTCTTGTAACCATATAGAAAATATTTGAATGTTACATTGGCATTGGCTCTATTGCATTAAAAGAAGTTATGAATGACGAATTGGCAAAGATTTGCAAGGTGATGAGTTTAATCTTGTCTGTATAAACCTAGACAGATTTGTTTGCCTATAAAAACTGGTTCTTAGAAATCAGTTTGATAAGTGTCTCATTTCATTCTGGTCAATGAACTTAATAAACTGAAGGCCTTTGTCTTTCTTTTAGGGCATCATATGTAACTCAGAAATGTTAACACCTCTTTATTTCATTATATTTTTGTAGATAAAAATAATCTTGTAGCTTGAGCCACTTAAGATCTCCATTAAAGAGATCTTTAAAATAAACAGATACTTTGATTTAAGAAGAGCAATAGAGGGAGCCCATAACATTTATTTCAGTGTAGCACTAAAGAAAACAATACATTAAAAGCTGAAATCGCTCTGTTAAAGTGAAATACTTAATAAGCTGCAATTTTGGACCTAAGATGTAATACATGCTATATCCTCAGGGGCTGGCATTCTTTAATGGCACACCAGGTTTTCAATTAATCTTTCTGGTGAAGGTTCTGTGCGTGTAAAACCTCCTGCCTCCCAATTGCTACCCCTTTTAAGCCCTGTATTTACAACCACCACATCCGTAAGCTGTTAGGATTTCAGCCAGTGGTTCTTAATCAAAGAAGCACATTCGTCAACCCAGGGAATTTTTGAGTATTGATTTTTAACTTTAAATGTGTCACACTTTTGTTTTGTACTTTTAAAATAGCTTTATAATTCACATACCATAAAGTCTACCCATTTAAAATACAGGTTGGCTAAGTTTACTCAAGCGAGGTTTTCTAAATTTGTATAGGAATGCAATTATCACTATGTCTCCCAAAATGATCCTTAATGCCTGTTTGTAGTGGACACATGGGGAGCTTTAAAAAAAAAAGAAAGAAAGAAAAGGTCATACCCTGCAGACAAATATTGTCGGAGTCTCTTTGACTACTAACACCAATCTTCCGTCATTGCTGTTACAAAACTCCCCAGATAATTTTGACATAGGTCAGTGTTGAGATACAGTGATGTGGACAAAACTTCATAGAAAAGATGAAGATCTGGAAAATGCAAATGTAACCTTTTACTAACCAAGAGATCACCTGGCTTAGACCAAATGTTGTCACAACAGCAGCAGCAGCAATAACAAAGGAGGCCTTTAGAACATTTAGAGAATGGTGGTTTTCTGATCCTGGACTTTTGTTCCTACTGTTTCCTTTGCCTAGAATCTCCCCTCCTTCTTCCTGCCACTCTCTCCATGCACACCTAGTTCGCCTAATGAATTCAGACACAACCCCCAGAGAACTTTAATTGCTGTCTCACCTGTGTTTTCATAACTCTTTGAATAAACATCTATTATAGTCCTTATTGCATTGTGCTGTTTCTTCATATTCTGACTTTCCCATTTTTCTGAGAGCTCCTTGAAATGCAGAGGCCATGCCACATTCATTTGAGTATCTAGACAGTGTCTGGCACAAAGCTGACTCCCAAAAAGTGTTTGTTGAATTCGGAAATAGAAGAGGTGCTTTAATAAACTATGAAGGCCGGGCTCAGTGACTCACGCCTGTAATTCCAGAACTTTGGGAGGCCGAGGCAGGCAGATCACAAGGTCAAGAGTTCAAGACCAGCCTGGCCAACATGGTGAAATCCCATCTCTTCTAAAAATACAAAATTTAGTTGGGCGTGGTGGCAAGCTCGTATAATCCCAGCTACTCGGGAGGCTGAGACAGTAGAATCACTTGAAACCAGGAGGTGGAGGTCGCAATGAGCTGAGATTGCACGACGGCATTCCAGCCTGGGTGAACAGAGCAAGACTCCGACTTGGGAAAATACAAAAAAACAACGATGTAAAGGGTAGGCAGTGATTTCCAACCTTGACTGGAAATTAGAATCCACTGAGGAGCTTTTCAAAATCCCTATGACCAGCTCACACCTACAACCAATGAAATCAGAATCTCCAGGGGTTGGACCCAGCAGCATATGTTCTTTACATCTAATTCTAATGTGCAGCTGAAATTGAAAATCAAGGGCATAAAGCCACAAAGGATGGTCCAAAATTTTATCCTTGACCAAAATATCCTGGCTCTATTGCCTAAAATATTTAAATTATTTGCTGTTACATTGCTTGGAAGGAGCTCAGAAATATATGTGAATTAACAGATAGCTGTTTTTAAAATATATGAAAGCCCCTATGATACTCAAGAAAGAACTGGCCATTCATGTAAGTCACTGAAGTTTTGATTATGATTACTTTCCTTTTGACATTTTGTTTGAAGAACCATTATGAAATAGGAATCTTGATTTGGGTAGAACATTGAAAGTGTCAAAACAGAAATTGTATTGGACAATGTTAAACAGGCAAGGAAGACTCTATTCAACATTATTCCAATAGCGGAGAGGGGCCAGAACTCAATCCAAACTCAACACCACTGAAACAAAGGACAGTAGGATTTCTAAGTGTTGGAAGTGAGAGGGAGTGTATAAGTTATATGTGTTTACTAATTGGTTTTACTCAAAAGAAAAGTAAATTTTCCCATATCTTTGTGACAGGATGCAGTTTCACAACTTGGAGGAAGGTACCCACCAAAGTTATGAAAGATAGAGTGACTATCTGATTTGCTGATTACATTTCAAAGACATGGCTCAAAGGTTCTTGAGAAATACATTCGTAAGTTTTAAAACTGACAAGAGACTGATTGAAAGATTTATATTTCAAAGGGGCAGGAAAATATGTTACAGGTTTTCTAAATATGCTGTACAAAAATGGAGGTCAGGGGTCTAGTGTCAGGGAAGAAGCTGATCTAAAGTTTAGTCAAGCTGGGGAATGTTAAGGCAGCCTTGGTCAAAGTCAAATAAATAGGTAATTTTGAAGAATGTAGATGGGCCAGAAGGGCTATCAGAGAAATTCCTCAACAATGAGCTTGGAGCAGCAAAGCTTAGCATGAGCGTATTCAATCCTTGAGAGAACCGAAGAGGAAAGTTAGAAAAGGCCTGGAGATAATTAAAGTATTTTGCAGATTTTCCTTGCATAGTCTGGTTTATATCAGGAAATTAAAAAGGAAACATTTCTTTCTGTACTTTCTTCCTCCTAAAGGAACTCTCAGATCCACATTCCTACGTAAGATGTGGAACTATATATTGTCATACCATATAACAACCATGCACATAAGTTAAAATGCAAAAAAATTACAAGCATATATATGTGTATTTTTTAAATAATCTGGAAGTTTACATATGTACATGTAGCTTCTGGCAATGAGACTTGGACTGGTGTTGAAGAGGACTTTAGTGATATCTATAGTATTTCATCAAAGAAACAAGAGAGGCCGGGAATGGTGGCTCACACCTGTAATCCCAGCACTTTGGGAGGCTGAGGTGGGCAGATTGCTTGAGTTCAGGAGTTAAGGCCCAGTCTGGGCAACATGGCAAAACCTATCTGTACAAAAAATACCAAAAAAAAAAAAAAAAAAAAATTAGCCGGGCATGGTGGTGTGCACCTGTAGTCCCAACTACTGGGGAGGCTGAGGTGGGAGGGCAGCTTGAGCCCAGGAGGAGGAAGTTGCAGTGAGCCAAAATCTCGCCACTGCACTCCAGCCTGGGTGACAGAGCGAGACCCAGTCTCAAAACAAAACAAAACAAAAAAAAAACAAGAAACAAGAGATTAGAGGCATAAAATCCAAAATGGTAACTGTAATTCATTCTGAATTTCTGAACGGTAAGATAATATGAATTTGTTTTATGGACTTTGTATTTTTCTAGATTAGTTAAATTCCAAAAACAAAATAAAAATAAAGACAAATGTCACATGGTGGGTCTAAGCCAGGAGTTTAAAAGAAGGAGAACTCACTGTCAGGGTGATCAAAGACCTTCAGGTAAAGGAAGAAGCAGGATTTGGGAGATGGGTTCAATATCCATAGGCAGAAATGGATAAGCACGGCAATTTAGTTGGAAGGAATCACCCAAATCAAAAAGACAGATAATAAAACCCAATGTCAGTATGTATCCAAAAATGAGTAAATTTGTAAATCAAAATTTGATGCCAAGAATAAAGAGATTTCTATTTATAGTATCATGAAGAACGTTCAGATCCAGGGGGATGCAGGTAGAATTTTCTAATATAGCCTTTCTGTTGATATTGTTGCTAAATTATAGGAAACAAAAACTTGGACAGATAATTACCATCTTAGAAGCCAACCTAACCTCAAAAGGCATCTAATCAGACTTCCTATTACAGAAGAGGAAACAGAGGTCCTCAGAATTTGAAGTCACCAGTGGTCAAGTCCAATCCAGACTCAAGCACTGGCTACCGCATCGACATCATCAGAACACAATTCAATAGAGCTAATCAAGTGTTGACTTTCTTTGATAGTAAAACAGAGTGTCCACTTGACATGCTGGAACGTAGGGAGAATGGGGAGTAAAAAGTATATGCTGGAGATAGTACATCTTAAAAATTAACACAAAAAGAACACAGACACTTGTGTAAATTCATTTTTGTTAAACTCATTTTATTTTAACCTGTTTTTATGCAGAGAAATATTTTCCAAAATATCAAATGAATTTTAGCACAGATTAAACTATGTAAATCAAGAGCATTTAAAAGGATAATATAAGCTGTCTCTGTTAGCATTTGTAAAAGCTGGTTTAATAAAAGGTACACACACATGAAAACATTGTCAAGAATTCTTACAAAGGGCATATGCTAATGATGGCAAATGGATTTTGTACAAAATAATAGCCTATCAAGGGACAATGTAAAGAACCACTCAGAATCTAGCAGGCTAGTAGAGTACACTGCACATAATAATTGCCCTTTTATAAGAAAAGGAACATAGCAAAATTTGAAATTGTAAAGGAATTCATCACCAGCCTTCTTTAACAATAAGCTTCTCTAAGGCATTTGAAATAAACTTTGATTTATGGAACTTCAATAAACACATCATTTTTAAGAAACATCATTTTGGTGAACAGAATAATACATATTTGCCTTGCTCTGCGCTTACTGTGAGTTCAGGAATTGTGTCTTCTACATGACAAATGATTCAAATTAGTCTGAACATGAAACATGATAGCCTGGGTGGATTTAAATAATAGCAATAGTCAATGCCAGCAGGTGCCAGCAGAAGCAGTTTCAGATACAGCAAGGGAGTCAGCCTCTTGTGGGGGTCTGGGCAGCCCTCCTTTCTGCCTCTCAACTCTGCCTGCCTGGCCGACAAAGGCAATAGTTAGGATGTTTTCTAGATTCTTCCCTTTACTTTGTTTTTGGTTTGGTTTTGTTTTTTTGACCCAGGGTCTAGCTCTGTCAGCCAGGCTGGAATGCAGTGTTGTGATCACTGCTCACTTCAGCCTCAAACTCCCTGGGCTCAAGTGATCCTCCAGCCTCAGCCTTCCCAGTAGCTGAGACTATAGGCAAGTGCCACCACACCTTGCTAATTTTTAATTTTTTTGTACAGACGGAGTCTCACAATGTTGCTCAGGCTGGTCTCAGACTCCTAGGCTCAAGCAATCCTCCTGCCTCAGCTTCCCAAAGTACTAAGATTATAGGCATGAGCCACCACACCTGGCCTGTTTTTATTTTTAATGTGTAGTTATAGTTTAAAGGAAGACTCATGTACACGCTTGTCATGGTTAATTTTATGTATCAACTTGGCTGGGCCACAGTACCAGATATTTGGTCAAACATTATTCTAGATATGTCTGTGAAGGTATTTTTTAGATGAGATTAACATTTACATCAGAAGACTTTTAGAAAGTAGATTATCCTCTATAATGTGGGTGGGCCTCATCCAACCAGCTAAAGACCTTAATAAGCAAAGGCTGATCTTCCCCTCCTCCTATCCGCCCCCCGGCCCCACCCGCAAAAGGGAGAATCCTGCTGGCTGACTGCCTTCTAATTGGAACTGCCACATCAACTCTTCCCTGGGTCTCCAGCCTGCTGGCCTGCTCTGCAGACTTTAGATTTAATAGCCCCACAGTGTTGTGAGCTAACCTAAAAATAAATATTTCTCTCTTTCTTTTCCTATACTGACACATACACACACGCACACATTCACACACATCCTGTTCCTTCTGTTTCTCTGGAGAACCCTAATACACCACCACTGAGTTTAAGAAATGGTAGAACATTGGCCAGGCATGGTGGCTTATGCCTGTAATCCCAGCACTTTGGGAGACCGAGGCAGGCGGATCACAAGGTCAAGAGATAGAGACAATCCTGGCCAATATGGTGAAACCCCGTCTCTGTGAAAAATACAAAAATTAGCTGGGTGTGGTGGCGCGTACCTGTAGTCCCAGCTACTCAGGAGGCTAAGGCAGGAGAACCACTTGAACACAGGAGGCGGAGGTTGCAATGAGCCAAGATCACACCACTGCACTCCAGCCTGGCAACAGAGCAAGACTCCGTCTCAAAAGAAAAAAAAAAGATGACGAGTTAGTGGGTGCAGCGCACCAGCATGGCACATGTATACATATGTAACTAACCTGCACAATGTGCACATGTACCCTAAAACATAAAGTATAATAAAAAAAAAAGAAAAAAAAAAAGAAATGGTAGAACATGACCAGCACCTTTGAAGTTCACTGTGTGCCCCTCCATGGCACACAGGAGATCAGTATGAATTCCATGGCCCTAGTGACTTTCTATTGTTATATTTCCATGAATGAACATCCTGATAATGGAACTTGATCAGCAAAATCACTCAAAAAGGAGATTTGACACTTCACCTAGTAGATGGCAGGGATATCACTACATTCAGCATGGAAACTTGCACTAGACTTTTTATAAGGCAACTAAATGAACGGAGTAATATCACTTCCTATTGCAATTTAAGTGCTGTTTCATCTGTCAGACCAAAAATACATCAGGTAGTATAGCCTATCCAGGTCAGGGATCTTCTGAAGAGCTCAGGACCCGCTGACTGACCCCATTCCTGCAGAGCAGTAACATTCCTGCCAGCATACAACCTAAATTGTTGGATGGAGCTCTGTTCCTTCTCATTTTTCTTGTCATAACAGGGAAGACTTGGCCTTGCACAAACTCTTGAATATATACCATCCTTTCCACACTCACTGCCAGTTTCTTGTTTCAGGCCTTCGTTTCATTTCACTCACACTGCAGTGCCACACTACCCATTATTTTAGGTTACTTTATTACAGCCCTGGTCGGACCACAACTCTCCTTCTTGAAAACCTTCACAGTGGAGCCTTAATTTTTGTTCTTTCCTTCTCTACAATATTCTGACCACATAAATATTTTTAAAATTCCCAGATATGCCATATACTCTAACATCTTTGTGTTTTTCTTCTTGTTTCTTGTTTTTAGCCAGAAGCTTTTCCTCGTTTTCTCCATCAGGATATTCTTGCTCACATTTTAAGGCCCATTGAAATGACAAATCCTATATAAAACTTCTGCTAGCCCCTCTGAAACTTCACTTTGAACTTTGAAATCATTAGTTTCTCTTTTGAAATTTTTGCAAGATTCTGTTAAAGATACTGAACTGAAGAGTGAAATATTTCAAAAAATGTATCTAAATGGGAAACAAATAAGTAAAGAAAAAATGTATTGCTATATAATTGGCTTTTAGCAGTAATACTATCAGGGGATCAAAGTGCCCGGCTAGACTTATCCTTAAAGGAATACATGCTTCATAACTGTTGATTCCAAGTGGCCAATTATCAGATACTGAGGCACTTATGAAAACAAAATAAAAACCTTACCACCCCGACACACACATACTCTTTACCATCCCCATCAGGGTCAGATCCAGGGACTGTTAGCAATAAATTATTCTGCAGGTAAGCAATAATCAGGACAATTTAAAAACTTCTGTCTTCCAGTTGTTCCACCCCAAACCTTGGAATTATCCCTGATTCCTTTCTTTCTCTTGTAACTCACACACAATTTACAAACAATCCTATTAGCTCTACCTTCAAAATATATCCAGAAGCTGACCACCACCCTCACAGTTACAATTCTAACCTAGGCCAAAATCACCTCTCCCCAGGATTGTTAAAATCACCTCTTGACTAGTCTCCCAGCATCAACCATGCTCCCTACAGTTTATTGGCAACAAAAAAAGCTAGAGGGATCCTGTTGGAACACAGGCCAGACGGTATCAGTCCTCTACTCAAAACCTATCTACATATTTGCAGTATACACAGGGTAACATCCAAAGTCTTCCATGACTTTATGGCTCTGATGTCACTTTTACTACTTCCCACTGACACCTCCACATTGTTCCCCCATCACAGTGCCCTGGGCACGCCAGTGCTTTACTGCCTCTCCAGCATAGCTGGCACACCCTTGCCTCGAGGCACTGCATGTTCTCTTTCCCTGAAATGCTCCATCCCCAGACACCCTTATGGCTCTCTCGCTCACCTACTTCAGATCTTTGCTTAAATGTCACATTCTTGGTAAGACCTTCCCCAAATCAAAAGCTATCCCTCTCCCCTACTCTGGCACTCTCTCTCCTCCTCACCTTGCAGTGCTCTTCATAGCACACATTGCCATTTGTTATATTAAATATTTTACATCCATCCAATAAGGAGCAAGGCTTTTTGTTTGTTTTGTATATTCCCTGCGCCCGAAATGGTGCCTGCCACATATTCAGTGCTCTATTAATATTTGTTCAATGAATAAGTGAATGAACAAAATATACAAAGTTCTGGGTACAGAGGGGTTGAAACTGAAGACTTAATTCACTTTGGTCCAACTTTTTCTAGTGATTGTAGAATTGATTTTTAATCCACATATTTCAAATTCTTTCTGCCTTCTAAGGTTGCTTTATCCCTCAAAATTCAAATAAAATAGCTAGAACTTCCTCCTGATTACAAGATTCACAGAGAAAGGAGGGGTTAATCATTTCCTAGCCAGAATTTGTGCTTCCTGTGAATTTTTGTTGTTGTTGTTGTTGTTGTTGTTTTGTTTTGTTTTTTGAGACGGAGTCTTGCTCTGTCGCCCAGGCTGGAGTGTCGCAATCTCGGCTCATCGCAACCTCCGCCTCCCGGATTCAAGCAATTATCCTGCCTCAGCCTCCCAAGTAGCTGGGATTACAGGTGCCCACCACCATATATGGCTAATTTTTTTGTATTTTTAGTAGAGACAGGGTTTCGCCATGTTGGCCAGGCTGGTTTCGAACTCCTGACCTCAAGTGATCTGCTCGCCTCAGCCTCTCAAAGTGCTAGGATTACAGGTGTGAACTACTGCGCCCGACCTTCCCATGAATTTTTAATCCTAACTGGTCATATAGCCTCCAAGTTTGCCATCTTTTCTCTGGCCTCTTCCTCTCAGGCAGACATTCCTTCCCAACTTTCCCGACCCAATTGATAGGGGCAGTGGTCAGAGCAGACTTCGTTACAGGTTGGAGGATAATACAGCAGAGAGATTTTAGTACTTTTTCATGTGCTAGCACTCATGAAAAATGATACCTGTACAGCCTCATGAAGTAAACTAACTGATCTCTGTGGGGCTTGGTATAAAGTTTCATTGTGTTTTCCTTGTATTACAGAATTGTTAAAAACTAAAATTTGAAGTATTGAGAAAAATATTAAACTTTGAGTTCATATACAATATCCTCATAAAACATTTAAAAATTCTTATCTTTTGCTTGCTTCAGTGAACATTTTTTCTTATATGTTTTCTAAT